>NC_000012.12:132224362-132571344 GCF_000001405.40 Homo sapiens
CACCCCCCGCCACACACCACACAACCCACACCCTACACAACCCGCACACCACACACACAGACACGCCACACAACACACATGCACCCCACACAACCCGCACCCCACACACACACAAAACCCACACCCCACACAACCCACACCCCCATACACAGACACCCCACACACCCCACATACACCCCACACAACCCACACCCCACACAACCCACACCCCACACACACACACCACACAACCCACACCCCACAAACATACACCCCATACACCCCATATACACACCCCAGCGTACATACACACCCCACACTGTACCTATACACCCCACACTACACACCCCACACACTGTGCATACACACCAGACATACGCCCCATACACCATACACACCCCACACCCCTCCCACACCCCACACTGTACACACCCCACACACATACATCTCATACACACACCCCACACACATACACACCCTCCCACATACACACCACACAACCCACACTCCACACACTGTAATGTACACACCCCACACATACCACACAATCCACACTGCACACACTGTATATACACGTGCCACATGCATAAACACAACCCACACCCCACACACTGTACATACACACCCCACACACATACACCCCATATACACACCCTATACACTATACGTACACCCCCCCCACACACCACATAACCCACACCCCACACACTACATACACACCACCCCCCCACACACAACCCACATGCCACACACTGTACATACACACCCCCACATATACATACCACACAACTCACACCTCACACACTGTACACACCCTACACACATACCACACAACCCACACACTGTACATACACAMCCCACACACATACACTGCATATACTCCATATACACATCCCA
Organism: Homo sapiens; assembly: GCF_000001405.40. NCBI lineage: Eukaryota > Metazoa > Chordata > Mammalia > Primates > Hominidae > Homo > Homo sapiens. Next base: position 132,225,239 of record NC_000012.12, read on the forward strand.
TATACTATACTTATACACCCCCCACACACCACACAACCCACCCCACACTACATACACACCACCCCCACACAACCCACATGCCACACACTGTACATAAACACCCCCACATATACATACCACACAACTCACACCCCACACGCTGTACACACCCTACACACATACACACCACACAACCCACACACTATATACACCCCCCACACACACACCACACAACTGAAACTCCACTGTACATACACATCCCACACACATACATACCACACAATCCACACTCCACACACTGTATATACACATGCCACACACAACACACACCCCACACTGTACATACACACCCCACACAACCCACACACCACATTCTATATATACACACCCCACACATGCACATCACACAACCCACACCCCACACACTGTATATACACACCCCACACACACACTCCACACACTGTACGTACACACCCCATACACACACTGTACGTACACACCCCATACACACAACACTGTACATACACACCCCCCACAACCCACACTACACACGCTGTATACACCCCACACACGCCACACAACCCACACCCCACTGTACATGCATACCCTCACACACACCACACAACCCACACCCCACACACTGTGTATACACACCCCCCATACACACCACACACCCCACAACCCACACCCCACACACTGTACATATACAACCCACACACACACCCCATACACCCCATATGCACACCCCACACACTGTACACACCCCACACACATACACCCCACACACCCCACATTGTACACACCCCACATACACCCCATACACACTATACACACACCCCACACTGTACATACACATCCCACACGCATACACCCCAAATACACACCCTACACACATACATCCCACACACCCCACACTGTACATACACACCCCACACATACACCCCATACACACCATATACACACCCCACACACATACACCCCACACTGTACATACACAACCCACACATACACCCCATACACAACATATACACACACCCCACACACGGTACATACACACCCCACACATACACCTCATACACACCATATACACGCTGCACATACTGTACATACACCTCACACATACATCCCTTATACCCCATATACACATCCCACACACTGTACATACACATCCCACACACATACACCTCATATACCCCATGTACACACCCCACACTGTACAGACATATCCCACACACATACACCCACCCCACACACTGTACACATGCACGCCACACATATGCCCCATACATACCATATACACACCCCACACACATACACAACACACAACCCACACCCCACTGTATATACACACCCACATACACCCCACACACATACACACCACACACCCCACACCCCACTGTATATACACACCCCACATGCACCCCATGCACCCCCATATACACACCCCACACACACTGTACATACACACCAAACACCCACCCCACACACTGTACATACACACCAAATACACATCCCACACACATACACCCCATACACCCACCCCACACACTGTACATACACATCCCACACATACACCCCATATACACACCCACACACATCCCATAAACACACCCCACACACACCATATACACACCCCATACACTGTACATACACACCCCACACACATACACTCCATAAACACGCCCCACACACACCATATACATACCCCACACACTGTACACACCCCACATACACCCCATACACACTGTATACACACCCCACACTGTACATACACACCCATCCCCCCCACACACATACATACACCCCATACACACACACACCCACACCCACACACAACCCATAGCTTTTTCTTTGGGAGGAGGGAGGTGAATTTGGCAAATTGTACATAAATCCATGAAAATATGCGTTTCCTGAGTCAGTAATTTCGCTTCTAGAAATTCAGCCTGAGGAAATGGCTAGGGCATGAGGAGAGACTCAGATACAGGAAGAATCGTTTCTGTGCCAGATGGAACGGAGGCACCGAAATGGCTCCCCAGCTCGTCAGCAGAACCCCGGGGCACCAGCGTGCAGCTGTGCATGGTGCCGTCCCCGAACGCGTGTGGGGAAGTGCATTGCACGGACAAAGGCCTGCGACCCTCTCCCCGGCCCAGCTCCCCGACCCTGCTGGCCGCAGCTCCCTCCGAAGCGTGTGCCTGTGAAAGCAACACCTCAGGCCGCGTTACACCCAGGCACACGCACGCACCACAGACAGAGTCTGACAGACGCAGACGGGCTCCAGCGAGGTGCACGTCTCGGCCCAGACAGAGGCAGAATTGTGGGTGATTTTTATTTTGTTCTAGTTAACTTATATCCAGTGCTTTTACATCTAAAACAGCTTTTCTAAAGAAAAGAAAACTGGTGTTTAAGGAATGTCTGCACGTGATGAAAATTAGCATGCTTGCTGTATCCCAGGCACTGAGAGCCCCACTGCGTTTAATCCTGAAAGAGCCCCAGGGGTGTAGTCGTATTGTCATCCTTAGTGACAGATGGGGAAACGGAGGCTCAGGGTACGGAGGCAGCCCCGCTGGTTAATGGGCAGAGGCAGGGTCCAAAGGCAACGTGGAGGGGTCTTCTGAAGACCCCTCGTGCTCAGCGGGGCTTCCCCACAGGGATGTGCAAATGGACAGAGACCTCCCCGTCCCCACACCTTCTTGCTCTGAGCCTCGGTTTCCCCATCTGTCTCCTCCCTGCAGCCTGGAGGCCTGGTTGACCTGCTGAGGTTGAGCAGGGGCTGTGGGCAGGTGAGTGGCCCGTCTTGTAGCTACAGCCTGCTCTGTGGTCTGCTGGGGAGTGGCGGTGCCAGACTTGGTGAGGACGCCATGTGCCGCCCCAGCAGGGGTGGCGGGGGGGCACCAACCACCTGTGGCTGGAACAAGCCCTTGGACAAAGCAGCTCTAGAGAACAAGAACAGGGCTTCAGTCTCTCTCCAGCCTCTCCCTCTGCCCTCCACTCATGCAGAAAGGAGACACCCCCGCGTCCCTCCCCGGCGTCCCTCTGACACCTGCATCCCTCCCCGGCGTCCCTCCCCAGCGTCCCTCTGACCCCGGCACTCCCTTTCCCTGAGTGTGGGTGGCGGGGCGGCCCGTCAGCACCTCCTCGCTCCCTCCCCAGAGGAAGGGTGATACCTCTTTGCCTCTGGCGAGGCAGGGCGGCCCGTCAGCACCTCCTCGCTCCCTCCCCAGAGGAAGGGTGATACCTCTTTGCCTCTGGCAAGACAGGGCGGCCAGTCAGCACCTCCTCGCTCCCTCCCCAGAGGAAGGGTGACACCTCTTTGCCTCTGGCGAGACAGGGCTTATTAACAGGATCTTGATGAACCCACCCCCTTGGAGAATTGCAAAAGCCACCCCCCCGGCCCCAGACGTTCTGATGCTCACACAGCCCCCCAGCGGAGTGGGGTCTCGAGGGTCCAGGAGGTGCCTTCCGTGTGCAAGAGGAGGTTTTCCTGTAACACCCGAGGAGCAGCATGTCCGAGCGTTTCAAGACAGAGAGCAAACGATTTCCAACTTCCGCTCTGCAGATGGCTTTCCTGGCCCGACTCTCACACTTGATTCCGTCCTGACCTTTATTAAGCCTAATAGACGCGATGGACTCATTTTCCTCTAACTGGCTCTAGGACTTTCCTCATTAGAAGATGAGCAGCTGGCATTTCTACCGTCGCAGAAATGTAAATTGGCCCCAAGACGGGAGAATTACTCCTCTAATTGGGCTGAATTGATCAGAGAGGCCGCCGGTGTGGACGGGTTAGACACGGGTGCACAGGAGCCAGGGGCAGAACACATGGCCACGTGGTCCTGGGGCACACACCTGTGCCAGTGCATGGGGCAGGGGGCCGCCCTCCCCTGGACACGTACCAGTCTCAGGGCGGCAGAGCCTTTGCCCTTGCCAATCCCTCTGCTGGAACACTGTTCCCTGCAGCTGCCTCTGCTCCTCCATCCTGGCTCACAGGTGGCCGCTCCGTGCACCGTTCCCTGGTCTTCTCCCCACTTAGGCCTCTCCACCGCAGGTGGAGCCCACGCCCCATCTCGCCCTGGGTCACCAGAGGCAAGCCCCACGAGGCGCACGCTTTGTCTGCTTTGCTCTCTGTGGAACCTGAACCCAGAGCAGCCTCCAGCACCTGAGCTCACTCAGGAGTCTGTTCAGCCAATGAATAACTCGCTTCCCTTTGACGCCCCACCCGTCCTGCCCTGGCACGAGCACTTTATGGAGAGACTATCCAGATGACTTATCTGTTCATTCACTAATGCCCCAGACACCGACCACACCCCGCGGCAGGCCCCAGGGCCACACTCGCAGGCACAGCCCCGCAGTAAGTCCTGCTCTCATGAGCACGCGTGACGGGGATGGGGCTGGGAGAGAGGCCGCCTGTGCCTCAGCGGGGCCGTCCCCACCCTTCTCGGGCCACACGGCCGGCATGGTTGGCAAGCTTAGCTGGGAAGCCACCAGCCTCTCCCTGAGTCCCAGGCGAGAAAGAAATCATGGTCACCGGCATCTGTGAAGCACCAACTCAGTGCCAGTTACGGGGTTCAGGGCACCACAGGTGTTCACTGATTTAATCCTAATAAAGGAATCCTTTCTCCGATGAGGAAGCCGGGGCTGTGAGAAGCTAGGAGCTTGCCCAAGGTCACCGTCCGTCGGTGGTGGAGTCACAGGCTCTCAGCCCCAATCTCAGCCACCTCACTCTGCTGAACAAGCAAAGAACAGTGAAATACACAAAGAATGCACATTCCCGGACCCTTCTGCCAGGCCGACCTGGGTCCCGGTGCCGCCCCCTTGAACCTGGGCAGGCGTGTGGCTGCATCCATCAACAGTCGCCACCGGGTCATCCAAGGTGGGGCACAGAGGGCATCGTAATTCCAGCCTGGGCCACCAAAATTCACATACCACCAGGAAGCCCAGCTGTGGAGAGGCCGCGCACAGCCACCTGCCCCAGCTGAACCCTCCGGAGTCCACGCACCCCCTGCCATGTGTGTGCGTGCCCCTTGCTGGACGTCCTGCCTGTGAGCCTTGTGATGGGGGCCGCCACACAGGACAGCATCCGCCTTCCCGAGTTCCTGACCCACAAGATTGTGAACAAAATGAAACAGTCACTTTAAGCCACTAAATTATGGGGTGATCTGCTACAAGGCAAAAGGAGCTGGGGTACAAACCAACTGCAGGGGGGTTTGGTGGGTCTACGGGCACCTGGCGTTCGCTGCCAGATCGACGGGCATAGAAAAAGCCCCATAACCCACGCGGGCTGGGGAGCCCTTTAATCCGTCCACTGCCAAGGCCACGCTGCCTGGCCCTCGTGGCGGGGGAGTCCTGTTAATCTGTCCACTGCCAAGGCCGCGCCACCTGGCCCTCGTGGCGGGGAAGTCCTCACGGAGTGGATGAGAAGGCTGCCCGGGCAGGACCCCTTCCCCGCAGCCCTTAAATCAGAAGGGTGAGGCCCGGTCCTCCTGTAGCTGGGACACGGCATATTTTGGCAGGGAGGGGCTGGCTGACGTGTGATAGCCACACTGGAGGCTGAGGTATGTGTTAACGGGGTAACAGTCCGGGTTAATGGATCGATTTATTTTGTTGGTGTTTCAGCCTCCCTTGAGCTCATTACAGGCAGACCACACCGCAGGCCACTGCAGGGCTCCCAACCTCCATTCGGGACGTCTTGGTGAGACTCTGCTGAGCCTCACACTCTTCTGGGCACTGGAAAAGTAGTGACAGAGACTCACCCTAGTGCCACACACTCGATGGAGTGACAGAGGAGACAGCGTGGAGTCCCTAGTGCCACACACTCGATGGGGCGACAGAGGAGACAGCGTGGAGTCCCTAGTGCCACACACTCGATGGGGCGACAGAGGAGACAGCGTGGAGCCCCTACTGCCACACACTCCATGGGGCGACAGAGGAGACAGCGTGGAGCCCCTAGTGCCACACACTCGATGGGGCGACAGAGGAGACAGCGTGGAGTCCCCTACTGCCACACACTCGATGGGGCGACAGAGGAGACAGCGTGGAGTCCCTAGTGCCACACACTCGATGGGGCGACAGAGGAGACAGCGTGGAGTCCCTAGTGCCACACACTCGATGGGGCGACAGAGGAGACAGCGTGGAGCCCCTAGTGCCACACACTCGATGGGGCGACAGAGGAGACAGCGTGGAGTCCCTAGTGCCACACACTCGATGGGGCGACAGAGGAGACAGCGTGGAGTCCCTAGTGCCACACACTCGATGGGGCGACAGAGGAGACAGCGTGGAGCCCCTACTGCCACACACTCGATGGGGCGACAGAGGAGACAGCGTGGAGCCCCTAGTGCCACACACTCGATGGGGCGACAGAGGAGACAGCGTGGAGCCCCTAGTGCCACACACTCGATGGGGCGACAGAGGAGACAGCGTGGAGCCCCTAGTGCCACACACTCGATGGGGCGACAGAGGAGACAGCGTGGAGTCCCTAGTGCCACACACTCGATGGGGCGACAGAGGAGACAGCGTGGAGTCCCTAGTGCCACACACTCGATGGGGTGACAGGGACAGCGTGGAGCCCCTAGTGCTACACACTCGATGGGGCGACAGAGGAGACAGCGTGGAGTCCCTAGTGCCACACACTCGATGGGGCGACAGAGGAGACAGCGTGGAGTCCCTAGTGCCACACACTCGATGGGGCGACAGAGGAGACAGCGTGGAGTCCCTAGTGCCACACACTCGATGGGGCGACAGAGGAGACAGCATGGAGTCCCTAGTGCCACACACTCGATGGGGCGACAGAGGAGACAGTGTGGAGTCCCTACTGCCACACACTCGATGGGGCGACAGAGGAGACAGCGTGGAGCCCCTAGTGCCACACACTCGATGGGGCGACAGAGGAGACAGCGTGGAGTCCCTAGTGCCACACACTCGATGGGGCGACAGAGGAGACAGCGTGGAGTCCCTAGTGCCACACACTCGATGGGGCGACAGAGGAGACAGCGTGGAGTCCCTAGTGCCACACACTCGATGGGGCGACAGAGGAGACAGCGTGGAGTCCCTAGTGCCACACACTCGATGGGGTGACAGGGACAGCGTGGAGCCCCTAGTGCTACACACTCGATGGGGCGACAGAGGAGACAGCGTGGAGTCCCTAGTGCCACACACTCGATGGGGCGACAGAGGAGACAGTGTGGAGTCCCTAGTGCCACACACTCGATGGGGCGACAGAGGAGACAGCGTGGAGTCCCTAGTGCCACACACTCGATGGGGCGACAGAGGAGACAGCGTGGAGTCCCTAGTGCCACACACTCGATGGGGCGACAGAGGAGACAGCGTGGAGTCCCTAGTGCCACACACTCGATGGGGCGACAGAGGAGACAGTGTGGAGTCCCTAGTGCCACACACTCGATGGGGCGACAGAGGAGACAGCGTGGAGTCCCTAGTGCCACACACTCGATGGGGCGACAGAGGAGACAGTGTGGAGTCCCTACTGCCACACACTCGATGGGGCGACAGAGGAGACAGCGTGGAGTCCCTAGTGCCACACACTCGATGGGGCGACAGAGGAGACAGTGTGGAGTCCCTACTGCCACACACTCGATGGGGCGACAGAGGAGACAGCGTGGAGTCCCTAGTGCCACACACTCGATGGGGCGACAGAGGAGACAGTGTGGAGTCCCTAGTGCCACACACTCGATGGGGCGACAGAGGAGACAGCGTGGAGTCCCTAGTGCCACACACTCGATGGGGCGACAGAGGAGACAGCGTGGAGTCCCTAGTGCCACACACTCGATGGGGCGACAGAGGAGACAGCGTGGAGTCCCTAGTGCCACACACTCGATGGGGCGACAGAGGAGACAGCGTGGAGTCCCTAGTGCCACACACTCGATGGGGCGACAGAGGAGACAGCGTGGAGTCCCCTACTGCCACACACTCCATGGGGCGACAGGAGACAGCGTGGAGCCCCTAGTGCCACACACTCGATGGGGCGACAGAGGAGACAGCGTGGAGTCCCTAGTGCCACACACTCGATGGGGCGACAGAGGAGACAGCGTGGAGCCCCTAGTGCCACACACTCGATGGGGCGACAGAGGAGACAGCGTGGAGTCCCTACTGCCACACACTCGATGGGGCGACAGAGGAGACAGCGTGGAGCCCCTAGTGCCACACACTCGATGGGGCGACAGAGGAGACAGCGTGGAGCCCCTAGTGCCACACACTCGATGGGGCGACAGAGGAGACAGCGTGGAGTCCCTAGTGCCACACACTCGATGGCGTGAGAGAGGAGACAGCGTGGAGTCCCTAGTGCCACACACTCGATGGGGTGACAGAGGAGACAGTGTGGAGCCCCTAGTGCCACACACTCGATGGGGCGACAGAGGAGACAGCGTGGAGTCCCTGGTGCCACACACTCGATGGGGCGACAGAGGAGACAGCGTGGAGTCCCTAGTGCCACACACTCGATGGCGTGAGAGAGGAGACAGCGTGGAGTCCCTAGTGCCACACACTCGATGGGGCGACAGAGGAGACAGCGTGGAGCCCCTAGTGCCACACACTCGATGGGGCGACAGAGGAGACAGCGTGGAGTCCCTAGTGCCACACACTCGATGGGGCGACAGAGGAGACAGCATGGAGTCCCTAGTGCCACACACTCGATGGGGCGACAGAGGAGACAGCGTGGAGTCCCTAGTGCCACACACTCGATGGGGCGACAGAGGAGACAGTGTGGAGCCCCTAGTGCCACACACTCGATGGGGCGACAGAGGAGACAGCGTGGAGTCCCTGGTGCCACACACTCGATGGGGCGACAGAGGAGACAGCGTGGAGTCCCTAGTGCCACACACTCGATGGCGTGAGAGAGGAGACAGCGTGGAGTCCCTAGTGCCACACACTCGATGGGGCGACAGAGGAGACAGCGTGGAGTCCCTAGTGCCACACACTCGATGGGGCGACAGAGGAGACAGCGTGGAGTCCCTAGTGCCACACACTCGATGGGGCGACAGAGGAGACAGCGTGGAGTCCCTAGTGCCACACACTCGATGGGGCGACAGAGGAGACAGCGTGGAGTCCCTAGTGCCACACACTCGATGGGGCGACAGAGGAGACAGCGTGGAGTCCCTAGTGCCACACACTCGATGGGGCGACAGAGGAGACAGCGTGGAGCCCCTAGTGCCACACACTCGATGGGGCGACAGAGGAGACAGCGTGGAGTCCCTAGTGCCACACACTCGATGGGGCGACAGAGGAGACAGCATGGAGTCCCTAGTGCCACACACTCGATGGGGCGACAGAGGAGACAGCGTGGAGTCCCTAGTGCCACACACTCGATGGGGCGACAGAGGAGACAGTGTGGAGCCCCTAGTGCCACACACTCGATGGGGCGACAGAGGAGACAGCGTGGAGTCCCTGGTGCCACACACTCGATGGGGCGACAGAGGAGACAGCGTGGAGTCCCTAGTGCCACACACTCGATGGCGTGAGAGAGGAGACAGCGTGGAGTCCCTAGTGCCACACACTCGATGGCGTGAGAGAGGAGACAGCGTGGAGTCCCTAGTGCCACACACTCGATGGGGCGACAGAGGAGACAGCGTGGAGCCCCTAGTGCCACACACTCGATGGGGCGACAGAGGAGACAGCGTGGAGTCCCTAGTGCCACACACTCGATGGGGCGACAGAGGAGACAGCATGGAGTCCCTAGTGCCACACACTCGATGGGGCGACAGAGGAGACAGCGTGGAGTCCCTAGTGCCACACACTCGATGGGGCGACAGAGGAGACAGTGTGGAGCCCCTAGTGCCACACACTCGATGGGGCGACAGAGGAGACAGCGTGGAGTCCCTGGTGCCACACACTCGATGGGGCGACAGAGGAGACAGCGTGGAGTCCCTAGTGCCACACACTCGATGGCGTGAGAGAGGAGACAGCGTGGAGTCCCTAGTGCCACACACTCGATGGGGTGACAGGGACAGCGTGGAGCCCCTAGTGCCACACACTCGATGGCGTGAGAGAGGAGACAGCGTGGAGCTGGCCCACAAGCTCAGAGTGTGTGGGGCAGAGGACAGTGCTGGAGGAGTGAGGAGCCGGGTGCGGTGGGCGCTGTGCACGGTGTGGTCATTGGAGCTGGGACCCGGAGACTGGGAATCAGGCAGCTTCCAAACAAACTGTGTGGGGTAGAGCCAAGATTTGAACCCAGGGTCCTAGAGGAGAGGTGGACAGGAGGAGAGAGCAGAGGGAGAGAGTGTTGGGGGGCACCGGCTGCGGGAACTGGAGCTCAGAAGAGAAGGAAGCTGGGGCACAGCTCGGAGGTGGGGAAAGGTACCCGACCTCTTTCCAAACCCCCTTGAAGTGCCCCTCCAGGGTGGTCAGCATGGAGTTGGGGAAGGGGGAGACCCTGCCCTTCCACCCACCCCACAGCAGCCAGAGCCAGTTGCTCAGCCCCCAGCGGCCCTGGCGGCCAGCCCCTCGGGACAGGGCAGGAGGGTCCCCCGGGCTGGAGTTCAACCCTCGGGACAGGGCAGGAGGGTCCCCCGGGCTGGAGTGAGTTCAACCCTCGGGACAGGGCAGGAGGGTCCCCCGGGCTGGAGTTCAACCCTCGGGACAGGGCAGGAGGGTCCCCCGGGCTGGAGTTCAACCCTCGGGACAGGGCAGGAGGGTCCCCCGGGCTGGAGTTCAACCCTCGGGACAGGGCAGGAGGGTCCCCCGGGCTGGAGTTCAACCCTCGGGACAGGGCAGGAGGGTCCCCCGGGCTGGAGTTCAACCCTCGGGACAGGGCAGGAGGGTCCCCCGGGCTGGAGTTCAACCCTCGGGACAGGGCAGGAGGGTCCCCCGGGCTGGAGTTCAACCCTCGGGACAGGGCAGGAGGGTCCCCCGGGCTGGAGTTCAACCCTCGGGACAGGGCAGGAGGGTCCCCCGGGCTGGAGTTCAACCCTCGGGACAGGGCAGAAGATCCCCTGGGCTGGAGTTCAAGGTCAGACGGGCCTTTCAAATACAAGCAAATGCCAGCCTCCCTCCCCCAGGCATCGATCTCGTGAATAAATCAGCAATGACAGCCCCGACAGGCGGCTGGCGGGGAGCGGGTGGGGGCCATGGCCCTGGAGTGGGGGTCGCGGTGGGCCTGGGTCGGGGCCAAGGGAGCCACATCCAGTGTGGGGGCTGCGGGCTCCAGGCCTGGTGTCTCTGGAGGGGGCCTCGGAACCGGAGGGGAAGACCCCACAGCGTCTGCGGAGCTCCCTGAGGCCCCATAGCACCTGTCATCACGGCTGCCAGGGAGTCAGCTCTGCAAAATCATCACAGACGTGGGGGGATGGCGTCTCTCCCTCCCCCAGCCCTTTCCCCTTCCTTCCTTCCCACCTTCTTTCCTTTCTTCTATCTTTCCTTTCAAGCTCCAAACTTGCACTTTGATTTCCTTCAAGAGTCCACCCTTATCTGTACCTGGTTAAAATAATCAGCGAAAACCAAAGCCATCCCGAAGATCGCCCAGCCTCGCAAGGTGTAAGGTTTCGGGGCATCAAGCCTGGCCTCGGCCAGCCACGCCTCCTGGGGGTCTCCCGTGTCTAAGTCTTGCTGTGCCCCCAATTTCAAGTCAGTGGTGATCCCTGTGGTCTATCCTGGGCATGGCGGCCCCTCATGCCCGTTTTCCCAGGGTTGGTTTGGCTGTGGTCTTTGTGGCATCGGGATGGGAAAGCCATGTGGGTGCTGGTCGTGTGGCCTCCCACAGCCTGGCTTCCTCCCGCAGGCCCCACAGCTGTTCTTATCCTCATCCAATCTGGTAACCCTCGTATCCTGGATCTCTCCGGGTGCTCCATGGCCCATGGGATTCCGCCCAGGTCCTCTTCTCCACTGGACTTCTCCTCCATCTCTCAGGGAGCCCAGGGCTGCCCTGACCCCAGTGTGGAGCGGCCAGGTCTCTCGGGACTGTGGCTGCTGAGGCTGTGCAGGCAGTGTGGGACCCAGGGCTGGTTGGCTGTGTCCTGACCTGGAGTCTGGCTGCCTTCACGTGGAGCTCCTGTATCTGCCGTGTACCCTCAGCTGCCCCAGGCCACCTGATCACACCCGTCCACACCTGTTCATACCTGTCCACACCTGCTCACACCCATCCACACCAGTTCACAGCTGCTCACACCTGCCCAAACCTGCTCACAGCTGCCTGCACCTGCCTACACCTTCTGACATCTGCTTATACCGTACACAGGTGCTCACACCTGCCCAAACACCTGCCTACACCTTCTGACACCTGCTTTTACCTGTTCACTGCTGCTCACACCTGCCCATACCTGTTTACACCTGCACACAGCTGCCCACACCTGCTGACACCTGCATACAGCTGCCTGTACCTACCTACGCCTACTCACAACTGCATATACCTGCTCACACCTGCTAACACCTGCCAGTAACTGCTCACACCACACACCTGCTCACACCACACACCTGCCCACAGCTGCCTCTGCAGGAGATGCCCAGTGTGGTGGTTCGTGGGTGGGGGATGGGGTCCCCTCCCTTCTGCTCAGGCAAAGGAAATATGTGCTCAGTTCGGGGCCACCTGTGCAGAATTGGTGGGGCCTGACGCAGCCTCACCACGTGGCATGGAAGCAAGCCCGGGACAGCGCTTGACCCGAGCGGACAGGCATCTGCCAGGCCTGCGGTGGAGGTTGGGGGGTGGAACCCTCCATCTGTGGCATGTGACCCAAAACCTCTGCATGAGGGACCCCCGTGCCAGGCCTGCCCCTGCTGCCCTCCAGCTTCAGGGCCTCTACCTCTCCCCAGCGTGCGGCCTAGACCCAGGCCCTCAGGAAACATCTGTGACCCCAGCAGACGGGGAGCCAGGCAAGGACTCTGCAGTGGGTGAGCCAAGGTCAGGTGGAGGTCACGTGTGTTTCCTGTGGCTGCCGTCCGCCACGAATTCCACAGCTCGGTGGCTTGAAGGACATAGTCATGACCTTACAGCAACGAGCCTGGCTGATGCTTCCAAGGCTAAGGACGCGGGCAGGGGCTGCTCAGGACCCAGGAGAGAGGGGAGAGAGGGGGCGTCATCCCAGAGCCCATGAGGGACACGGCCGGCTGCTGGGTCCCTCACGGCGGAGACCGAGGACTCCCCTTTGCAGGTAGCTCTGGGGTCACTGGCGAGGGGGACAGAGCTGGATGGGGGGCTTCAGGAGGGGCCGGGCAGGGGGACGTGGAGACGGCGCACTCATAACCCTACTACGGCTTCCTGTAAGGGGGAGTGGAGGCCGGGGCAGCAGCCGCAGGGGCGACATGGTGTCAAGGTCTCCTGGACATTGTGCCACTGCTGGTGCCAGAGAGACCACGGTTTTGCAGATGCCCAGGACAGGCCAGAGGGCGGGGCCGTGGCATGGGGAGGGGCTGCCCTAGGGATGGGGACTCCTGGCCTGGCTGACCTGCACCTGGGCCAGTGGAAGGCGAAGGTGGGCAGGCCTGAGTGTGAGTCTCACATCCATCTGCTGCGTGGCCCTGGGCAGGTCACTCAGCCTCTCTGGGCCTCAGCTCCTCCCCAGGGCTGTGGGAGGGGCCAGGAGAATGACAGCCTGATTCCTCCGCCCCCTCATCTGCAGGCCACCCGCCCAGGGACGTGCTACCATTTACCTAACACACGTCTTTAAATCCACCCAAAGGATAACTGCATGAATTTTAACAGGAAACTCTTTATCACTGCCTTAGGAGAGGACCATTATCTCTTGCCAAAAATGAGAGATAACTGTACAAATAAATACAATAAGATACACACCGCAGTTAAAGTGGTTGGATACCACAGTCTGGAAGGCTTTGTCGTCTGATGGCCGCTCGAAAGGTGAGACTGTTCAGCATCAGAGGTGCTCTAGAACCTGGCCTAGATTTTCCTCTTGAAATAATCAGAAAGCTTAGAAGAGAACGGGGGTACTTTTCAGGATGAGGGAGAATTTTTTATCTTCATGTGGGGGTGGGGGCCACACAGCATTGACATCTGTCAGAACCCAGGAGCTGTGTGGGGGTGGGGGACAGGCAGAGAGAGAGACAGAGAGACACAGAGACAGAGAAAGAGACACATACACTGAGAGACTGAGAGACAGAGAGACACAGAGACAGAGACACAGAGAGACAGAGAGAGACACACACTGAGAGACTGAGAGAGAGAGACAGAGTCAGAGACAGAGTCAGAGACAGAGAGAGAGACACACAGAGACAGAGACACAGAGACAGAAAGAGAGACACACACTGAGAGACTGAGAGACAGAGAGACAGAGTCAGAGACAGAGAGGCAGAGAGAGACAGAGAGACAAAGAGACAGAGATACAGAGAGACAGAGAGAGACACACACACTGAGAGACTGAGATACAGAGAGACAGAGTCAGAGACAGTCAGAGACAGAGAGACACAGAGACAGAGACACAGAGAGACAGAGAGAGACACACACACTGAGAGACTGAGAGACAGAGAGACAGAGTCAGAGACAGAGTCAGAGACAGAGAGAGACAGAGAGACAAAGAGACAGAGATACAGACAGACTGAGACAAAGAGACACAGAGAGACAAAAAGACTGGGAGAGACAGAGACAGAGACATGGAGAGAATGAGGCAGAGACTGGGAGGCAGAGACAGATGCAGAGACAGAGATAAAGAGACACAGAAAGACTGAGAGAGACAAAGAGAGACAGACACAAGGAGATAGAGTGACACAGAGAGACAGACCACAGAGAGAGATGCAGAGAGAGGGGAATCATTTCTTGTGAGGGGCCTGGCCTCAGGCAGCCGCCTGCCTGGGAGCTGCTAGGCTGTCTGGTGTCTGGGGAGAGGAGTGATCAGAGGTGAAGAGTGGCTCCCCAACCCAGGCCCGCCGCTCTAAACACAGGAAGATCCACAGTCCTTGGGCAGTTTATAGAACTGCTCCCCTTGGGGCCTATCAGGATGTGTGGTCTTAAATCATTGCTGTTTAATATTCAACAGTTGCTCCACTGAGAACAAGCGTATTTAGGGGACGTTGCTTGAGAGGAATCTCCTCTCTAAATGGCGGGGTTGAGTGGGGTGGTCGCCCTACAGGTCAGGGATCTGGAATATGACCAAGTCAGGCGCCGCCATCGGGCTGGGGGTCACCGTGCCCCTCCCTGTAGCCCCGGCCCGGCTCTGGCCTCTGGCCGGCAGACTCCAGGGCTGCAGGGAGACCCCACTGTACACCCCATGCTGGCCAGGTGGCTGGTGAAAGGGACCCTTTGGCTTCCAGCCTCCACTTGTTCAGCGCAGACATGGCCTCAGAACCAGCCCTCAGAACGGAGCAAGAATAGCCGTGCCCAGCTCGGACCCCGGGCGGCACTCACTCCAGTCGCTGGCAGTGCTGCTGTGGGCCTGGCGTGGCCCCAGGGCTCAGCTGTGGGCTCCGTGCGTGGCCCCGGGGCTCGGCTGTGGGCTCCGTGCGTGGCCCCGGGGCTCGGCTGTGCTCTATGGGCCTCGGACCTGCTCCTCTTCACTCTCTGCCGTGTTTTTCTTCCTCTTTTATTCTGTTTATAATTTACCTTATCTTGCTGGAACCCTTCTGTTTCCTGGGAAGTTACCAGAACCTGATCACCAGCAGAATTGGAATGTGCAGTATGATCTATACATGTTTACACACATGCCACACACCCTTCCCAAGGCCGTCCCTATACCCATTACACACACACCACACCCCCTTCCCAGGGCCGTCCCTATACCCATTACACACACACCACACACCCTTCCCGGGGCCCTCCCTATCCCCATTACACACACGCCACACCCCCTTCCCGGGGCCCTCCCTATACCCATTACACACACGCCACACCCCCTTCCCGGGGCCCTCCCTATACCCATTACACACACAACACACACCCTTCCAGGGGCCCTCCCTATACCCATTACACACACGCCACACACCCTTCCCGGGGCCCTCCCTATACCCATTACACACACAACACACACCCTTCCAGGGGCCCTCCCTATACCCATTACACACACGCCACACCCCCTTCCCAGGGCCCTCCCTATCCCCATTACACACACAACACACCCCCTTCCAGGGGCCCTCCCTATACCCATTACACACACGCCACACCCCCTTCCCGGGGCCCTCCCTATACCCATTACACACACAACACACCCCCTTCCAGGGGCCCTCCCTATACCCATTACACACACGCCACACCCCCTTCCCGGGGCCCTCCCTATACCCATTACACACACACCACACCCCCTTCCCGGGGCCCTCCCTATACCCATTACACACACGCCACACCCCCTTCCCGGGGCCCTCCCTATACCCATTACACACACGCCACACACCCTTCCAGGGGCCCTCCCTATACCCATTACACACACGCCACACCCCCTTCCCGGGGCCCTCCCTATACCCATTACACACACACCACACCCCCTTCCCGGGGCCCTCCCTATACCCATTACACACACAACACACCCCCTTCCCGGGGCCCTCCCTATACCCATTACACACACGCCACACCCCCTTCCCGGGGCCCTCCCTATACCCATTACACACACAACACACACCCTTCCCGGGGCCCTCCCTATACCCATTACACACACAACACACCCCCTTCCCGGGGCCCTCCCTATCCCCATTACACACACGCCACACCCCCTTCCCGGGGCCCTCCCTATACCCATTAAACACACAACACACCCCCTTCCAGGGGCCGTCCCTATCCCCATTAAACACACAACACACCCCCTTCCCGGGGCCCTCCCTATACCCATTACACACACACCACACCCCCTTCCCGGGGCCCTCCCTATACCCATTACACACACAACACACCCCCTTCCCGGGGCCCTCCCTATACCCATTACACACACGCCACACCCCCTTCCCGGGGCCCTCCCTATACCCATTACACACACGCCACACCCCCTTCCCGGGGCCTTCCCTATACCCATTACACACACGCCACACCCCCTTCCCGGGGCCTTCCCTGTACCCATTACACACACAACACACACCCTTCCCGGGGCCCTCCCTATACCCATTACACACACGCCACACCCCCTTCCCGGGGCCTTCCCTATACCCATTACACACACGCCACACCCCCTTCCCGGGGCCCTCCCTATACCCATTACACACACACCATACCCCCTTCCCGGGGCCCTCCCTATACCCATTACACACACGCCACACCCCCTTCCCGGGGCCTTCCCTATACCCATTACACACACGCCACACCCCCTTCCCGGGGCCCTCCCTATACCCATTACACACACAACACACACCCTTCCCGGGGCCCTCCCTATACCCATTACACACACGCCACACCCCCTTCCCGGGGCCTTCCCTATACCCATTACACACACGCCACACCCCCTTCCCGGGGCCCTCCCTATACCCATTACACACACGCCACACCCCCTTCCCGGGGCCCTCCCTATACCCATTACACACACGCCACACCCCCTTCCCGGGGCCCTCCCTATACCCATTACACACACGCCACACCCCCTTCCCGGGGCCCTCCCTATACCCATTACACACACGCCATACCCCCTTCCCGGGGCCCTCCCTATACCCATTACACACACGCCACACCCCCTTCCCGGGGCCCTCCCTATACCCATTACACACACGCCGCACCCCCTTCCCGGGGCCTTCCCTATACCCATTACACACACGCCACACCCCCTTCCCGGGGCCCTCCCTATACCCATTACACACACGCCGCACCCCCTTCCCGGGGCCTTCCCTATACCCATTACACACACAACACACACCCTTCCCGGGGCCCTCCCTATACCCATTACACACACGCCACACCCCCTTCCCGGGGCCCTCCCTATACCCATTACACACACGCCACACCCCCTTCCCGGGGCCCTCCCTATACCCATTACACACACGCCACACCCCCTTCCCGGGGCCCTCCCTATACCCATTACACACACGCCACACCCCCTTCCCGGGGCCCTCCCTATACCCATTACACACACGCCACACCCCCTTCCCGGGGCCCTCCCTATACCCATTACACACACGCCACACACCCTTCCCGGGGCCCTCCCTATACCCATTACACACACGCCACACCCCCTTCCCGGGGCCCTCCCTATACCCATTACACACACAACACACACTTCCCGGGGCCCTCCCTATACCCATTACACACACACCACACACCCTTCCCGGGGGGCCATCAGGGCCCCCAGTGGCCTCAGTGTCCAGTCCTCCCCGTCCTCCGGAGCTCTCTCTGGTGGGGGCCCCAGTCCTCCTCGTCTTCCGGAGCTCTCTCTCTCTGGTGGGGGCCCCACCTGGCCGACCTGAAGGTCAGGGCATCCACTCTTTGGGGAAACGAAGTTGGGTTCGTAGGGGCAGCTCTGGTGTTGTTGGTCCTTCCCTCCAGACACCACGTCTCTTCGTCTGGCTCCCAGGAGACCCCAGTTCTATTTCTATTTCTCCCGCCTCTGTCATCCCCTCAAACTGCTTCTGCATAGCCCCCACTCTGCCTCTCAGGCTTTAACCCCAACTGTGAGCCCCACCTGGCTGTCCTGGGGCCACTGAACTCCACGTGTCCATCGTGGCTCTCCCCAACATGCCACCACGCACCGGCTGGCATTCTGTCCCTATGAAGGCCCTGCCTGCCTGGGGACTGGGAATCAGCCGCTGTCCCAGCCCACCCGTCAATCACCCATCAATCACCGGCCAATCACCCGTCAATCACCGTCTCTTGCCAGCTTTGCATCCTAAATATTTTTTGGAAGAGTCCCGTGTCCGCCACACCCCACAAGAAAGAAAGTTCACCCTACTGGGCTCAACAGTAAAGATGTTAATGAAGGGAAGCTTTAGGGATGTGTGGTTAGGGGCATAGGGACAGACGGGGGCAGTGCAACCTCAGGGGCGGCAACGTGCAGTTCTCGACACCGGCAGAGTGAGGCCTCGGGCCGGCCACTCGGACCACGGTGCAGCTTCCAACAACCTGTGGTGCCTCCACGGGCCAAGACAGCCTGCGGTGCCTCCACGGGCCAAGAGCACAAGGTGGGAGGAGGGAAGGAGCTGGGGGACTGGAAAGCGGTGGTCAGCATCTGAGGGCCCGGCAGGGCTGGGGCTAGACGGGGGATGTGGTGATGGGGCTGGACGGGGGGGCGTGGTGATGGGGCTGGACGGGGGCGTGGTGATGGGGCTGGACGGGGGATGTGGTGATGGGGCTGGACGGGGGGGCGTGGTGATGGGGCTGGACGGGGGCGTGGTGATGGGGCTGGATGGGGGCGTGGTGATGGGGCTGGACGGGGGGGCGTGGTGATGGGGCTGGACGGGGGCGTGGTGATGGGGCTGGACGGGGGCGTGGTGATGGGGCTGGACGGGGGCGTGGTGATGGGGCTGGACGGGGGCGTGGTGATGGGGCTGGATGGGGGCGTGGTGATGGGGCTGGATGGGGGCGTGGTGATGGGGGCTGGACGGGGGGGCGTGGTGATGGGGCTGGACGGGGGCGTGGTGATGGGGCTGGACGGGGGCGTGGTGATGGGGCTGGATGGGGGCGTGGTGATGGGGCTGGACGGGGGGGCGTGGTGATGGGGCTGGATGGGGGGGCGTGGTGATGGGGCTGGACGGGGGCGTGGTGATGGGGCTGGACGGGGGCGTGGTGATGGGGCTGGACGGGCAGCATGGTGATGGAGTTGGACGGGGGCGTGGTGATGGGGACAGGTGAGTCTCCTGTCCCTCACCAGGAGAACTGGGTTCTGGTTCTCAGCCTGTCTCCCACCGTAGAGCAACCTCTGACCGCCAGACAGGACACCAAGGTGAAAACTTTCAAGCCCCCAGGACGGGAGAGAGGTCAGGGGGAGAGGTCGGGGGAGAGGTGGCAGGGAGGGCAGGGAGGTCAGGGAGTGGAGTAAACGCTGGGCGCGGCCACAGCTGTGCCTTGTCAGGGGATGAAGGTGAAAGACAGAACCCGCGGTGACACAGGCTCCCCTGCCCCGCGGAGGAGTCAGGCCATCAGAAAGGCCCCTATGTCAGCCAGGCGTGGTGGTTCACACCTGGAATCCCAGCACTGTGGGAGGCAGAGGCGGGCAGATCACCTGAGCTCAGGAGTTTGAGACTAGCCTGATCAACATGGTGAAACCTCGTCTCTACTAAAAGTACAAAAATTAGCCGGGCATGGTGGCATGTGCCTGTGGTGCCACCTACTTGGGAGGCTGAAGCAGGAGAATCAGTTGAACCCGGGAGGTGGAGGTTGCAGTGAGCAGAGATCGTGCCACTGCACTCCAGCCTGGGCAACAGAGTAAGACTCTGTCTTAAAAAAAAGAAAGGCCCATGTGTCATGGAGACGGGAGGGAAGCTCTCCAACGGCTGCAGCCAGGGCCCTCTGTGGTCCGGCACCCACACCCCCAGCCCAGCCTGCTGACCCTCGCCCAGCCAGGGCCCTCCGTGGTCCGGCACCCACACCCCCAGCCCAGCCTGCTGACCCTCGCCCAGCCAGGGCCCTCCGTGGTCCAGCACCCACACCCCCAGCCCGGCCTGCTGACCCTCGCCCACCACACAGGTTCGCTGTCGTCCCGGCTTTGCTCTGAGCCTGAGCCTGGGATGCACCCACGACCCAGCCTCCTGGGACCTCCTCTCACTGCAGCTGGGTTTGGCCCACGGGAGCCGATTTTGTTTGGAGGGGAGGTGGGCGTGTTTCTCCCCTGGGCCCTTCCTGCTGAGGCGACTTGTCTTTCACTGACGGTGGCTCTGTCCCCAGGACCACATCTGCTGGGTGCCCTCCACCCCAGGGGTCCCGTCCTCCCTCGCTCTTCGGCCTCGGTGGTGGCTGCGCACTGCCGGTCCCCGGCACCCTCCCCAGGCTGTCCTCCTCGTCTCTGCGGTGCGTTCCATCCCTCTGAGGGCCTCGGCTTTCTTAGGCCCCTGACTGCTGGCCTGGTCTCCTGCCCCACAGGGTGAGCATCAGGGGAGACGGTGAGAGAAGCCGACACCCGCGTGGGTGCGTTCAATCCACGGCCGACCCGCCAAGGTCTGGTGTTTAACAATCACAGCAGTTAAGGGAAGTCAGAATATTAAAGAACCTGCCAGATTAACTTCCAGCTTCCATTTTAAAAATGTGTAATTGAGGATTGATTCTAGATGTGCAGTTTAAAATCGGACAGGATGAGAGGATTAAAGGCACCTGCAAACAGTCCTGACATCCTTCACAGATCTGGTCTCAATTCAATTTATTAAACTAGATATTTTAAAGCACTTGGTCGGGGGGATTTCTGGTATGATATCAGGCATTCAAAGTGATTAAAAGAAAATAAAACACTATGTTTGTAAGTGCCATTTTTAAAAGGCTCAAGGGACTTTAAAGGCACAAAAGCAGTGAATTCTGTTTCACGGTATTATTTTATTTTATTTTATCATATATTTTTTGAAATGGAGTCTCACTCTGTCACCCAGGCTGGAGTGCAGTGATGCGATCTCAGCTCACTGCAATTTCCGCCTCCTGGGTTCAAGTGATTCTCCTGCCTCAGCCTCCTGAGTAGCTGGGATTATAGGCATGCACCACCATGCCTGGTTAATTTTTGTATTTTTAGTAGAGGCAGGGTTTTACCATACTGGTCAGGCTGGTCTCGAACTTCTGACCTCATGATCCACCCACCTCTGCCTCCCACAGTGTTGGGATTACAGGCGTGAGCCTCAGTGCCCGGCCTCACAGTATTATTTAATCTGCCCAACCTGAGTTAAACAATCGCGGCCACGGGGAAGGAGGCCGTTTTATTGATTGAATTTGTGTCCACGATAGTACGATCTTTAAAGTGAACCGCAAGCTTACAGCACAGGTTTTGAAAGGTGCAACTTAATAAACTACATATAAATTTTTAAAACTAGCCTTAACTCTTTTCTGTGAATAGAAGCCCCATGGGCAAAACACAAAGGAAACCAAACGAAACTCCAAAATAAAAAACCCGCAACCTCCAAAATAAAAACCTAAGAAGCAGAAGCCCGGCCGAGCTCAGAGCCTCACACGGACACGGTCCCGGGAGGCAGAAGCCCGGCCCAGCTCAGAGCCTCACACAGACACAGTCCCGGGAGGCAGAAGCCCGGCCGAGCTCAGAGCCTCACACCCACCCTCTGTGCCGAAGGACCCACCTTTCCAAGGTCCCAATCCATTGTCACCTGGGGGCAATTCATAAACAGCAAAACAAAGGGCATGAAAAATAAAGTAGACATGGGAAATGCCATCTTTTGTGATTCTACAAAATTTCTCAGTGATGTTGCCACTGAGCTTCTAGCAAGACTCAGGGTAGCCCCATCTCACTGTCCCCAACTCCAGCTCAGGGACCCTGGGAGCCTTGGCCGCCCAGCTTGGCTTCCAGCTGCCTCAGCCTAGGCTCTGGAGAGGGCTCAGTGCGCTGAGCAGGAGCCCTGGACCTCACCCTGTCCCTAGACCATGGCTGCACTCGCCCTCACCCTGTCCCCGGACACTGCAGCCACACTCGCCCTCACCCCATCCCCAGACGCCATGGCCGCACTCGCCCTCACCCCGTCCCCGGATGCCGTGGCCGCACTCGCCCTCACCCCGTCCCCAGACACCGCGGCCTCACTCGCCCTCACCCCGTCCCCAGATGCCGTGGCCGCACTCGCCCTCACCCCATCCCCGGACGCTGCAGCCACACTCGCCCTCACCCCGTCCCCGGACACCGCGGCCTCACTCGCCCTCATCCTGTTCCCAGACGCTGTGGCCTCACTCGCCCTCACCCTGTCCCTGGACACCGGGGCCGCACTCACCCTCATGCCCAGTTCTACGTTCTCGCCGCCATACACCTCCATGCCGGGGTCCAGCAGCCCAATGTCTCCGAAGTACTCGCGGTCCACTACGAAGGAGCAGCCGATCATGGCTGGGGTCCTGGGAGGCAGAGACAGCGGCGTGAGGACCTCGCCATGCAGGCCTGAGCCCTGCCTGCTGGGCCATGAGCCAGGAAAGCCTGGAAGACCCCACCACCCCTCCCTCCTGTGCCTCCTCCCTGTGCACTCAGGTCCCTGTGCTCAAGGTGAGGGGCCGCTGCTCCTCCAGCCACCAGGACTTGAGTCCCTTGGAGCCTGGTTAAGCCCTCAGCCCAGACAGCGTCCAAATGCTGAATGCCAACAGATGACAGAACCCGCATTCAATTCAGCTTAGTGTAGGAGGTTTAAAAAAAGATCAATCGGCCGGCACAGTAGCTCACGCCTGTTATCCCAGCACTTAGGGAGGCTGAGGCAGGAGGATCACTGGAGCCTGGGAATTGAGGCTGCAGTGAGCTGGTATTGCACCACTACACTCCAGCCTGGGCAACAGAGTGAGATCCTGTCTCCCCTCTCCCCTGAAAAAAGATCAGTTTACCTAAGGAGCTCTGTGGTTGCCTTGAACATCATTTCCCAAGTTCGAGTGAGTCACTTGCCCGCCTCCCCCATGCTTCATCCTAACTGTGTATCAGGAGCCAGGACTGCAATGGGCAGTTGCGTAGGCTGTGCACTGCTCAACTCCACAGAACCTTGTTGATGACAGATTCTGAACGACGCAGCTTGGAGCTGAGTGCACAGCCTGTGCAGCTATGTGCCACAGACTGCCAGCTGTACTATACTTCCTGTAATAATTCTAAAACGTCAGCCGACTTAGCCTGGCCCCATCTCTGTGAAATCATGCATTGGTATGCTAGTTATATTTTTTCTAATATGTATTGAGAGTGCATCAGTGCTGCAAATCCCCTGGGAAGAGGCTGCATGGACAGCAGTGGTGAAGGCAGGATCCGCGGAGCAGTGAAGGCAGGATCTGCGGAGCAGTGAAGGCAGGATCTGCAGAGTGGAGCGGGAGGATAAGCTGGTGTGCCATTGTGGGCCACGCGACGTGCGAGCTCATTCACTCATCCCTCTCAGGTTTCTACTGGGTGTCTGGAAGGTGGCGGGGATTGAAAAAGAGGCAGGAAAATCACATCTCCAGCAAGGAGCAGGCAGAGTCTGTGTGTTGTAAGGAAGGAGGAACTTCTCATCTTTGCTGAAAGATTTTGCCTCAAAACAATTTCCTTGTCCGTGGAGAGCTTCATTTCTTCTGAGGCCTCAGGAGCTGTCAGAGGAAGCAGCAAAGCCTCACGCTATCCCCAGATGCCACGGCAGGCCGCCCTGCAGGCCTTGAGCTTCCCTGATCCTCCTCTGCGTATCAACGCGTTCTTCCATAAAAACAACAGCAAAAGTTGGCCTCTGTCATAATTTAAAGGAAGCAATTCTGTCCCCAGAGACTCAGCAGTCAGAAATAAATGCCCATCGATTGTCCAAGAATAGCAGGAGCATTAAAAAGCAATTGTCCTTTTATTTGTGCAAAGATCCAATTTGTTCTGTCATTAGATTTCGGCCACAAACCTAACAGTGATGAAATTTTAATACCCCCCCTTGATTTTTAATAGCAACCTTTGATTGGGTAAGTTATAGTTTATCATATACAACAGGTATTTCTCCTGTTTTCTTAACAACAACCATCATTTCAGGGTGATCTCTGATGAAGTGAAGAGCCAGATTCTCTGCCACATCTATTGTAGCGGGTAGCGTCTTTTTTATTATTGCTCAGAGTTCTAAAATAAAGCCCATGAGGCAAGGGAGGCAGCACCAGCTGGAACTGGATTGACTTGCCGGAGAGATGCCTGCTGTGATTACAGAAAAAGGTGGGCTGAGGGTTCTCAGGCTCGCGTGGGGCTGCCTGTCACCGTGGTGACAGCCTCCCCTCGGGGCGGTTCCGCCACACGCGGGGCACAGGGGTGCAGGGTGGAGGCCCCAGGTCCTGCCTGCTGGAGCTGCTCTGCCCGATGCCCGCACCTGCCCTCCAGTTCTCAGCTTCCGGGGCCTTAGTCCAGCCGGACGCCTCTTGTTAGCATCAGAAGCGACTCAGCCCAGCAGCCACGGAGGGACAGGTGGATACATGGAGAGTGGCCCATCCAGGCTGTGGACCGCAATTCTGCAGTGGAAGGAGCGAGGCTGACACAGCCTGCGACGTGGAGGAACCCTGGAAACGTGGCACCGAGGGCAGGGAGCCAGGTGCAAGAGGTTGCCCCCCGTGTGACTCCGTCCGCATGCAAGGAACAGAAGAGGCAAGTCCACGGGGGCAGGAAGTGGATTCGTGGATGCAGGGGCTGGGGCGGGGGGAACGGGGAGTGGCGGCTCGTGGGTGTGGGGTCCCCACGGGGAGGGAGGACAATGCTTTGGAACGAGACGGAGGTGGCAGCTGCACGACACTGTGATGGTCGAAACACCGCAGAGGTGCCCACTTTAGTGTGGTTGATTTGTGTTATATGAGTTTCACCAATGGCCCATTGAGTGCTTTGATCTTCCACAGACCCTGATAACAAGAAAAGCCAACGTGGCCGGGCACAGTGGCTCACGCCTGTAATCCCAGCACTTTGGGATGCCAAGGCAGGCAGATCACCTGAGGTCAGGAGTTCAAGATCAGACTGGCCAATATGAAGAAACTCCATCTCTACTAAAAATACAAAAAATTAGCCGGGCGTGGTGGTGTGCACCTGTAATCCCAGCTACTCGGGAGGCTGAGGCAGGAGAATCACTTGAACCTGGGAGGCGGAGGTTGCAGTGGACTGAGATGACGCCACTGCACTCCAGCCCGGGTGACAGAGGGGATTCCGTCTCAAACGACAACAACAACAAAGGCTCAGCTCATGCCGAGGTAAGACGGCGAGGAGGCGGTGGGCACCGCCCGTGTGGGTGGAGTCGGGACCCACATCCCCGGAGGCCTGCGGTGGACCTGTCGCCTGCACACGTGCACAGGGAGGCCTAGTGAGCCCGGTGCCCGTGAACCTGGGATAGGTACGTAAACAGCAGCGCGCGCGTAAGACACAATCCACGGAGAAGCTAAGACAAGGGCACCGGAGCCGCGTCCTTCCACACGGAGTTTGGAACACGTCGAGAATAACGCACACTGAAACCTCGCCGTGCAAGACCCAAGCGGTGACCGGCACACGGTACACGTACGTGCAGATGTGCGAGCCACAAACGCATGGAAACATCACCCGAGAGCTTGATTATTTACATTTCTTTCACATTCATTTGATTTTATGAATTTCGATCGATACAATTTTAACTTTGGTTTCAGTCAACACTTGCCACCTTCAATCAGAGGCACTGAAACGAAAAGTTAAAATTAAAACTGGAGTACGTTAAGGATGAAAAGCACAGGAAGGCATGTCCAGTTCACGACGCCGGTTACGGGGCAGGAAGCTGTGAAACAGGCCGGTGCTCTGCGTCTTGGGGGGCTCCCGGCATCCGCTTTCCGGGGAGGGGAGCGGCTGCTCTCGTTTCTGTGTGGCTTGTCAATGGGGTTGGGGTCGCTGACTCCTTAAATCCTTGGAGCTCAGGGCTCTGCAAGGCCAGCTCTCAGAGGGGACTCCTCCGGGCCCACACCGCCCTCCCAGGTCCTCTTCTGACCAGGAGAGGTCTCAGGGACAGCACCCTGTTCTTTGTTCCTCGGGTGAAGGAGAAAATCAGGGGTCTCCTCCCCGCAGGCCCAGCCCCCGGCAGACAGGGCTCTGCAAGCTGGAGGGCCCTGGGGAATGGAGGTAGTGCTTGGGGTTCCAGAGCTTTGGAGGGAATAATTTCCGAGTGGTTCTCAGGTGGGCAGGCCTGGTGTCAGCACAGCCCTTGATCCTGGAGGGGCTGGTGGCACATCAGCAGCCTCTGGGCACCCACAGCCTGGGGGCCCCACCTCTTCCTGGAGGAACACATGTCCCCAGGTGTCCTCCGAAGTCACACTTGAACCAGCAGCCCCGATGAGAGCCAGCTCCCCCAGGCCTGCCCCCCGCCTGCCAGGCTGCCTGTCCTTCCTGCCGTTCTCCCACCTTGCTCACGTGATGGGGGTGCCGGATCTTAACTGGGATCCCAGGAATCCTCCGTGATGAGGATGGTCCCCAGCGTCTGTCTGGGAGAAAGGAGCAGGGGAGCAGGAAGAGGACTAGAACAGGGTGGAGGCCAACAGGGCAGCCACCTCCACAGGCCCAGGCAGTGAGGCCACACTCCTGCCTAGGACTGTCCCATTGAAGCTCAGGTGCTTCAACTCTGCAGGGAGCAAAGAGGCCTCCAAAGATGAGCCACAGGCGGCTGTGAACGCAGGAAGGGCAGAGAGTCCCAGGCACATGGGCACCTCCTGCAGCCGCATCCCCGCCACGACTGAAGCCTTCGTGTCTTGCGGACGCCGACACTGACATTTAATGTTATTTAAAAACTGTTTCTGAGAAGGCAGAGAAGCACGTGCCACGTTTTAGAAAGAGTTTGCATCCACAATGGAAAGAGTGAAATGTAGGGTCCAGCCCTACAGGGCTTAGCGGGTGTTCTCCCCGTGTGCAGAGACAAGAGATTGTCAGAAATAAAGACACAAGACAAAGAGATAAAGAGAAAACAGCTGGGCCTGGGGGGAACCACTGCCATCAAGACACGGAGACCTGGCTGGGCGCACTGGCTCATGCCTGTAATCCCAGCACTTTGGGAGGCCGAGGCAGGCGGATCACCTGAGGTCGGGAGTTCGAGACCAGCCTGACCAACATGGAGAAACCCCGTCTCTACTAAAAATACCAAAAAAAATTAGCCAGGCGTGCTGGCACATGCCTGTAATCCCAGCTACTAGGGAGGCTGAGGCAGGAGAATCGCTTGAACCTGGGAGGCGGAGGTTGTGGTGAGCCGAGATCGCACCACTGCACTCCAGCCTGGGCAACAACAGCGAAACTGCCTCAAAAAAAAAAAAAGACACGGAGACCAGTAGTGGCCCCGAACGGCTGGGTGCGCTGATATTTATTGCATACAGGACGAGGGGGCAGGGTAAGGAGGGTGAATCTTCTAAGTGATTGACAAGGTGAAGCAAGTCACATGATCACAGGACAGGGGGCCCTTCCCTTTTAGGTAGCTGAAGCAGAGAGGGAAGGCAGCAAATGTCAGCGTTTTCTTCTATGCACTTATAAGAAAGATCAAAGACTTTAAGACTTCCACTATTTCTTCTTCTGCTATCTACTACGAACTCCAAAGAGGAACCAGGAGTGCGGGAGGAGCATGAAAGTGGACAAGGAGTGTGACCATTGAAGCACCACAGGGAGGGGTTTAGGCCTCCGGATGACTGCGGGCAGGCCTGGAGAATATCCAGCCTCCCACAGGAAGCTGGTGGAGCAGAGTGTTCCCTGACTCCTCCAAGGAAAGGAGACTCCCTTCCACAGTCTGCTAAGTAACAGGTGCCTTCCCAGACACTGGCGTTACCGCTTGACCAAGGAGCCCTCAAGCGGCCCTTATGCGGGCATGACAGAGGGCTCACCTCTTGCCTTCTAGGTCACTTCTCACAATGTTCCTTCAGCACCTGACCCTATACCCTCAGGTTATTCCTAGATTATATTAGTAATGCAACAAAGAGTAATATTAAAAGCTAATGATTAATAATGTTTATAATAATGATTGATAATTGTCCATGATCATCTCTATATCTGACTTGTATTATGATTATTCTTATTCTAACTATTTTCTTTATTATACTGAAAGTTTGTGCCTTCAGTCTCTTGCCTCGGCACCTAGGTAATCCTTTGCCCACAGTGAAAATTGTTAGGACTTAAAAAGTGAGGTGGTTATCCCTGCACCTAAAGTTCCATTCCCCAAAGAGATCACGGAAATGCCGTCCTGGAGCAGGGCCCACACTTTCTCTGCCCGGGGCAAGTGTGTAAATGTCTTGGCTCTGTGCCAGAAGCCTGGGTGGCAGCTGCTCCCCTCTGCCCTGATATGCAAATGAGGAAACATGGCCGTGTGTCAATAAAGCTTTATTTACAAATACAGGACTGTGGGCCATGATTCCCTGACCCCTGCTGTACATCCTTGAAAATGCCCTTCACTGTTTTTTCTTTTTTTTTTTTTTAGACTGAATTTCGCTCTCGTTGCCCAGGCTGGAGTGCAATGGCACCATCTCAGCTCACTATAACCTCTGCCTCCTCTGTTCAAGCAATTCTCCTGCCTCGGCCTCCCAAGTAGTTGGGATTACAGGCACCTGACACCACGCCCTGCGAATTTTTGTATTTTTAGTAGAGACAGGGTTTTGCCAGGCTAGGAACTCCTGACCTCAGGTGATCCACCCGCCTCGGCCTCCCAAAAGTGCTGGAAATACCGGCGTAAGCCACTGCACCCGGCCCCTCCGCTGCTTTTAATATGCATATTTACTTTTATGGAAATTTTCAAGTGTATGCAAAAGGAGAAAGATGAGCAGAATGTGTTCTCAGTTTCAGCGATGATCAGCATCGTGTCCTTCTTATTTTTTTCTCTCGCCTATTACTCCTGATCCTCCAGCATGAGGGGAGTGATTCTGACAGGGCTCATGTCTCTGACTCTGATCCTCTATGCGAGAGGAGTGATTCTGACAGGGCTCCAGCACGTGACTCTGTGATCCTCCAGTGAGTGGGGAGCTGATTTCTGATGGGGCTCTCGCCCAGACTTTGATCCTCCAGGGTGAGTTTTGACAGACAAACTTACACGAAGGTCAGGCAGGTAAAGTACAAGAGAGAAGAGGGCTAGTGTCACTTGTTGAACATGGTGAAATCAAAGCCTTCATCTTCTTTCTCTTGAAATAGTCAGTCCTCTTGGTCTGTCCCTATTCTCCCTCTCCCGTAAGGACCCAGCTCTAGAGAATTATTTCCCCAAGTGGAGCAGCAGCATCAGCAAATGATAAACAATACAGGACAGATGGGCTTGCCGGGAGCGGCTGTTGGGACAGGTGGTGACTGTGGCTCTGCTCTGTCCGAGGGAGCAGCCACAGCTCAGCTTCAGTTCATCATGACTGAGTAAGAATTGGGGCCTAGAATCTTCCAATTTTCAAAAAGAGTAGAAATCATTTTCACATAAAATAAGATTTCAAGTGAAAATGATTAAGTATTGGTTCTGTCAACCAAGAATAAAATTCTAAGACCCCCAACCAATTGAATGGAGCCGCTTCTCAACCAAGGGCACCCCAAAGTAACCCAGGAAAACGAGCTCAGGTCCTGATGGGAAGAGGGTTTGGACAAGCCCCTTAGACTCTCCTCCCTTTGGAATTCTGGAACACTAAAACACAGATGTTAAGTCTGACCAAACAGACTCTTTTGTAGAGATAAAATGCATCCAAAATGACAGTTAGCAGGTCCCTAAAGAAGTTAAGTATTTTACCCCAAAATGTATTTCATTGATGTATTTTGAAATGGCTTGCAATGCTGTGTCTTGTGGGGGAACTCAACATTCTGTAGAGACTTCCCTTTCTTTTGGAGGTCTTTTCTGATCCAGACAAGATTAACCAGAAGTCTGGCCCCTTTTTAAGTCTGATAAGAAACATTTACAATCTCCTCCTTCTGAAGCTCCTTCTGAAGCCCGCTACCTGGAGGCTTCATCTGCATCATAAAACCTCGGTCTCCACAACCCTTTATCTTAACCAGATGCTCCTTTCTATTCATACCAGGTCTTTAGATAATAACTTAACTCTTTCAACCAATTACCAATCAGAAAATCTTTGAATCCGCCCATGGCCTGGAAGTCCCCACTTCCGGTCCTCCCGCCTTTTGGACTGAACCAGTGCACACCTGACATGTGTGCATTGATTCCTTCTCCCTAAAACATACACATCCAGCAGGCTGCACGCCTGCACGCTAAGCATGGAACGCAGGGGCACCGGCCGCGATGACAACACCGCGTGGACCCACATGCGCCTTTGCGATCTTCACGCTGGGTGTCCACCATGGAAGCCGTCCTGGAACTTCTAACATGGCCCCATCTCGTTGCGGCTGTCTGCTGTTTCTGTCCCCATGAGGGAGGGCGAACTCCTGAGTTTACGCAATCCACCCACCTGGGCCTCCCAAGTGTTGGGATTACAGGCATGAACCACCGCACCTGCCTTAATATTTCATTTATTCTTTAAAATCAACTTTGAGGGGTGAAATTTATATAAAATGAAATGCATCCATGTGATCTTTGCATTTTGGCCCATTTTGACTGATGGAGACCCCTGGGTGACCCCATCCTTTTCCAGCAGAGAACACTGCTGCCCTGGAACTGTCCCAGGCAGGCCCCTTCCCTGTGAGCCCCGACCCTCAGCCTCCACCCAGGATGAATTTTGCCTTCCGTGGAATTCTGTGTGCAGGAATCACGCAGACACTCTCTTCCATGTGTGGCTCCGAGGCTCAGCATGAGCCTCTACATCTCACCACGTTGTTAGGTGTGGAAGGGTCCACTCCTCCCTGTTTCTAAGTATTCCGTGATGTGGGTGGAGTCTGCCCTGCTCATCCATTCACCTGCTGACGCATATGAGGCTACTGTGAGTAACGCCGCTGTGAACGTTTGTGTGGAAGCCTTTGCATGTACGCATGTCTCATTTATTTTGAGAAAAACACCTGGGAGTGGAATAGGGGGGACACTGGAGGGGGGACACGGGGGACACTGGAGGGGACAGTGGAGGGGGACAGTGGAGGGGGAACACTGGAGGGGGAACACTGGGGGGACGCTGGAGGGGGACACTGGAGGGGGGACGCTGGAGGGGGGACACTGGAAGGGGGGACACTGGAGTGGGTTTCGGGCCTTCAGAAGGAGCTGCCGGTTTTCCAAAGTGGCTGCACCGATTCACAGTCCTGCCAGCCATGTCCGAGAGTTGCATCTGTGCCATGTCCTTGTCAACATTTGGTATTGTCAGCCTGCACCTTTCAGCCACCCCAGTGGGCACAGAGCCCCATCTCACTGTGGGTTGAATTTGCATCTCCCTGGACTGTGGGGAGCACATTTCATGAGCTTGCTGGCGCAGGCCAGTCTTCTCCTGGGTAGTGTCTGTTCATGTCGCGCCCTGTCCTTTAGCTGAGAGCTGGAACGGGGGGCTTCAGCAGCTGTCCAGGTGGTGGCTATGAGGAGCAGGGGGGCAGCCATGCCTTGAAGACTTGATGGGGCCAGTGAGCCTGCTCCTGCCACAGCTCAGGGCATCCAGAGCCTGCCAAAAACTGTGGGAGGTGCCTCCCATTGGGTTCTCTGAATTTCACTGATTTTTAAAATGTCAAACACAAGGCGATCCTTTTCCTGCTAATTGGGGATTATCAAGTGCATTTTGAATGAAGAAAAATAACCTTCAAGCCGTTAGTACTGGCTCCTGTGAACCCTGAGGGCTGCGTCTGCATCTCTGTGATACAGACAAGCTCTGTGTGCCAAGTTTTTATGGCAAAGCCCAGGGGCCCCAGCACCCGGCCCGACACTCACCGTGGTCTCTGCTCAGCCCCTGCACCAGGTTGTGCTTGCTGGGGGACGTCCCCAGCCCTCGTCCCCATGCCCTCATCCCCGGCCCTCGTCCCCACGCCCTCGTCCCCGGCCCTCGTCCTCATGCCCTCATCCCCACGCCCTCGTCCCCGGCCCTCATCCCCACGCCCTCGTCCCCACGCCCTCGTCCCCACGCCCTCGTCCCCAGCCCTCGTCCCCGGCCCTCATCCCTGGCCCTCGTCCCCACGCCCGCCTCGCTCTGCTCCGCTCCTTGCCGGGCAGGGCCGCCCTCGACCCCTGAGGGCGCAGCTCACCTGATGGGTGCTGACTCGTCGCCGCGGTCCAGCCAGTCCTGCGGGGGGATGATGTACATGCACCAGAGGCCCCAGTTGTAGCCATGGGCGGCGTTCGCATACTGCTGCACCTCAAACGTGCTGTACTTGATGTTGTCGATGGCTGGCAGCACGATGCGACGCCGGTCCTCTCGGATCCGCGACAGTGCGGGCTCGGCCCTGCGGAGGCACAGCTGTGAGGAGGGGCGGCCCCAGCCCACCGCATTCCCTGAGGAGGGTCCACTCGCCCACAGGGAGGGGAGGCCAGTCCCCACCTGGTCTGCATCTAGCCCTGCCACCCCCTGCTGAGCTAGACCCACATCCTCCCTTGGAAGCCCAAGGGCCCCTCTCAGCAGCAGACCCACCCTGACCAAGGCCTCACCCCTGCTGGGGTAGCCCCTCGAATGCCACTGGCCCCTGGGGGACGCTGACACCGGCCACGTTGGCCCAACTGCAGTATCTCTGAAGGGCTGCCCAGGGGTCCATAAGAGGTCAGCTATGTCCACCACGGGGCTCCCCAGCTCGGTCTCCC
This sequence comes from Homo sapiens, assembly GCF_000001405.40. Classification (NCBI taxonomy): domain Eukaryota; kingdom Metazoa; phylum Chordata; class Mammalia; order Primates; family Hominidae; genus Homo; species Homo sapiens. The sequence goes on from NC_000012.12 coordinate 132,258,239, forward strand.
TCTCTGCCCAGCCCCGAGTCCCTCCTCTCCTTTCCTGCTCCTGTGGGAGCTGCATTCATTTGCAAGAATTAATTGAGGATCTACTATGTGCCACGCCCTGTTCCCACAAATTGGAATACAATCATGAACTAAGGAATAAAAACAATCCGTGCCACGGGGAGCTCGCACGGTGTGGGATGAAAAGCCACCAGGCACCGTTGTGCAGAGTGGAACCTGCATGAGTGTGCAGCGGCCCCGCTCAAGGACGGGACGGAGGATGAGGTATAAGCAGTCGTGGATGTTGTAGAGGGGGCTCACAGTTTTAAGTAGGGCTGCCCTGGGTAGTGACTGGAAGGAGGCATAGAGGGAGTCTCAGAGGGTGCGGCAGCTGCACCGAAGCCCGGGCGTGTGCCTAATGGGCCTGCAGGGCTGGCCAGGAGGCCGGACAGAGCGATGGGGCAATGGGGGGCGAGGAGGGCAGAGAGGAAGGTGAGTAGAAGCAGCCTCGATGGGCATCAGCTCAGTCTTCGATTCCCCGTCCCAAGCAGGGGTCCTGGGAAGCAGGTGCAGCCCTCGCCCTTGGAGACGCCATGGTCTACCGCAAGGTGAGATGGCCGCAGAGGCCCGCCGTCCACGCTGGAGACCCACAGGGCCAAAGCCACCCAGCCACTGGCTGACACAGAGCCCAGAGGCTGCAGTGAGAGGCTGGATGGCCTGAGGGCAGATTCGGGTCGGCTCAGGCAGAGCCGGCATGGGGAGAGGCAAGGCCCTGACCCTGCCTGTGAGACCACACGGCTGTCTTCACCCCTTCTTCCCGTCCTTCTGAGCATGAGGCCTGGTATTTACCTGCCTTTCAGCTTTGTGAGGAGGATTAATTAATTACTGTTAGCGAAGTGCTTCAGAGATGAAAAGCTCCCTGGAAATGCCAGGTCTTCTAATAAGGCAGAATCCTTTGTGGAGACAGTTACGGGAGGGGGTGCTATTTGCAGATGGATAACTGGGTTTTCAGTTGTGAAAATTAAATTTGGACCGGTTTAAAATTGCATTTTGACGTGACAGACCCAAGGCTCCCCCAGACGCCCTCAGGCCTCGGGGAGCTTACCCGGCATCAGAGGGACTAAAAGGCTGCCGGTGTAGTTGTGCAGTGCACAACGTGTGCGACTGCATGGGGTGACATTGTGGGGGGCAGACAGTGGAACACAATTCATGCACAACACGTCAGAAGCTGATAAACATCGAGGGAAAGGAAAGCGCCCTGCGGAGGAGCGAGGAAGGGGAAGGGAGGGCACAGGGCAGAGGAGGCAGCGTCTTGTCAGAACAGCGCCGGCTGGGGACTGAGATGCCCCAGGAAAGCCGAGTGTGAGGGGAGAAGCCTGAGAGGTGCCAAGTCCCCACTTGAACCCACTGATGCTGTTATGGAAACCACGGACTTTAAGAAGCCCCAAAACGCCAGGTTCCCCGGGGACCCAGCAGGAGGCCCAAGGTCACATGCAGTGGGGTGTCCCAGCCAATCATGACAGTCCCAGCCTCCGTGTAACACTGAGATCAAACATCAGCTGGCCCTTCCCACCAAGGCCCCCTGCAGTGACAACAGCCCATATTTCCCTGAGTTGAAAAATGAGTCAGGAGAGTTGATATTAAATCTTCAGTTTTTGTTTCTCCAGGAAGTGGGGAAAATGTCCTCCCGGGTCTTCCTTGTGGTTGGGTGGACAGGGGTGGGTCCTGGCCCTGGTGCGGGGAACACCCTGTGCATTGTGGGCGCGGGGCCTGCCTGGGTGCGGGGAACACACCCTGAGCATTGTGGGCGCGGGGCCTGCCTGGGTGCAGGGAACACACCCAGTGCACTATGGACCCCGTAGGTGCCCTCTGTGGGGCTGGCTTTGGGGTTTGCCTGGGGGCATCCTGGACTGCCCCAACTCTAATGACAAGGGTCCTTGCATAAGGCAGGGATGGAGAAACAGACACAGGGAGGGCGTGGGGGTCGGAGGTGGGGGCTGCAGCCCTCAGGAGCTGAGAGAGGTGGGAGGGATCCTTAAGGGCCTGGAGCCTCTGGGGGAAACTCGGCCCTGCCCACACCTTGGAGTCGGGCCCTGCCCACACCTTGGAGTCGGGCTCTGGGCCTCCAGAACGGTGAGGAGGTGAAGTCTTGCTGCTCCGAGCCGCCCAGAAGGGGTTGCTTTGTGCTGGTGGCCCCAGGACCCCATACACAAGGTGACCCCCTCAGCCCAGAAGCTCACTTCCCACGCCCCTTGCACTAGGCTAAGGCCTCGGGGGCACTCGTGGCCATCTCCAGTGACTGAGCAGGGCCTGAGAGGCCGGACTTCTGCACCTTAGCCCCACCCCACCTGATCTGAGGTTCCCACCCCGCGGGGGACACACGGTACCCGAGCCTGCTGGAGTCAGGACAGGGTCACATTCTCCTGGGGCAAGGTGGGCACAGACCAAGCCTCATACACATGCCTGGGAGCTTCTAAGCGCCATGTCCTTGGGTGCGTGCTGGGCCTGCCCTCCCGTGGTTTTGCATTCAGGAGCTGGACACAGAGAGGCCGCAGAGGTAACCGCACAGGTGGACTCAGTGGTGGCTCTCAGTCCCAGATCCTGAAGGCTACGGCGAGTCTCCCAGCCCCGGGGCCAACCCAGCGGCCAGGCTGCAGCCGCACGGCGGCTTAGGAGGGGGATGGTGGAGGGGGACCCGCTGAGACTGGCTGTCCAGCCTGTTCCGGCCCTTACCAGCCCGTGTTGAACTCGACGTGGGCATCAAAGAAGCCGACGACTGGGGCGGTGGCCGCCTTCCAGCCCTGCAGCCGCGCGCGGATCAGTCCTTCCCGCCGGCTGTTGCGGACAATCTTCACGAGGCCTGGGTACCGCTTGTTGACGTACTGGTCCAGATTGAACTTGAGTTCCACTGAGGAGAGACAAGACTTTAGCACGCTGGCAGGTGCTGGCAGGCGCGGGGCCACCAAGACCCAAGGCTGGAAATGCTGCGTGCCGCGTGTGGGATGGGTGTATTGTAAACATTCTCTTAGGACCCACTGAACCACATGTGGTTCAGCGTGGAGGTCACAGAGAGATGAGACCCCAGCCTCATGATGCTGACATTCCAGTGGGAGACACAGCAAATAAGGAAACACACCAGACAGACAGACAGACAGAGAGACAGACAGCAGCCCATGCTGTGGAGACACAGGACTGCAGTCAGCTGTAAAAAACCAAGTCCATGCATGGATGGGTGGACACACAAACGTGGCCTTCCATGCTGGGGGCAGGGTGTCCTGATGGAGCTCCCTGTGGCCAAGGGCAAGACACAGGTAGCCGAGCTGGACTGGATGGTCCTCCCCACACACCACCTTCTCCAGCGAGACAGGGCTCAGGAGGGCAGCCACGCCATTCAGTCCTCTGCACACAGACCCCAGTGTAGACGGTGCTGCTGGGCTAGGGCACTGCTGCAGGCCAGAGCTTGCCCCACAGCCCCATGGCACAGCCTCCTGCCTCCACGAGGGGTCAGGAAGGGGCTCCCCATGTTTTCCTCCATTTCCAGAGGGAGTGTCACGGCTGCAGGCTCTCTGCTCTGCGCCTGGGAAGGGCAGATGGGGGACAGGCCTGGGGCAGTGCAAGATCCTTGTTTGGGGTTTCAAGCCTGTGTGCTACAGGGTGTGAGTAGCACTGCCCTCAGGGGACCTGAAGCTGAGGAGGGTGGCGCTGAGGAACCATGGGGCTTGGGCTCCAGCTGCGAGCTCTGTCCAGCCAAGCTCTGGTGTGAGCCTCTGTGGGCAAGAGAGGTGGGAGGCGTGACTGGCACTCTGGAGAGCTCAGCTCTACTGGCCTCTGTGGAAGGGGGTGGCTGACCCCAACTTCATCTCCACCCGGAGCCTGAGAGGAGAGGAAGCAGGGACTTTGTAGATGTATCCGGTTGAGTATCTTGAGATGAAATCCTCCTGGATTTGGGGTGAGCTCTGTGTCTAGTCTGGGTCCTCATGAGAAGAAGAGAGGATGCAGACACATGGGAGAGGCCGCATAATGGAGGCAGAGAGAGGCACTGGCAGCCACACACTGGGGACAGCACGTACGCAGCCATGACAGAGGCTGGAAGGCAGGAGGGACCCCCATAGGTTTAGAGCCCCTGCGGACAGATGGGGTGCAGTCCTCTGTCGCTCTGCCCCCGGAGGCTCCACCCAACCCCAACTCAACCCAGCCACAGGCAGCCGCCCGGCGAGCACCGTGCCGAGGCCCCGCCCACTCACCGTTGTCACTGTTGTCGTCCACCAGGATGACCTCCTTGAGGAGCTGGGAGGGCGTGTGGTTGACCACGCTGTGCACGGAGCGCAGGATGACCGACAGCGCCTCATTGACGAAGATGAAGACCACGGAGACCTGGGGCAGGTCCTGGGCGTAGCTCATCTGTCTGCACCTGCAGGAAACACGGTTTGGGGTGCGGTCAGGGCGCAGCATGAGGGACCCCGGAAGCCATAGCTCATCTGTCTGCACCTGCAGGAGACACGGTTTGGGGTGCGGTCAGGGCGCAGCATGAGGGACCCCAGGAGCCATAGCTCATCTGTCTGCACCTGCAGGAGACACGGTTTGGGGTGTGGTCAGGGCGCAGCATGAGGGACCCCGGGAGCCAGGTGCACCCTTCGAGGGTCACTGGACAAGGCCTGGACCCTACAACCAGACGCCAAGGGTGTACGGGGGCCAGAGCTGTTCCAGAGAGAAACTAGTAACAGTAACACAGCACTCAGCACACACATGGCCCCTGTGCCCACCCCGTGCTCACAGCGACCCCGAGAGGAGATGAACGTCCCCGTTCCACAGACAGGAGCCTCCCCTGTGGGCCATGAGTGCAGGTGCTTGGATTCCAACCCCAGCCATCAGCTTCAGGAGCACGTTGGGGACGGCGCTGCTGGGCACAGCCGAGGAGCTGGGCACAGCCAAGGAGCCAGCCACCCGCACAGGCAGCCACTTCCCGCCCTGGCTCATAGCTGGTTCCAAGCCTCTGGTGAGAATTTCAAAGGGACAAGGGCTGTGCGCCACCATCATATTTATCTGGGCTGTGGTGCTCAGCCAGGGAGATTTCATCACTCAGAAAAATGCTTTCTGACAAGAAAACGTCACTCCACTCATCTGTAGAGGAAAAAGCTTGGATTGCACAGTTTTCATGAACTTGCAAAATGTGTAAAACAGAAAGTCCTGAGAAAGGAAGTACGTCCTAGGACGGACTGCAGGAGCGGCTGCAGGTTGGAAAGGAGAGGTTTTGGAGTTGGGGTGGTGGGCAGAGGCACTCCCAGAGCCCAGGGGGAGGGGGGCAGGGCTGCTCAGAAAGCCTGTGGCAAGTCCTGTCCCATGGGGTGGCCCCCCTCACCGTCCTCAAGCGCACACCCTGTACCTGTTTGTTCCTGCAGGTCTGTCTCCCCCCGTGACCGGAACGTGAGCGCCCTGACAGCAAGCTCCTTTTCTGTCCCATTGACAGCTCTATACCAAGAACCCAGGCTGTGCCCGGCACACAGCAGGTACTTTATAAACATCTGTGTAATGAGGGGACAAATGAAGACTCAAGGGGCCCCACAGGCACCGGCTGGGCCCGTGAAGTACTCACGCCTGCCCCCTACGCCTCCTCGGAGCAGTGGAGGAAGCTGCTGGCCTCTGGGGGACAGTGGTGGACTCCACCCTTCTTTCTCCCTCCATCACTAGGTCAGGAGGCGTCTCGGGCCTGGCTGCGGGGCCACATGCACCTGTGCTGAAGAACTTGCAAGCAGCAAGGACAAGTGATTTATGGCGTGACCGTTCCCGGGGGCCTCCAGCCTCTTCAGACTTTACGAGGGCAGGTGGGGGCAGAGAATCCCTGTCACCTACAGCACTCATTCTCAATGACCTCTCATTTGATTTAGAATCCATGTTCGGTACCCACTTCTTGCCCCAGAATATCGACGGCCTTTTATTGATGGATCTCAGCGGCCACTCGCTTTATAAACAAGCCGCCTGCATGGAACAGAAGGCCTCCCTGCAAGCTCATGGCACAGGTTTGAGAGATGGACGCAGAGGCCCCCGGGACGCTGGCCACGCGGAGAAGCGTGTGAGGAGCCCAGGAGCGATCAGGGCAACAGAACCTTCCAGATGCATCCTCTGCTCTCCGCTCAGCAGCAACATGAAGAAGCCGAGCCGGGATGGCCTAAGCAGGAAGGGGGCTGGTGGCTCATCCGTAGGAAAAGTCCAGGTGTGTTTGGTTTCGGGCCCGGCTTGGTCGGGGGTCAAAACTTGTCAGTGGGACACAGGCTTCTGCCTGCCTCTCTTGGCTCCAGCCTTCTGGCTTGAGTTTAATCTCAGGAAGGCCTGTCCGCATGGCCGGAGGCCGTGTCCGCGTGGCCGGAGGCTGTGTCCCCGCAGGTCCAAACCTTCCAGGGGTTTGAGTCCAGGGCAGCAAACCCACCTGTCTTCCCAGGACACGCAGGAAAAGCATCCCTGTGTCTGCTGGGCTCTGATTGGGTGACGTGCTCTTCCCTGAACCAATCGCTGTGGCCAGAGGAAATAGGGCACTCAGATTGGCTTATGCTCCACCGCGTCATGCTGGACTCAGGGCCTGGCAGGTGCGGCTCCTAGAAGTGGGGCCCGTGGATGCTGGACCAGCCGTCAGCAGATGTTCCTGACAGGGAGCAGCGCCAGGGTCCGATCCAGGTTCGAGCCCAGGCGCCCACAGGCGAGACCGACAGCCATTGGGAGCCTCAGTCTCCGGCACAATGAGGATCCCAACCGCGTCCGCCTCGCAGGTCGTACGAGGGAGATCCTGCCAGGTCGTTTCCACACGCGCGGAGTTGAAGCGTTTTTATTTAACTCCCTGTCGCCCACCTGCTGGCAAATGGAAGACAATGAAGACCAGGATGACTCTTCCAAATCTCGCTTTTCTGCAAGGCTCAACCCAGCCCCAAGAAAAAGATAAAGGAGCGCAAAGATTTTCCAACAAGTCCCAAATGCCCATCAATGAGGAAGGCAAGTCGCTCACCCCGAAGTTCAGCCCCCAGCCTTGTCCTCCTGCGCTCCTGCTGGGGATGAGGGAGAGGCCACGGGGAGAAAATGACGGCTGGACCGGTCCTCCCCGTGGAAGCCTTTCCTTCCGTGGTGGGCTGAACGGTGTCCTCCTCCCGCGACCCAAGACACAGTGTCAGCAGGACATGGGCCTCTGTCTCCGATCTCGGAAACACATCTTCTGGCCCGGGTTTAATCTCAGAAGGGCCTGTCCTCATGTGACTTATTGCAACTAGGATCTTTGCAGATGTAATTGAGTTAGGGATCCTGAGATGAGCTTGAGGCAGGATCGGTAGGATGAGGAGGCCACACTGACGTCCTTGTTCCCTGTGTGAAGCCCCCGGGCCCCTTTTGCAGCAGGCTTCGCAAGGTAAGCAGCCCCACAGGACACCAGCCGACAGCCGGATGCTTACAAGTTCCTGATGCCCGGTACAGGCCCGGGAAAGACAATGAAGATACCTTATTCCTGATGTAGCTTCCCCAATCTCCAGCCAGTCAGCACCCAAAGCCCACCAAGCTCTTAGCCACACATTCCTGCCTCGGAGGGGCCAGGGGCTTCTCCAGGACACTGTACACACAGTTACACTCCAAGTTCAGCTCATTTTAATAGTAAGAGACACACCCCCAGGTGAGGATTCTATATGTAATGATACATGCAGTGTGTGTTGGAGCATGTAGGTACTGAGCATGTGTGCCAACCACAGGCCTGTCTGCCTTTACACGCCCGACCTCGCCGTATTTCATGAACAGGCACGCACAGCCAACCGCGGGCCTGTCTGCCTTTACACGCCCGACCTCGCCGTATTTCATCAACAGGCACGCACAGCCAACCGCGGGCCTGTCTGCCTTTACACGCCCGATCTCGCCGTATTTCATGAACAGGCACGCACAGCCAACCGCGGGCCTGTCTGCCTTTACACGCCTGACCTCGCCGTATTTCATGAACAGGCATGCACAGCCAACCGCGGGCCTGTCTGCCTTTACACGCCTGACCTCACCATATTTCATGAATGTGCATGCACAGCTCCCGAGAAAGGACTCCCCTCGAGCTAAGGGGCTGCTTCTCCCTCCGAGCAGCGCCTTTGCTTTGTGACAAACTTCTTTGCCTACTTGAGCTTTGGACTTGCTCTCAAATTCTTTTGTGCTGCAAAGTCAAGAACCTGACCCAGCCACCCACTGATAAAGAGATCATCCTGGATTTAGGGCAGGTCCTAAATCCAACGACGGTGTCCTTAAAGAGAGGGCAGAGGAAATGCAACACGGAGGCCCAGGCAGGAGGCCATGTGGAGGTGGAGGCCGAGACTCGAATGGCACGGCCACGAGCCCAGGGAAGCCTGGAGCCCCAGAAGCTGGGAGAGGCAGGAGGGATCCTCCCTGAAGCCTCTGGAGGGGCACAGCTCTGGCCACTCTGTGATCTTGGGGTCTGCCCTCCAGAACGGGGGACAGTGCATTCACATTGTTGGAAGCCACCTGCTTGTGGCTCCTTGTTACAGTGTCCACAGGAGATGTTTTGTCTTCTGCTCTCGGACTTGGGGCCTGGACCTCCCCTCCTGCAAGGTGGCTCTGCCAGCACAGCGTTGGCTGCTCTCGGCATTGCTGCGTGGGCCACCACCGAGTCGGGCAATGGGGATATGAGGGGGGTCCTGAGCCTCTGTCATTATTTCCTGCTGTCCCTAAACAGGCTCAGGGTCTCCCTTGGCTGGGGGCAGAGACTCAGGTGAGCATCCTGGCGTCTCTGAGAATAAAACGTCACAGACGCAGCCTCCACTCAGCGAGCGAAAGGGGCAGCCCGAGGTGTGATCCGCGTCTGGATGTGCGGTTGAGCTCTCTCCCCGAGGAGCAGTGAGGAGGTGGCATGTGGGCGCAGAGAGGGATGGAAGTGGGAAAAGCCGGCTTGTCTCACAAAAAAGAAGACACCTGAGCCCAGAGCTTGAGCAGCCGAGAGGAGGGCTGGGGAATGAGGGCAGGGAAGGAGGCAGGCAGGGGAACCAGGGCGGGGAAGGAGGCAGGCAGGGCCACATGGCGCCAGCTTGTGGCAGGGGTGGATGGGGTGGGCTCCAAAGCAGGGGCCACTGGAGCAGGCCACACTGGGAGGCATGTGACCAAACTCCCAGCCACTCGCTCCAGCACACAGGCTGGCCCATGGCAAAAACAGCAGACAGGAGGATGGGAGGTGAGCAGCCGGGGGTCCTTGGTGAGGCTAAGACGCATTCTCCCGTGCACACGGAGAACCCACACCGTCGCCCAGCACCCCAGAGGGCTTCACGGTAGAACCTGAGCAGCTGATTCTGAAATTCATGTGGAAATGCAAAGGACCTTGGAGAGCCAAAGCAATCTTGAAAAAGAACCAAGCGGGAGGACTCACACCACCTCAAGTTAAGACTGATTTTAGTACCACAGCCATTGGCAGGGCAACACTGGTGTGAAGCTAGACAAAGAGAAAGATGCATTGAAATAGATAAAGGAGTAAAGTGAAGAAATAATACTGCTTCGGAAAATGGGGAAATACACAAGCACACACACTCACACACACATGCACTCACACACACGCACACACACGCACTCACACGCACTCACACACGCACTCACACATGCAGTCACACACATGCATACAACCCACATGCACACACACACGCATACAACCCACATGCACTCACACGCACACACGCACACAAATCCACATGCACTCACACACATGCACACACACACGCACTCACATACAGTCACACACATGCACACAAACCCACATGAACTCACACACATGCACACACACAGGCAGATACACACGAACACACATGAACACACATGCACACAAACCCACATGTGGTCACACGCACTCACGCAGTCACATGCACACAAACCCACACGCGCACTCACACACACAAACCCACACACACACTCACGCTCACACACACGCAATCTCACACAAGCACACTCTCAAACCCATACATGTACTCACACACATGCACTCACACCCATACACACATTCACACACACTCATACCCACACATACACTCACACATGGACACCCACCCCTACACACGCACGCACACACTGAAACACACACGTATGCTCTCACACACACACCTTGGCAAGCAACAAACACTTCTTATTCTGGATAAATGAATTTTGATCTGTACCTTCCACCACATACAAAAATTAACCCAGAACGGATCATTGACCTAAATGTAAACCCTAAAACCATCAAGTCCCTGGAAGGGAATAGAGGAGAAAGTCTTTGTGACCTTGGCTTAAGCAAAGATTTCTTCACTATGGCAACAAAAGCATGATCCAAAACAAAACAAAATGGATAAATTGGACTTTATCAAAATAAAAAACCATCTGTTCTTTGAAAGACACTCAGGTGTAGAAAGCCAAGCCACAGCCGACTGGAGAAAATACTTTCAAAGCACGCATCTGATAAAGGACTTGTATCCAGAAGTAAGACAAAAGTAAGAAAACAAAATGTCCAATGAAAACTGGGGAAAAGACCAGAACAGACACGTCACCACCGAAGACGCCCAAGCAGCCATCAAGCACGTGCGCAGGTGCCCCCCTCGGCGGCCATCAGGGAGCTGCCACTCGGAGCCACACGGGGGCCGCTGTCTGGCTACCGGAAAGGCTGACGTGCAGCCGACGTACAAAAGCGGCGCCGGTGAGGGTCGCGGAGGGGCCGGAACGCCCACGTGTGGCGGGTGGGGACGGGAGGTGGCGCAGCTGCTTGGAAAACAATCTGGCCATTTGTTGAAACATAAAACGTGTGGATATCTGAGCCTGGAGTTCAAGCCAGGGCTAGAGCTAGACATCCAGGACTGTTTGCCTCCATTAGACAGGACTGAAAGACACAGAGGGAGGAGGCCAAGGCCTGAGCCCTGGAACCCCAACCTCGGAGCTCCGCAAAGGCACAGAGGGTGGGCTGTGCAGCCAGGGAGGACCCAGGGCGGCCTCAGCGCTGAGGCAGGGGGAGGCGTCGGGAGGCAGCGTCACCTGCCCGACTGCGGCCAAGGAAGATGCTGGCCGAGAATTTGCTCTGGGCTTGGTGATGGGAGGACTCGTCGAGTGTGATTTCCACGCGTGGCGGGTCCCATGCCCCCCGCGGGAGAAGAGCAAGCAGAGCCAGTGGCTGCGAGCTTTTCCGAGGAGCGGGACCGCCAGGCGGAGCAGAGGAAGGGGCAGGAGGTCAGCAGCGTCCTCCGGGCGGGAGCCACGGAGTCCCATTTGCGTCTGGTGCTGCTGGAAAAAGCAAGAGAAGGTGGAGGGGCGTCAGGGAGGAGCCCGTGCCGGTCCCGAGCCCAGGGCGGGGTGGCCTTTTCCTGGGGCAGGTGCTGCTCCGAGCAGGAGGGTGGGGCATAGGAAGCTGGGCCCATGGTCAGACATGGTTTCAGCTCAAATACCAGAAGTGACCGTGAAGAAAGCAGGAATTTGGCTCCATGGATTCGGGGCCGAGGGCGGAATCGTGAAATAGACGCCGCTGGGAACGCGTACCTGGGGCAGGTCTCAGACGCGTGGGGCCGGATCCCGGTGGGGTGGCACGTGGCGCCTGCTGGGACCCTGTCCTGGCCGCTCACTTTCCCGTGTCTAACCAGCTATGCAGGCCTGGCCTTTGCCTGCAGCACACACAGGCGAGGGAGATGGGCGCACGGGATCAGCCAGTTTCCCAGATAACTTAGGCCCAGCCTGTTCTACAAACAGCTTTGAGGCCTGAACAGCACAGACGGACCCTCTCACTGAGGGCACCCCCAGGTGACTTCGGTCTCCAGCTCTGTCTCAGGAGCCACGCTCTGGAAGAAACTCTTCAAAGAAAACTGCTCCTGAGACTGCTCTTGTTTAGTTATTCCAACAAGAACAAGTCCCATTTAGGGCCGAGAAATGAAACAGGGTCACACCTATTATAGGATATAGTGCTGAACAGACATCTTTTGTAAAACAGTCCATTGACTGTGGCCAAGACAGTTGTAAACTATGGAATCAATAACCACTGAGCTTGGCAACAGTGAGCACCTCTGATCCTGGGTGTGAGAAACAGAAGTTGTCACAGAGGCCCCGTGTCTCCCTGAAATAGCCCCGTGTCTCCCTGAAATACGATCACCAGGAACCTCCTCCAGAAGGCAAAGGCCGGCACAGAATCCTGCAGGCTTCACAGAGCCCTGCCCAGGGGCAAACCAGAGAGCTGGGGCCTGGAGTACCCAGCAGGTGATGCCACCTCTGTGCCCTGCCAGGTGCCACCTGGAGATAAAACCCCAGGGACAGGAGCCCCTGAGAACAGCTGGCTTCACGCGTTAGCTCTTGCGTACATAATGGTTCTGAGTCTACGACTGTAATCAATAGGAACTCAATTTGACTTCAATTGACTTCAATTCTTTCTTTAAGAAGAAATGGATTGGATGTGTCTGAGGTCCCAGGTGGAGCTGTCGGCCGTCATCTCCCGGCCAGAGCCCGACCACACAGCCACAGCCATGGCCACAGCCACAGCCACGGACACGGCCACGGCCACAGCCACAGCCACGACACCCTGCAAGGGATGCCAGGAAATGTGGTCTTCACTCTGGCTGGAGCCCAGATACATTTCAGAATTCTATCAGGGAGGAAGAGCGGGAGAAAAGATAAGAGGCAGATGACGGTCAGTCATTGCCACACACAGGGAGGAAGGGGAGTGGGAGAGGAGACAGGAGGCAGAGATTCAGAGAGAGCAAGGAGGAGATGGAGCAGAGAGACAGCGAGGGGGAGAAAGGAGGGAAGGAGGAGACAGGGGCAGAGAGAACGAGACAACAGCAGCACAGTCCTTAAAAATCAAGCAGAGGGGAGAGCAGGTGCCTCAGCTGCCGCCGTCCGCTGCTTCTCCATGACAGACGCTGCGCCCGTCACTCTGTGCCAGTCCCCCATGCGCCCTTCAGTGCCGTGTGTGTTACTGCGGCAGCAGTGGCCATGTGGGGCCACACGTTCTCAGCAGGGCGGTCACACGTGAACAGCCTGTGTGTGTCTCTGAGCCTTGGGGACACGTTTGCCAGCCGACGAAACTCCAGTCACCCGTCACTGCCAGGGCTCGAGGGTGGGGGGAGGAGGAGACAGGAGAGAGGAGAACGCTGCCACGCCCCGCCCGGCTCCCACCCGTCACTCTGCCTCCGCCGCTCCCACCCGCACACCTGTACATCTGCCTTCTTGTGTGTTTCTTCCAGGTTTCTTTATCCCATTTTGAACCAATTTTATCACACCATAAAATTAAGAGATTGTCCTCTTTAAAACAATGAAGCCAGGACAGATCCACCAAGCCTCCCTCCGACGCCCACCCTCAGGCCCCGCCCCTGTCCCCCGAGGTGACGCCGACGTGGGTGTGACAAGTGTCCCTCCAGGTCTGCCCACAAAACACTGGCCTGGCGCTGTGCCCTGCTTTTTAGACACAAACGGCGTTGGGGCAGCTGTGGCCTCGTGCCTTGCCGTGATGCTCCGGCATGGGGTCTGTAAATGGACCCTGCCGAAGGCTGTTTCAGGTTCAGGCTTGGCCGAGGTCCCAAGTCAACAGGGCCAGCGACGGCCAGGGCCCCAAGGCGAGCAGAGCCCCGCACAGAACGTGCAGGGAGGCTCCCACGCGTGGGAGGCCGTGGCTGCCAGGAGGGCCCGTCCCCCGTGCGCCCTTCAGTGCTGTGTGTGTTACTGCGGCAGCAGCCATGTGGGGCCACACGTGTTCTCAGCAGGGCGGCCACACGTGAACTGTGTGTGTCTCTGACCCTTGGGGACACGTTTGCCAACTGACCAAACTCCAGTCACCAGCCACTGCCAGGGCCAGAGGCTGCGCTCGAGGGCGGGGGGAGGAGGAGACAGGAGAGAGGAGAATGCCGTCACGCCCCGCCCGGCTCCCCCAACTCAGAGCAGCCCCAGAGCGGTCGGGGGACGCACCGTGGGGACAGATGCACGGCGGGGACCCCTCTGTGGGCCACGCCTGCTCATCACGGGACCCAGGCTTCTGTTACGAGCGAGCAGAACCCTGTGGGCCTGGCCCAGGTCTCACAACGACCCAGGGAAGCACCCCCTCAACGGGACAGAGTGGGCAATGGTGCGGGGCGGGACAGGGTCAGGGCAGGTGCTCCTTGGCATTCTGACGGTGGCTCCACACAGGCCCTCCACGATGCCCCTGCAGCAAACTTGTGCAGAAGAAAATATCACAGCGCCACCACCCTACTGCCGGGCGCTTAAATTAGTTCCCGGCTTCCCGTGACACCCAGCAGCTGTGGAAGTGCCTGGGCAGGTTGCTTGCACATTCTTTCTGGACTTTTCTGTGTTTTCCGCAGGAGAATGCTCTTACTTCATGCCATTAATGTGCACCTAACACCTGACACTCATCACAAACCTTTGTAGACAAACTGCTGTTTAAATTGGAAATAATGGAACACATACACCTCATTTTTCACCCAGCACTAGTTAGCATAAAATAATTTCTTTTACCCATAATACAGTACCCTTCTCAATTAACAAACTGTCTTTAATTTTTAAAGGGATATTTATCAAACATACATCAAATATGACGATGAATGAAGCAATACAAAGCCTGTGCCCAACGCTCAGTCTAGGAAAGTGGGTGATCACCCCGGCGTCCACCCTCCCTCCACTTCGCAGGCTGCCGTCTCTGGACCTCGTGTGCCTTCCCCGTGGCTCTGCGCCACGCCTTCCCATCCCCAGCCACACCCGGCTCACCTTTGAGCTCGACGCCATGGCCACTGTCTCCCGCACACGGGCCTTAGGGCCCCACTCCTCCTCCTGACATTGAGTTCCTGAGATTCCACCTGAGTGGCTGTGAGCACTGTGGTCATTCTCGCTGCCAGGCTGTGTCTGTTCTATGAAATCACAGTTCCACTCTGCTGGTGGGGGCAGCAGTGGCTTCCGGACTCTCCTTCTTTCTTTCTTCTTTATTTTTGAGACAGAGTCCTACTCTGTTGCCCAGGCCGGAGTGCAGTGGCACAATCTCGGCTCACTGCAACCGCCACCTCCCGGGTTCAAGCAATTCTCCTGCCTCACCCTCCCGAGTAGCTGAGATTACAGGTGGGTGCCACCATGCCCGGCTAATTTTTGTATTTTCAGTAGAGACGGGGTTTCACCATGTTGGCCAGGCTGGTCTCGTGTGATGCGCCCGCCTCGGCCTGGGGTTCCTGTTCTTGCTCAGGGCCGCTGCTGCTGGCTGCCTCCTGGTTTCCAGCTGTGCCCGAATCAGCTCGCCCCACTTCAATGGTGGCAAGGTGCCCTTCCTGGGGGCGGGCAGCCCAGGACCCACAGCCGGGACCCTGTAGGCTCCAGCAGCTCTGTGTGAGCAGCCCTGGCCCCTGGCCCTGTGCTGGAGGCAGCGTCCTCCCCACTCCGATGTCACAGAGGAAACAAATGCAAACCGTTCAGCAGTGGCCCCCGAATAACTCAGCCTGAGTGGAACCCGAGGGTTCTTTGCAGGACTTAAGTGGCGCCGTTTCTGTCAGACAGAAAATAAACTAAGTTTATGGTATTTGGAAAGCATCAGAGTTCAGCAAGATCACGGCACCCAGGACCACTTGAGAGCTGCAGTGATTGAGGGCTGGGCAGAGGCGACGCAGCTGGGGACAGGCCAGGAATGTCGGCCCCATCCAGGGAGCACAGGGCGCCCCTCCCAGGGCCTTGGAGGAAATTCAACCCTGTCAAGCTTGGAGGCCTTCGGCGCATTTAGCCGTTGAAGGAAGTACCCACCGTGGTGTGCTCCAACCAGCATTTTCACATTCACAGTGAGGCCAGCTCGCTCCTGCTCCCACCAGCCCATCGCAGGTCAGAGAAAAGCCAGACGCCCTGCTCCACATCTCTCTCATACTTCTCCGCTCTTCACAACAGGCAGCCTGGCCAGCCCCTTCTCACCTCCCTGGGCACTGCGGCTGCACCCCCAGGCCTGGCAAGGTCACGGTGACCTCCACACCAGCCCATGCAATTCCAGGCTTCCCATTGCCCCTGAGAAGGTCAAAGCCCCGGGTTGCTCAGCCAGGCCGCTCCCTCCACCATCCCCTCTTGGTTCCCTTTGGCTCACTCACCTGCGCCCGGCCCCTGGCTCTGTGGCCTGCGCTCCAGGCCTGCTCCTGCCCCAGGGCCTTTGCGCTCCCCACCCCCACCTGGATGGCCACACACGCCCTCACCCTTCAAGAGGCTCACCCCGTGCTCAACGTAAAATCCCACCAGAGCCCCGGCCTCCAGCCTGCTGCTCTGCCTCTCCCACCCCCACCCCCGGCTTGCTCTTTGCACCCCTGCCCTGCTCTCCTGCTGGCTGGGGCTCCTGGGGCAGGGGTTCTGGGTGTGGGTTTGCTGTTTCACCGCCTCATCTCGGGACCCAGAACTGTAGACGCACACAGGGCTCCATGTGTGGCCTTTATGGAGCTTGAATTCATTGCACTCAGCAGAGGGGAAGGCAGGTGATGAGCGGGCGTCGTCCAAAGCCTCAGAGCTGTGGGTGAGTCTCCAAATGGTTTTGTTTGAACGTAACATTAAAAGTCTAAGTTGTGGCTTGGGCTGAATTAGAAGCTACAGCACCACACACACATGCACACATAAGCAGACACCACACACACGCACACATGAACATATGCCACACACAAGAACATACCCCACACACACGCACACATGCACAGACACTACACATCTATGAACATACCACGTGCACACAGGATACACCACACACACGCACACACGTGCACACTCCCCCCGTGGGCTCCTGGCAGCAGGGGCTGTTCCCATCACTCTGGTGCTTGCCCCTGCTGGGGAACCGTCCAGTTGTCACCAACTCACTTCTAAGCCATGTATCAGGGCTTCCCAGCCTCAGCTCCAGACTGCACGCTCAGCTTCTCCATGTCCAGCCCGGCATGCAGGGCATGACGTGTGACAGGGCTCAGCCCCTCCATGTCCCTTCTTTCCCCCGTGTCTAGGCTGTCCTTGCCAGGCAGTGGACTTTCGCTCTTGCCCTGCTCAGCCGCTTCCCTCCTCCTTCCCATAAAACATGGGGCTCAGCCCGGCAGGAACTCCCTAAGTAGCTGGGTGGAGTTCCAGCCCTGGATGAAGGGGAGGGCACAGGACCAGGCTGAGCCAATCAGCATGGCAATAGGCTCAGGGAGAGACACACGGCCCAATCAGAGCCAGGAGAGGTTGGCTGGGCTCCGGGAGACAGGACGTGAGGCTGGAGTGGCTGCAGCCTCTTGCAGACAGTGGAGGCTCAGGCTAAGCCAGCAAGACCAAGAGGAGCACGGAGAGCTGGCAAGACGCTGGCCCGATGATATCGCCTGAGCCGTGAATCCTCCTGGCCAACGCCAGGGCTTCCTCAGGCTTTGTCATTGCAGGGACACTTCCCTCCCTCCCTCCTTCTCTGTCTCTCTCCCCACTGCCTCTCTTTCTAGCTTAAGCCAATTTGAGATGGATTTTCTGTCACTTGCTGTTGAAGGAGTCCTGGTCCAGCCCAGGTGGATTTCGTGCAAATGAAACCCACATAATGCAAGTCTGTGTGGAAGTGATCGTCTGCGATCGGCGCGTGCCCTTCGCCTTATGAACAGGAGCCATGGGTGACACGAGCGCCTCGGCTGGGCCGCCGGGGTCCGTCTGAGGTCCATCTGTCTCCAGGTGTGTGCTGGGTCTGTGGGTGAGATGCTGCGTGTGCATGTGTGTGTGCCCAGGTGTGTGTGTGGGAGCTGGATCCCAGGCCACCCGCACAGTGGGAGAAGGGGGAGCTGGATCCCAGGCCTGAGAAGGCTCTTTCTGCTTAGAGAGTCCAGGGCTGCCTGGCATCGAGCCGGCTCTGCCCCGCAGGTCCCAGTGAATCCACATTGCAGCAGGAAGCCACAGGGCAGGAACCTCAGCTTTCCGGTTGGCTTCCATGAACCAAGGACAAGCTTGCTTAAAGTTGTGCCCGGAGAGGCCGGGAGAGCTGCTTCAAAGGCAAAGACCACCCAGTGGGAGTGCATTCCCCTGGTGCTCACCCAAGGGTCCCACTCCCCCTGAGACATTTCCTTCCCAGGGCACAGACCCCAGGCCTGGACAGAGCCGGGCACGTGTGAAACGGGAAGATGTCAGCTGGGGAACCGGCCGCAGCTCCCAACCTTGATGAGGAAAGAAACCTGGTAGCTGTTCCTGCAGAAAAGCCACATGGCTCGCCGCCTATCTCCACGATGGTACCTGGCTTCTCCCATCCTCACCGTCCACGTCTACTCCCTTCCCATCCCAGACCCGAGACGCAGAAGGCTTTAGACAGAGCAGCTTCATCAGGAATCTGGACTGGGCTGAGGTACCTGCTCCCAGCTCCTCAAAGTGCCATCCGGTAAATCTGCATCTATTAGAGCTGACAGCCAGGCTGCTCAGGCTTAAACAATTAATATGCATGAGGAGTCCGCAAACACAGAGCAGGGGCATGTTACTGTGCTGGGATGTAGGACGGCTTCTCGGATAAGGTCATTCATTTTTATGATTCTGCTTAATTTGGATTTGCCAGTCTTCCTTTCATTATCCCATGGGCCAGTCTTAATAATCAAGACTATGTTATGTGCTTTGTGGCATAATTAAAGCCACTGCCTAATTAGACAAGCATCTACCGTCTGACAAAGAGAAATCAGTAATGCAGCTAATGGAGAAAGTGGTGAGGAGTTGGGTTTGAAAGTGGATGGAATCACCTGTTGGTGCCAGAACACACACACACATGCACACATGTCCACACATGCACACACATCTGTGGACACACACACACATGTACATACATCTCACACACACAGATACATGCACACATGTACACACGCAGATACATGCGCATGTACAGGCATGCACACATACACACACACACACACTCTCCTACATTCTATGTGTGTTTCCGATGACCAGCCCTGTCAAACCAAACCAATCAGCAGTGCAGTTTCTGCCGGGATAGTTGGCCTCTGAGGGGTTAAAGCCATGCAGGGAATCCAAGTCTGAGTTTCAAGTGGGCCGGGCTGAGCTTGCTTTTGTTTACTTCTTTAATCATCCATGGACGCTTGCTGGGGCCTGCAATGGCCAGGCACATCCACCCACGTGGGACAAGATGCAGCTTCCGTGGCTGCTTGCAGGGGATGGAAGACTCCCACAGACGCCTGCTAACATCACATGCCCAAGTGTCACCGCGATGCCACGTCCAGTCTGAGCCATTCCTCGCCCATGTCCCTGTCCTTGTTGCATAGCCGGCCTCCAGCGTGTGGCTTCGTGCAGCGACCAGACCGTCGTGTGACTTTCTGCCACGGTTGCTGGGGTTGGCACTGGGGCAGACCTGCTGGGGGGTTCTGGGTTGCAGCTGGAGCGCTGGGACTGGCAGGACGCCTCTCTTCGTGCTGCCCCAGGGCCCATCCACGTCGACTCCCGGCGTGAAGCGTGTGGGCTGCCTCACAGCCTGGCAGCTCCAGGACTGCTGGGGGCTCCCCCCGCGGCCCCGGCTCTGCTGGCAGCACTGGGCCAGAAGCAACTCACCTTCACACAGCCGCCCTGAAGGCACGTAGGTTCCGGAAGGGAACCTTGGGAAATGGGATTCGTGCCATACTCATGGGAGTCCCAAGCTCCCTCGCCCATTTCACTCCATGAGGATAGGAGGGGACAGCTGCTGACGACCTGGCAGAGACCCTGCGCCAGGCCCCACCCCACCGGCACCCTGATCTTGCACTTCCGGCCTCGAGAATGGTGAGAAACTCCTCGTGTTGTTTATAAGCCACCCGGTCAGTGGCCCTCTGACCAGGGCCAGCAGCTCTGAGGCCCTCCCCCCGCCCCGGCCCCCTCCCCCTCACTCCCACACCCACCCTCTCTGGTTTTTCTAAACTCCTCCTCCCCATTCTAACCCCTCTCTCTGGCCCCTGCGGGCTCTGGGGAAGCCCCGGGGACAGTAGGCAGGGGCCAGGCTGCTGGGCTCCCCGAGGCCCCCGGGGGCTGGGAGTGGGTTAAAGCCGTCCAGGGCTTCGCTAGGGAGGGGCTCCAGCAAGACCCTGTTTAAACCTCCTTCCCACCACAGCGTGGGCGCCACGTCGCACTCTCTGGGTATGTCTCAAGGTGTGGATAATGCAGACTTCTGAGTTTAAAAAAATACCAAAAATAAAATAATCAGGCATCAAACATACAAGTTATTTGAGGACTTAAAAACAGCACAGCAGGCTGGAACAGGAGGCCCCTAACCCGATGGTGTCATCTCTACATCCACAGCCCCCGCCCGGGAGGGTCTGAGCCAGGCAGCCTCCCCGGGAGCCGGTGCTGACACGGCCAGAGAAACCATTCCAGACCCGGACCCCACTGTCCCCAACACCTGCGGGCCAGTGACTCAGGGCGGTGGAGAGAGCCAAGAGGAAGTGGAGGCTGAGTGGCCCTCCCCGGGGCTGGGGCCCGCCGTCTGGTTGTGTCTCCAGCCGCTGGTTTAGGGGAATCGGGAGGGCTCACTTAAGCATCCCTTCCCTGCGTGCTCTTCCATCGCGGGACAGAAGACCCGACTGCTGCCAGCACCAAAGGGTGTTCCCACGGCACACGCCGCTTGGGCTCGGGCAGGCAGGGACCCCTCCTCGTGCCTCGGGAGCCTGGAGCTGTCGGCCCTGCAGCTGAGGACCACAGGAGGTCAGGGACATGCAAGCTCAGTGCCCGAAGTCACTTCTAGAGTGCGATTCGGTGTCCCTGAAGGTCCCAACTCTGCCCTGACACATTACAGAAAATGTCGCTGCCCCCTGGTGTGGATGCTGGCCCGCCCCCGGGGAGGCTTCTGCCCCATCACCCAGCCCAGCCCATCCCATCCCAACAGGACTCAGCCTCCAGTGGCTACCATCAGACCCCACGGCATGGTGACTGTCACTGCAGAGGGCTAGAGAGGGCCGCGTGTGGGACGGCAGGGGCCGACGGGGGGCTCTGCATTCCCCAGTAACCCAGGTTTCTGCTGGGGCTGCTCCCCAGCTGCTCTGCTCCCCAGCTCCCTACAACGCGGATTTATTCTTATTTCCCACAGGGAAGGCCTAACAAGGCTTGACCAATCAGTGAAGGGCATTCCCCAGACTGCTGGCTGTGACTGGGTCCCAGATAAGCACGTGACCCACTATGGGCCAATGAAAGTCGCCTGAGACTTTTGCTTGCATGGTTGCTGGGACGGTCCAAAGTCCTCAGTGGGGACGGCTGGCTGCAGCTGTCAGACTTGGAGCGTGAGGACAGAGCTGGGCCGGTTCCTCCCTGGGATCTCCCCTCCCCGAGCACAGGCTCTGCTCTGCCCAGCCCCATGCTGTCCCCTGTGCGACCGCTGTGGGCTTCCTGCCAGGCTCCTGCACCCTCCGGCTTCTGTTGGGTTCAGTTCTGGGAGGCAGCCCCGGAGTCTGGAGGGTGGAAGGAGTGAGGGGCATCCCCTGTCCCCTCCCCACAGTCTTGGCAGTGGTTTCTTCTCTCCAGAGTTACTGTCCCTACCCCCTGTCCTCTCTCTGCAGCTCCAGCTCTTGCTGGGCGCCTGTGATTCTCACCCCTGTCCCTTCAGGCCGTGGGGAGAAGAACATCCCAGTGCGGTCACTTCCTGGATCCAATTCCTGGATGCCCAGTGTCCGCCGGGTCTCCTGGATTCACCGTGGTCACTGCCTGGATGCCCAGTGTCCACTGGGTCTCCTGGATCCAATTCCTGGATGCCCAGTGTCCGCCAGGTCTCCTGGATTCACTGTGGTCCCTGCCTGGATGCCCAGTGTCCTCCAGGTCTCCTGGATTCACTTCCTGAATGCCCAGTGTCTGCTAGGTCTCCTGGATCCACTTCCTGGATGCCCAGTGTCTGCCAAATCTCCTGAATTCACTTCCTGGATGCCCAGTGTCCACCAGGTCTCCTGGATTCTGCCTGTGTCCACGTGAGGGCACCATCAATTTCCTGCAAGGATCCTGACAGTCAAGGTACATCTAACCTGAGAGCAGGCAGGGGCTGGACTATCCCCTAGATCAAGCCATGCCTGAAGCCCCACCTTTCAGTTGCCTGAGTCAACAGATTCCCTTTTTGGGTTGAGCCATTTCTAATTGGATTTTATGTCTTACTGACTGAACTATCAGGATGGCCAGCAGTAAGGGGTTTCGTTTTGGAGGATGAGGGACACAAATGTCTCTTCTCCAAGGTGAGGAGATGCCTGAAGGACAGGAGACACTCACAGGAGGCCCTGGAGACAGATGTGCCTCACAGGCATTCCTGAGGACCTGTGGCCTGGCAGCACAGAGACTGGGTGAAAACAGAACCTTGTGATCTGCAAGTTCTGCCGCTGCCCTGTCTGTGTCTGTGAAGCAAAGTGTCCAGAAGGGGCCCGCGTGGAAGCTTCTGAGAGCGGTTAGGGGAACGGGGCCCCACGTCCTCCCCGGAGGGCTGGAGACAGAGGCAGGCCGTGCCCCCAGCCCAGAGTAGGGAGGAGGCTGGCAGGCGGCAGCTGTGGAAAGGAGGCGGAGCCCCCAGACTCCTGAGCCAGCAGAGGAAGGAGTGGGACAGAGCCCACCCCAGAGGGAGACAAGACCCCGGGGAAGAGACCCCTCAGGGTGGCCCCCCAGCCCCTCCCAGGCTCAGCTTTCAGCCTGCACCCCCGTCTGGTCCCTCAGAATGACTGAGGTTTCCACTCTTTTTCTGCCAAATCTCTAGACTCCACGTCCCCGCTCTGCCACCTACTCTCTGTGGGATCTGAATAAAGAGACTTAACCTTTCCTGCCTCAGTTTCCCCATATGTAAAATGGGACAATAAGAGGCTCTGCCTCTAAGCCTTGCTGCAGGGATTAAGGGAGCGATGCGTGGTCTGCAGCCAGCCCCCTGCAGCCAGGCCCCTGCAGCCAGCCCCCTGCAGCCAGCCGCCTGCAGCCAGTGGTTCTTCAGTGGCCCCAGGGAAAGGCCAGGCACTGTGGAGACGCTTCCCAGCCACACTCGCTGAGCCGCGCCGGGATAGGGTCTCTCCACCCAAGCTCCTTTTAGGAAAGTGGTTCCTGGGAAGATGGATAAGACCCAGCGTCCACCGGGGTCTGCGTTCTAAGTGGTACGCTTGTGAGGGCTGTTGCACGTGAACAATTCCCTGTGATACATTCCGCAGGCACCGGGGAAGCTCCAGGCTGGGCGTGGAGCCTCAGAGACTGTGGGCAGGGCTCGTGAGGGGCAGGCGAGGGGCCAGGAGGCCTCCTTCGCATTCGAGCTTCTCAGCCACGTGTGCAGGGGTGGGCTGGGTGTGGGAGTGTGTGTGTCACTGGTGTCAAAGCCTCCTCACTTTTTTTGGGAAAGAAATGGGATATAAATACATGTGTAAATATCTATATAAAATTCACATTCTCTAATTCAGGAGGCAGAGAGCTGTGTGCCTTCAAACCAGAGTATCTATAAACTGGGTTTCTATCAGTGAGGGTATAGAGCAAATGCCGGCTCTGTCAAGGTTCATCCCGATGTCGTTCTCTGTGACGTAAAAACAAAGCTGGGACTGGCCACTTCTGCCAGACTTTATCTTGGCAGACAGGTTTCCTACAGCAGCGGCCACCTACACCTGGGGGGAGGCAGCAGGATGCTGAACCCTCAAAAGGAGAGCAAGAGCCCCCACTGTGCAGCAAGCCCAGGCCTGGGGGTCCCCGATCCCACAGAGGAGGAATCAGCTCCACTACAGCAAGCCCAGGCCTGGGGGTCCCACATCCCACAGAGGAGGAATCAGCTCCACTACAGCAAGGCCAGGCCTGGGGGTCCCCGATCCCACAGAGGAGGAATCAGCTCCACTACAGCAAGCCCAGGCCTGGGGTCCCACATCCCACAGAGGAGGAATCAGCTCCACTGCAGCAAGGCCAGGCCTGGGGGTCCCCGATCCCACAGAGGAGGAATCAGCTCCACTGCAGCAAGCCCAGGCCTGGGGGTCCCTGATCCCACAGAGGAGGAATCAGCTCCACTACAGCAAGGCCAGGCCTGGGGGTCCCCGATCCCACAGAGGAGGAATCAGCTCCACTACAGCAAGCCCAGGCCTGGGGGTCCCTGATCCCACAGAAGAGGAATCAGCTCCACTGCAGCAAGGCCAGGCCTGGGGTCCCACATCCCACAGAGGGGGAATCAGCTCCACTACAGCAAGGCCAGGCCTGGGGTCCCACATCCCACAGAGGGGGAATCCAATGGGACCCCTGCAGCTCTAAGAACAGAAAACCCAATTCAGATGTGCTTAAAGAAAAAACTAAAAATACGTGTGTGCGCGTGTGTGCGTGTGTGTGCGTGTGTGCGTGCATGCGTGTGTGTGCGTGTGCATGTGTGTGTGCACGCATGTGGTAATTTATTGCAAAGTCAAGTGGGTCTGTTTTGGGAACAGCTGGATCTAGGTGTTCAGACACTGGCCCCTTCTTGGGTTTCGTGAGGGACCCTGGAAGCTCCAAGCTCTCCCCTCTTGATGATAAGGTTGCTGCAGCTCCCCCAGCTCCCAGCCTTGGTTTCATCTTGTGGGAAAAGGCTGCCTGTTTTTTTCTCGATGGCCCGCTGGTAATTCCAGAATTCACTCTGACTGGACTGGCTTAAACCACCTGACCAGCCCTGAGCCAACCCCTAGGTCTGGGGTGACCTTCACGCTCTGACTGGTTTAGACCTGGGCGGCGGGATCTGCAGCTGGGCTGAAATGGATCAGAGCGGGGGGTGTGGACTTCCATCTGGAGCCGGGACAGGACCTCAGGAGGCAAATGACGACCGTCTGTGACACGCAGGCCCACGTCTGTGCTAGAAAAGCCACCCCTTGATATGGGGCGAGGATGGGACCCGAGAGACCCTCGCCCCACCCTGCACTGGCTCAGCAGCCGGGTCCAGACTCCCAGGCCTCTGGAAAACGAACCTCGGGGGGACGCAGAGGGTCACACAGGGCTTCACCCCCAGCTCGGGTTCAGTCCTGACTCAGAGACGACCCGGCCCCCACGACTGGACCCCACAACGCACAGGGCCCCCGCCGGCCAACAAGACCAAGGTCACGCACAGCGGTGCTGGGATCCTCCAGAGGACTCCACAGGGGACCGAGGGCCTGCAGGGATTCGAAAACCAGTGCCGGACGCAGCCTTCCTCCCTTACAGCAAGAGCTAGGAGATAAAACAGGCAGGCCGGGAGAGCAGGGCCCGGGTCGCGCCTTCCTCACGGCTGGAAGCCTCCCAGGTGACGGGAGGAATGATGGGGACGGGGCGGGGTACTTGGAGACCTTCCTCTGTCAGATGGCTCTGATGTTTCCACTGTTGCTGTGAGCAGGAAAGGGTTAACTTGGCAGCTGGCTCCTCCACACCCTGAGCGCCCACATCCGGCCCCTCCTTGCCCCGGAACCTCCTGCCGGAGAGGACAGCCCTGCTCACCTGGCCTTGGCAGCCCCAGCTGGTCTGTGCAATGGTGGGATTCACGGTGGGCACTTGGCCTCACGGCATCAGCCTGACCTCTGGAGGGTGGAGACCAAGGTCAGCCATGTCCACGAGACCAGCCCAGTGAGGACCATGGTCACCGAGGCTCGGGGGCTCCTGGCTGGCCTCGCTTGGCACGTGTTGTCACACATGGGTGCCGGAGAATCAAGTCCATGGGACCCCCCCCCAGGAGGGGACACCTGGGAGCTCGCACCTGGCCTCTCCTGGGCCCTGCCTGGGCATCTCTTCCCTCTGCTGACTTTAACCCATGTCCTCTGCTGTGAGAACCCACAGCAGGGAAAAGCAGCCTGTCTGGGCTCTGTCTGTCCTTCTAGCAAGTTGTGGACCGTCAAGGTGGTCTCGGGGGTCTTCCTGCCACACAGCTGCCTGGAGGCTCACAGCCAAGAACGGTGCTCACTCCAGCAGTGGGGCTAGCCCTGAGAGCAAACAGATTTCACCCCCAAATTCAGGACACACAGGAGCGTTCAAAAACCACACACACACGTGCACACATGCACACACACGCATGTACACACGCACACATATGCACACACGCACATGCACGCACACCCACGCACATGCACGCACACGCACGTATACACACACACGCACACCCACGCATGTGTGTGCACACGTGCACACACAGACTCCTGTGCACACATGCACACATGCGCACACACCCGCACACATGCAGGTGCACACGCACACACCCACACCCACCCGCACACAACGCGCGCGCACGCACACACACACACACCGTGCACCCTCAGTGCACAGGCTGGCTAACACACACGAGCCGCTTTCCAAACCGAAGTCATTCCAGCCCCATGCCTGTAGCTGGCGCCACATGAAAACACCACTGTGTTCTTATTTATGGAGCATGTTTCTTTAAACTGGCCTATTTTAAAACTAAATGCATTTTTTATTTGAAAGGGAATCTTCATTTCACCGCTGCAAATGGAAAGCTGGCATCACTTGTGTTAAATCATGGTAACCATGAAAATAAGTAGAATGAAAATAAAATAATGTTGTCACACTCTGGATGTGGCTGAGGTGTCCAAGCCTCCATGCCCAGGCCTCAGCCCTGTTTGTCTAAAGGACTCGGGGAAACCCCCTCCAGGAGGAATCAGAGCCTCGGGAGCTGGGCACGCCTCACTCGCACTGCCGTGCTGTCTAAGGAAGCTTCATCACACCTAGAATCAGTCCCCAGCACGCATTTGTGGGAAGGGTGTGAAGTGGGCCCCACCTGGCTAGAACAGGGAGCTCCGGGTTCCTGCACCAACCTCCACGCAGCCCGGGGCGCTCCCTGCACCCCTGGACCCTGCGGGCCTGTCCAGCATCTCGCCTCCCTCTGTCCACACATGGGGAACCCCAGAGCAGGTGAGTGAACGCCCTGGGAACCACTGCCTGAGTCACAAGGAATGGAATGGGGCTGAGACACGCCTTTCCTCCTCCCCTCTCTTCCCTGCCAGCCTCCTGATCCCCATCTCAAATGAGCTCCTGGCCCAAGAATCCCGGTGTCAGGGTTCCCTGGCGGGTGGGGCAGGCTGACCACACCAGGAGCTGCAGAGGGGGCTGCCCTCCTGCCTGCCCTCCCTCAGGCAGCTCCAGGAGGAGGCAAGTGTGGCTGAGGCCACCTGCCACCACCCCACGGTGAAACGCGGCCCCACTGGGCAGCCCTGAGCGCCCGGCTTCTGCAGGACAATGCCACCAGGGGCCCTCCCAGGGAGCATCCTGTCGCGGGCTGGGCTCTGCGGACAGAGACGCAGGAGGGGCTGGCCAAGCCTGCCAGTCGCTCCCAGGCCCAGAGGCCAAGCTCAGCCAAACTTTATCCGAGCAACAATGCCAATTAATCTGGCGCTTGTCGCGGCTACTCCCTCAGGGCAGGTGTGAGGGTCAGCGACCAAGCTCCATCCTGAGTGGCACTGAGGCAAAGCCGTGGCGGCCAGGGCCCGGCTCCTGATTCACCCGCTCTTGCAGCCTGGGGGCGACAGGATGGGAGGTGCGCAGGCCACGGATGGAACGGGAATGCCCTTCGCTTCAGACACAAGCGACACCCAGCTCAGCAGTGACTGAGGCCACAGCAGGTGGGACCAGGGCTGGCAGGGCCTGACACAGGGCGCCTCTGCTGCGTGAGCCATGGTGCCTCAGCCCAGCTTCCGTGATCCCCAGATGCAGCTATGGCAGGAGTGCCCCAAGCCTGGGGCTAGGCCCTGGGAAGGATGCCCGCAGCCAAAAGTAGGGGAGGGGGAGAGACACAGAGAGATAGAGAAAGACAGAGAGAGATACAGAGAGATTGAGAGAAGGAGAGAGGGAGAGACAGAGAGAGACAGGAGAGACAGAGGAGGAGAGACAGGGAAGACAGAGGAGGCAGGAGGGCCCCACAGGTGGGGGCTCCTGACTGCTCCACTTTCCCACAGCAGACCTTTGCGCGTTTCTCCCAGGAGCCCGCAGCTCGTGGGGGCAGTCCCCGGCCAGCACGGGGGAGCGCTCACTTTCCCGGCCAGCGTGGGGGGCGGTCACTTCCCCGGCGGGCGTGGGGGGCGGTCACTTCCCTGGCGGGCGTGGGGGCCGCTCACTTCCCCGGCCGGCGTGGGGGGCAGTCACTTCCCTGGCCAGTGTGGGGGGCGGTCACTTCCTCGGCGGGCGTCGGGGGATGGGGGGCAGTCACTCACTCACTTTCTGGGCCGGTAGTCGGGGATGCTCCGATCGAGGGAGATGCGGTCGCTGAGCTGAGCGTTGTAGCCGTACTCCTCATACTTGCCTTCCGCCTCCTGGCCGTCATCACGCAGGGTGGCCGCCAAGCCACCCTGGCCCAGGCCTCCTGGCCCCTCCACCAGGCCGATGGGCTTGGCAAGGCCTGGGGGAAAGGAAGAGAGGGAGGTCAGGCAGGCCCAGGACACGCTGCGTCTGCACCCAGGAGACGCCCCTCCCGCCCCTCTCCCCGACGGCCGCTTCCCCCGGTACAAGCCCAGCAAACTCCCTGCAGATGGCAGGCTGCCAGCTCAGGACATTCCAGAAAGTGCAAGGCTGTGCGCGGAGTGAGAGGGCGGTGCCAGGCGGAAGAGGGAGGGATGAATGGGTGGTACATGAGGCGTTGAAGGCAGTGGACTCTGTGTGATGCTGCAATGGTGGATATCTGTTATTATTATGTATTTTTTGATTCAGGGTCTTGCTCTGTCACCCAGGCTGCAGTGCAGTGGCATGATCTCAGCTCACTGCAGCCTGGACCTCCCAGGCTCAAGCAATCCTCCCACCTCAGCCTCCTGAGTAAATGGGTGGGCCTCCACAACTGGCAAATTTTTGTATTTTTAGTGGAGACAGGGTTTCACCGTGTTGGTCAGGCTGGTCTTGAACTCCTGACCTCAAGCGATCCACCTACCTAGGCCTCCCAAAGTGCTGGGATTACAGGCGTGAGTCACTGCACTGGCCAATACTTGTTCTTACGCAATTGTCCAAACGCACAGCAGGTGTGACACTGAGTGAGCGCCCCCCCCCCCCCCCGTGAGCCACAGCCCTCAGTGAGTCACCTGCATCGGGCAGCATCGGCTCATCGACGGTGACACAGTCACACTCACGCACGCCAGCCCCCCGTGAGCCACGGCCCTCAGTGAGTTTCCTGCATCGGGCAGCATTGGCTCATCGACAGTGACACAGTCACACACGTTCACGCCCAGGCGCTGTGCCTGCGGGGCAGAGGATGCGGGAACTCCGCTCAGTCTCTATCAACCCGAAACTGCTCTGATGGTCAGGCCTACTAATGTTAAAAATATTAACCCGAAAATTGCAACGGCTCTAAGATTAGGTATTTTAAACGCCATGCCGCCGCCACCATCCCCACCAGCCCTTGACACCATCCGCCTGTGTAACTTGAGCTGAACACACATCCACATGCGTGCTGCTACTCTGGGGTAGGAAGAACCGAGCCGTCGACACAGGCAGCAGCCGAGACGTGGCTCACACACGTGACGCCAAGCCAAAGATCAACACAGGAGACCTCATCCCGTGTGGCCGCCGGCGTGAGGTTCAAGAACAGACGGAATCACAACCCACCCCATGGCCATCGGGGCAGGACGGGGACCCCGGGGTGGGGCAGTGTCGACTGGAAAGGAGCCGGTGGAACTTCTGGGCTGACAGGGAGGCTCCGCAGCTTGGTCAGGGTGTGTGGAATGGGTGCCCAAGGGGGCCGGGCCAGGGAAAGTTCTAGGTGCTCAGTTGTGCTGGGCAAGCAGACGCGGCTTGGAGATGCTGTTCCCAGGGGGACGGGAGTGAGAGGGGTGTCTCCCCACAAAGATGGCACCATTGGCTGTCTCTGAGCTGGGAGTCTCTGGGGCATCTTGGATTTGGGGGCGGGTGCCTGGGCAATAGTTTTAAGCCAGAAAGAGGCGGCATGGACCCCTGAGGCTGGGCTGCCTTTTGTCAGCTTGCACAGAGAGGTCTCTGGTCCTCGGAGGAAGGCCAGTGGAAACACAAACTTGTGAAATACCCGATGCTAATATCCCACAACTGCCCGCCTGGGAGGGGACCTTCTCTCGCGGCGCCAGCTCCTGGAGCCTGGTGGGATCTCTGTAGGATTCCTGCTATGGGGAGGGAGGGACCGATGCCCTGGGAAGATTCCAGTCTGTGACCCTCCGCCCCCCACAGGGCAGTGAGTGGCTTTCTCCCCTCAGCAGAGCCGAGGCTTTGAGCCTCCCGGAACCTCTGGACTTTCTGGAATATTCCATTTTAAATGAGTAAACAAAGTGTCCGTATTTATGTAGGACTGAAGGATACAGATTGGACGTAGAATTGAAAAATGACACAAATCACTTCCCCTTCTTATTTTAATCCTGTGAGATAAATACGTAATCATGCTATTTTAAAATATCGATACTGCACTTGCATTTTTCACTTTGGAAAGTCTGGAATTGGATGTCTCCCAGAGGCAGGCACAGCAGCTTCTAACTCGAGAGAGAGAGACACCTCATCATCCGTGGGGCTCAGGCCTCAGGTGGGGATTGGCCGCCTGGCCAGAGGGTAGCTGAGCGTGGTTCCAGATGGCTGCCTGATGCCCAGCGTTGGGGGCAGGAGGGTGGCTGAGCGTGGTTCCGGACGGCTGCCCGATGCCCGGCATTGGACCCGGCAGGAGGGTGGCTGAGCGTCGTTCTGGACGGCTGCCCGATGCCCAGCATTGGGGGCAGGAGGGTGGCTGAGCGTGGTTCTGGACGGCTGCCCGATGCCCAGCGTTGGAACCGGCAGGAGGGTGGCTGAGCGTGGTTTCGGACGGCTGCCCGATGCCCGGCGTTGGACCCGGCAGGAGGGTGGCTGAGCGTGGTTTCGGACGGCTGCCTGATGCCCAGCGTTGGACCCGGCAGGAGGGTGGCTGAGCATGGTTCCAGATGGCTGCCCAATGCCCGGCGTTCTGAGGTCAGCAGGACCCTCTTTCTTATTCAGACTGGCATTTTGTTTCTGCCTGTCTCTGGAAACTGATTTTTTTTGTTGTTGGGATCCTAGATTTGGTCAGGGCATATCTTGCCGTGAATCACAGTCATGCGTGGCAATCCACACTCATGCCAACGTTCAGCTCCAGGAAGTTTGCTCTGTTAATGATGTGACTGTATTCCCATCTGCCATCCCTGTTTTCTCTTCTGTAACCCCTGTTAAGTGAACGTTTCCCCTCCCGGTTTATCTCCTGCCTCCCAACGCTTCATTCTCCGTTTTCATTCTCTTGGTTTTCATCTCATCGGCTTGATCTTTTGTCGTGCCATGTTGCCAACTAGCCTGTCCATTGAATTGGTTTTGTTGTCATATATTTAATCCCAAAAGAGGCTTCTTGCTCTCCAGTCGCCCCTGCCTTGCATGAATGGCAAACTGGTTTTACTTTATGTGGTTGGCAGTAGCCCCAAAGCTGTCCACACCCTAATCCCTGGAACCGGTGAGTGTCACGTTACACAGCTAAGGGGACTTGGCAGACGCCCCCTGCTTTGCCTGAATCTGCTTCATTGGCCAGAAGGAGTGGAGGAGCTGGGCCTTCACTGTGGTCACCCGTCACTTGCATGGGGGTTAGGGGACACCCCAGCCACGCTGCTGCTCACAGCTTCCTTGCGGAGGAAGTGAGGGTTGCCAGGCCTCTGAATGAGTGTGTTTTGAAGAGAGACGCTGCCATTCCCATCCTCCCTCCACCCGGGGCTCCATGCCTCCCCTCACTGCTGCGTCTGTGCTTAAGAGAACCAAGCAGCCCCTGGTCCAGACGCTGCTGCCCACTGAGCTGCCTGACTTCTCCTGGCTGAGGGTCCTCCTTGGTCACAGGCGGGTCACCACTGAGTCCCCGTCCCAGGACTGTGCAGATGGTGGAGATGGAGCTCAGGGGTCCTGAGCCCAGCACTGGGCGTGCACTGGGGGTGAAGGAACTTTTGCTGCCTCAGATCCGATCTTCTTCCTTGGCTGGTGGAGTCAGTGCTGTCACCGTCCCATAGCTGCTGAGAGAAGCTGCTCGGGGGACACCAGTGCCAGCAGCACCCACGTTCCTGGCCATGGTGCTTCACTGCTCTCTGCAGTGGCTTCATCAGGGGTGCCAATTTCCCACCTCCCTGACTCAGGGCTTGGTCTCTGAGCTGCCTGTGGAAAGAGGGCCCAAGCGATGATGTCCCTGTTCCCAGCCTGGACCTTGCAGAGCCAGGTGCCTGCCCCGTCTGCCCTCACCACACACAGAGCCCCCATCATGACTGCCCAGCCTGGGCCCTAGGACAGGCCTCGCCATGCAGAGCGGACCGGCCAAGCCACGGACCCTCAGTGAGAGGCGGCCCCACCCCTGCGGCACCATGGGAGTAAGCGAGGCCGTCCCAACGCGCTGTGTCTTGGGGTGATGGGCACGGAGCCATTGCCACCCAACAGGCTGTTCTCTGTGCTGTCCTCTGCCCAGTCCAGGAATAGACAGCACAGGAGGAGGAAGCAGAGGCAGAAACAGCCACAAGCTCATGTCCACAGCACCCACATCCAGAGCACCCACGTCCACACCACCCACATCCACAGCGCCCACATCCACAGCACCCACAACCACAGCACCCACAACCACAGTGCCCACGTCCACACCACCCACATCCACAGCGCCCACGTCCACAGCGCCCACGTCCTCAGCGCCCACAACCACAGCACCCACGTCCACATCACCCACGTCCATAGCACCCACATCCACAGCACCCACATCCACAGCACCCACAACCACAGCACCCACGTCCACAGCACCCACGTCCACAGCACCCACGTCCACAGCACCCACGTCCACAGCGCACACGTCCACAGCACCCACAACCACAGCGCCCACGTCCACATCACCCACATCCACAGCACCCACGTCCACAGCACCCACATCCAGAGCACCCACGTCCACACCACCCACATCCACAGCGCCCACATCCACAGCACCCACAACCACAGCACCCACAACCACAGTGCCCACGTCCACACCACCCACATCCACAGCGCCCACGTCCACAGCGCCCACATCCTCAGCACCCACAACCACAGCACCCACGTCCACATCACCCACGTCCATAGCACCCACATCCACAGCACCCACATCCACAGCACCCACAACCACAGCACCCACGTCCACAGCACCCACAACCACAGCACCCACAACCACAGTGCCCACGTCCACACCACCCACATCCACAGCGCCCACGTCCACAGCGCCCACGTCCTCAGCGCCCACAACCACAGCACCCACGTCCACATCACCCACGTCCATAGCACCCACATCCACAGCACCCACATCCACAGCACCCACAACCACAGCACCCACGTCCACAGCACCCACGTCCACAGCACCCACGTCCACAGCACCCACGTCCACAGCGCACACGTCCACAGCACCCACAACCACAGCGCCCACGTCCACATCACCCACATCCACAGCACCCACGTCCACAGCACCCACAACCACAGCGCCCACGTCCACACCACCCACATCCACAGCACCCACGTCCACACCACCGACATCCACAGCACCCACAACCACAGCGCCCACGTCCACACCGCCCACATCCACACCACCCACCTCCACAGCACCCACGTCCACACCACCCACATCCACAGCACCCAGGTCCACACCGCCCACATCCACGGTGCCCACATCCACAGCGCCCACATCCATGGCGCACACATCCACAGCACCCACGTCCACACCTGTGCTGGCACCCCTGGAGACCAGATGCGCTCAGTCCTTTCCTCCCCCCTGCTTCCCCATCCCCTCCTGTCCCCACACCCTCAGTTGTCCATTCAGCAGCCAGTGTGAGCTTGTAGAGGGTTCCAGAGCCGCTCCCCTGCTGGGAGCCATGGGCCCCAATCCTGCTGCACTTGCGGTTCCGGCTCCTCACGGCAGCTGTGGCCCCCCCAGCCCCTGCAGCCCTCGTGGGTCGCATCCTCACTCACAGTATGCCAGCCACGCTCCTGCTTCCTGCCCCGGGGCCTTGGCTCCTGCCCTCACTCGGACCTCAGCTCTGGGTTGCACCCTGGAGACCTCCCAGGTTCTAACCTGAAGCCATTCCCGGTGACGGCACCTCAGTCCCTGCCTCATTTTCCTCCCTGCCTCATTTTCCTCCCAGAACTCAGAACTCATCACCATCTAAAATCATCCCCTCCGCTACGCTCTCTGCTTCCCCTCAACGTGCAAGAGACAGGACTTTGTCCTGCCTTCCTGCCATCTACCCCAGCGCCTCATGTGTTCACAGCATGTACCTGGAGAGCCGCCTGAGGTGGGTGAATGGATCCCTTCCAAGCGGGTGCCAGGGCACTGCCTCCCCCCATCCCACAGGAGAGGCGGGATCTCCCTCCCCATCCCCGCAATGAAGAGACAGAGATGCCGAGCCACAGACAAGCCCACCCAAGGCTTCACGGGCTCTGCTGGGCCGGACCCGAGTCTCTGACTCCCTCGAGGGCCCTGCTGTAAGGTCCTGGTCTCCACACAAAACGGAGCAGAGCCAGGCAGCACCATCCTGGTCCTGGCTGGGCCCAAACCCCTGGCCCCGGCATTCACCCTACAACACTGCGCAGAATGTGGGAAGAGCCTTGTCTTTGAAGGAAAGTCTCGAGGCCCCACTGAAGCCGGACACCAGGCTCCACTGCCTCCTGGGCCAGAGCTACAGCATCCAGCAGGGCGGGGCGTGCGAAGGAGGCACTGCTTGCTCTGAGGGAGTGGGTGTGAGTCCAGAGAAAAGGGAAGGGAAGGAGGGTGGGGAGAGGGTGGAGTCGGTGAGACGGGAAGTCTGGACCACCGTTGTTCGGTGGAATCCATGGGACACTCATGAGAGCTGTGCGGAGGACGCCGCCTCGCATGTGCAGGGCTTTCACGGAAAATACTAGAAAGAGAGACTTTCCCACCAGGAGGAGAGTCTGAGATGGCACAGGCAGAGGGAGGGTCCAGAACGCACATCCCTAGGAATTCCGCACACTTGAAGGGGTATTTGGGGTTTCAGCTCTGTTCACCAGGTGTGGGAGTGGCGGGGCCAGGGCTGCCATAATCAGGGGGCATTGAGCCTCACCCCACAGTGGGGCCGAGCCGGCCAGGCCTCAACCTTTAGTTGCTGACTTGTGGGGACGCAAGGGGACTGAGTGGGGGGGCTCAGGCAGCTGGGAGGCTGCAGGGAAGGGGCCTCCAGGCAGCATTCACTTGACGCTTCCCAGGGAAATACAGTCAGTTCTTGTCATTTGCAGTGGTTTTGGCTCTAGAGACACCGTGGATGCTGAATGGTGGCTGCTGAGCACTTGCTCCAGGGGGAACTCTGGGCTCCGGGGAGCCTCTGGCCACAGGCTTTCCCCAGCCCCTCAATAGGTAACTTGGTTTTCCATGTGTTTCTGCATAAAGATGCCTTATTTAATACCTATTGACGATTCTTAGAGCCAACAGCTCCATGACCCATGCTGGAGCCAAGCTTCTCCACACACGCATTTCCTGCGAGGCGTATCTCAGACACTTGTGCCCTGGGTACCGACAGCACCTCAGCCTGTGGTTGGTGTGTTCTAAACATTGAAATCACCAAAGCACAAAAAGCACAAAAATGTAGACAACGTGCCACTTAAGCAGTAGTAGGGACCCTGTGTACAGTCGGAGCTGGATGGAGAAGGCAGGGGACCCCCTGCACATTCAGAGCCAGAACGAGAAGCTGGGGGACCCTGTATACAGCCAGGGCCAGAACGAGAAGCCAGGTGAGCCCGTAAACAGTCAGGGGCAGAACGAGAAGCCGGGGGGTCCCGTATACAGTCAGGGCCAGAACGAGAAGCCGGGGGATCCCGTGTAGAGTCAGGGCCAGAACGAGAAGCCGGGGGATCCCGTATACAGTCGGGGCCAGAAGGAGAAGCCAGGGGACCCCATCTACAGTCGGAGCTGGAACGAGAAGTGGAGCCTGGCCCTGTTTGACCAAAGATCTTGCCCCTCCGAGCCTATCTGTGAATGGCCGTGGAAGACCACGAGCATTTGGGGATTACAGATGAATTTTAGGGAGTAGGAACATTTGCAAACACAGAATCTGTGAATGATGTGGCTGACAGTACTTTGATATCCTGGTGACCACTATGGACACATTGGTGGGGCTGGTGGGACTGGGGGGCACAGGCCCTCCTGGGGCACCAGGTCTTCACCATTGACCTCCCCCCAGAGCTGTCCCTGGAGCAGGTGGGTCCAATGAACGAATGACTCTGACCAGAGTCAGCAGAGAGATGGGAGTCGCCTCCCCCACAGCCCCCAGCCTGTGCCCCTGAGGCCCAGTGAGGCCCCTGATGGTGTGAGGCTCCTCCGTGAACAGCAGCCTGAGAACAGTGCTTCTCAAACCCAGCTGTATCACCCGTGGTCCTTGTTAAAACACAGCCCACCAGGGCCCTCCAGAAGTGTCTGATCCACAGGTGCACGTCAGGCAGGAGACTCAGGAGCTCTGGTGACCTCCGGGTGATGCTGAGGCTGCCAGGCTGGGGACCCACTCAGACTCTGGCCTTGGAGCCAGGTCTCAGAGGCTTCAGGCGTCCTGCTCAGGGTGCCAGCGGTCATGTAGCGCCAAGGTGCTGGCAGAGGCTGGGGTCAGGACTAAGAGGGCAGGGCAGGAGCAAGGAGAGGCTGGGGTCAGGACTTCCAGCCAGGAAGGCAGGGCAGGAGCAGGTGCAGACCCGGGGCAGCCTCTGGGAGGGCGGGTGGGGTCAGAGCCGCTTGGCTTTCCCAGTCACGTTCCCTGGAGCGGGAGGGATCTGTTAATAGCTCTGAAAAGTGAAAATCCCACGGATCTGATTTTGCCTGTGCGGAAGGTTGCCGTGGGCGCCTCGCAGCAGGATTTCTGGAGCTCTCATCTTCCCTGTCTCTTATCTCCAGCGTGGCCTCATATCTTCTTTCACAAAGAATTCCTTCCAAGAGGCAGGATTGCTTGATCCCACCAGGAAGCAAGGACAAACGATGAAGAAACTGGTAAAAGTGTGGAGACGCCCGGCCTGCGGCTGCAGGGCTCAAGACCAAATCCCTCTAAACGCACTGTGGGATGGAGCCACCAGTGGTCCCTGTAGCTGCACTGGGGGTCACAGGAGCGGCCGGTGCTGCCACAGCCCAGGGGCCAGAGATGGGGCCTCCAGCCTGGGAAGCCAGCGGGGCCTTCAGACGGGCACCCGGAGAGTTTGCTCTGCTCTTCCCACCCCCAATGCCCTGGCTTCCCCGACAGCCCCATGCCGGGCACCATGCAGGCAGGGAAGGAGAGGCCCAGCGCCAGGCGCTGTGCAGGCAGGGAAGGAGAGGCCCAGTGCCGGGCGCCGTGCAGGCCGAGAGCCAAAGTCTGTGCAGACTGTTGTGGGTTGAATTGTGTCCTCCAGAAAAACAGGCAGAGTCCCAGCCCTGGGGACCTGTGAACAGGATCTTATCTGGAAACGGTCTTCGCTGACGTCATCAAGGTAAGAGGAGGTAGTGCGGGAGTCGGGTGGGCTCTGAGCCAAACATGGTATGTCCTTCTTAGAAGATGAGACACAGAGACACACGCAGAGAAGGGGCACACACGTGAGGGTGGAGGCAGAGACCGGAATGATGTGGCCCCCAGCCAGGGATGCCCAGGTCACCAGGAGCTGGAAGAGGCAGGAAGGATCCTCCCCTGGAGACTATGGAGGGAGCGTGGCCCAGCCAGCACCGTGATTCTGGACCGCCGGCCTCCAAACAGGGAGAGCCTCCAAAAGGGAGAGCCTCCGAACAGCGAGAGCTTCCGAACAGGGACAGCCTCTGAACAGGGACGGCCTCCGGAACAGGGAGAGCCTCCGAACAGGGAGAGCCTCCGAACAGGGACGGCCTCCGAACAGGGACGGCCTCCGGAACAGGGAGAGCCTCCGAACAGGGAGAGCCTCCGAACAGGGACGGCCTCCGAACAGGGACGGCCTCCGAACAGGGACGGCCTCCGGAACAGGGAGAGCCTCCAAACAGGGACGGCCTCCGGAACAGGGAGAGCCTCCGGAACAGGGAGAGCCTCCAGAACAGGGAGAGCCTCTGAACAGGGAGAGGCTCCGGAACAGGGAGAGCCTCCGAACAGGGAGAGCCTCCGAACAGGGAGAGCCTCTGAACAGGGAGAGCCTCTGAACAGGGACGGCCTCCGAACAGGGAGAGCCTCCGGAATAGGGACGGCCTCCGAACAGGGAGAGTGTCCGTTTCTGTTGGTCTAAGCCACGCAGTCTGTGGTGATCTGTCACGGCAGCCCCAAGAGATGACCGCACAGCCTCATGCTCACGCCAGCCGTCCAGCCCACTCAGACCAGCGGACACAGGTCTGTCTGGGATCCAAGAGCAGGAGATGCCCACGCTCACCACCCCATCCACTGATGGCCCAGCTGTGGGCTCTTCCCCGGATCTCATGGGTGTCTTCCTGGGCTGCGTGATATCAATCCCAAGTTTTCCTCTTTGAAATCCCAGCTTCCTCCTCCAGACAGAATCAACACTGCAAGCTTGTCATCTTATCCTTGAATAAGATGTAATTTTGAGAATAATGGGAAATTTGCATCTATTAGCTCAGCCTTTGAAAGGTCTGTCCCACAACTTTCATGAAAAACAAACCAAGCTCAATATCCTGCTGTTCTGAGGTCACAGGCTGGTGGTGACAGCTGACCTGTCACACACCAACTTTCAGCACCATTCCTCAAATGTGGCAATTCACAAGAAAAGACCTTATTTCTCACACTCTGGGAGGCTGGGAAGTCCAAGATGAAGAGGCACGGATCTGACTTCGGCCTCTGTGCTGTGTCATCCCATGTGGACGGCGAGAGCACACACGCATTGGGGGCTGGGCGGGGGGAGGGTGGAACTCTTCCTTCCATCAGGAGCCCACTCCCACACAAACCAACTCACTCCCAAGATACCCAACTCACTCCTGAAATAACAAAGCCACTCCTCAGATAACCAACACATTCCCGAAATAAACAACACACTCCCGAGATGACCAAGTCACTCCCAACACAACCAGCTCACTCCTGAGATACCCAAACTCACTCCCATGATAACTAACTCACTCCGAAGATGACCAACTCACTCCCGAGATAACCAACTCACTCCCAAGATGATCAAGTCACTCCCACCACAACCGACTCACTCCCAAGATACCCAAACTCACTCCCATGATAACCAACTCACTCCCACAATAACCAACTCACTCTGAGATGACCAAGCCACTTCCATCATAACCAACTCACTCGAGATAACTAACTCACTCCCAGGATAATCAAGACACTGCCAAGATAACCAACTCACTCCCATGATAATGAAGTCACTCCAGAGATGACCAACTCACTCCCAAGATGACCAAGCCACTCCCGAGATAACCAACTCACTCCCATGATAACCAACTCACTCCTACAATAACCAACTCACTCCTGAGACAATAAAGCCGCTCCCGAGATAACCAACTCACTCTGAGATGACCAAGTCACTCCTGAGATGACTGAGTCTCTCCCAAGATGACCAAGCCACTCCCACAATAACCAATCACTCCCGAGATAAACAAGCCACTCCTGAGATAGCCAACTCACTCCTGAGATAACCAACTCACTCCCATGATAACCAGCTCACTTCTGAGATGACTGAGTCTCCCCCAAGATGACCAAGCCATTCCCACCATAACCAACTCACTCCTGAGATAACCAACTCGTTCCCAAGATAAGCAAGCCACTCCCAAGATAACCAACACACTCCCATGAAAACCAACTCCCTCCTGAGACAACCAAACCGATCCCACAATAACCAACTCACTCTCATAATAACCAACTCACTCCCAAGAAAACTAACTCACTTCTGAGAAAACCAACTCCCAAGATTACCAACTCACTCCCGAGATAACCAATTCACTCCCATGATAACCAACTCACTCCTAGACAACCAAGCCAATCCCACAATAATCAACTCACTCTCATAATAACCAACTCACATCCAAGAAAACTCACTCACTCCTGAGAAAATCAACTCCCAAAATTACCAACTCACTCCTGAGATAACCAATTCACTCCCATGATAACCAACTCACTCCCACAATAACCAACTAACTCCTGAGATAACCAAGTCATTCCCAAGATACCTAGCCCACTCCTGAGATAACTAACCCACTCTCATGATAACCAACCCATTATTCTGATAACTAACTCGTTCCCAAGGAAACCCACTCCCAAGTTAACTAACCCATTCCCATGATGACCATTGCACCTCAGAGACAACCAAGTCACTCCTGAGATAACCCAGTCCCATGATAACTAACCCATTCCCACCACACTTAACCCACCCATGAGATAAACAAGCCACGGCTGAGATAACCCACTCCCATGATAACTAACCTGCTCCCACCATACCTAATCCACTCCTGATAACCAAGCCACTCCTGAGATAATCCACTCCTATAACTAACCTGCTCCCACCATACCTAACCCACCCGAGATAACCAAACCACTCCTGAGATAACTCACTCCCATAACTAACCCACTCCCACCACACCTAACTCATCCCTGAGATAACCAAGCCACTGCTGAGATAACCCACTCCCATGATAACTAACCTGCTCCCACCACACCTAACCCATCCCTGAGATAACCAAGCCACTCCTGAGATAACTCACTCCCATAACTAACCCACTCCCACCACACCTAACCCACCCCTGAGATAACCAAGCCACTGCTGAGATAACCCACTCCCATGATAACTAACCCACTCCCACCACACCTAACCCACCCCCAACACACCTAACCCATCCCTGAGATAACCAACCCACTCCTGAGATAACTCACACCCATAACTAACCCACTCTCACCACACCTAAACCATCCCTGAGATGACCAAGCCACTCCTGAGATAACCCACTCTCATAACTAACCCACTGCCACCACACCTAACCCATCCCAGAGATAAACAACCCACTCCTGAGATAAATCACTCCCATAACTAACCCACTCGGACCACACCTAACCCATCCCTGAGATGACCAAGCCACTCCTGAGATAACTCACTCCCATACCTCACCCACTCCCACCACACCTAACCCACCCGAGATAACCAAGCCACTGCTGAGATAACCCACTCCCATGATAACTAACCCACTCCCACCACACCTAACCCACCCCCAACACACCTAACCCACCCCTGAGATAACCAACCCACTCCTGAGATGACTCACTCCCATAACTAACCCACTCCCACCACACCTAACCATACCTGAGATGACCAAGCCACTCCTGAGATAACTCACTCCCATAACTCACCCACTCCCACCACATCTAACCCATCCCTGAGATAACCAAGCCACTGCTGAGATAACCCACTCCCATGATAACTAACCCACTCCCACCACACCTAACCCATCCCTGAGATGACCAACCCATTCCTGAGATAACTCACTCCCATAACTAACCCACTCCCACCACACCTAACCCACCCCTGAGATGACCAAGCCACTCCTGAGATAACTCACTCCCATAACTCACCCACTCCCACCACATCTAACCCATCCCTGAGATAACTAAGCCACTGCTGAGATAACCCACTCCCATGATAACTAACCCACTCCCACCACACCTAACCCATCCCTGAGATGACCAACCCATTCCTGAGATAACTCACTCCCATAACTAACACACTCCCACCACACCTAACCCATCCCTGAGATGACCAAGCCACTGCTGAGATAACCCACTCCCATGATAACTAACCCACTCCCACCACACCTAACCCATCCCTGAGATGACCAACCCACTCCTGAGATAACTCACTCCCATAACTAACCCACTCCCACCACACCTAACCCACCCCTGAGATGACCAACCCACTCCTGAGATAACTCACTCCCATAACTAACCCACTCCCACCACACCTAACCCATCCCTGAGATAACCAAGCCACTGCTGAGATAACCCACTCCCATGATAACTAACCCACTCCCACCACACCTAACCCACCCCTCAGATGACCAACCCACTCCTGAGATAACTCACTCCCATGATAACTAACCCACTCCCACCACACCTAACCCATCCCTGAGATGACCAGCCCACTCCTGAGATAACTCACTCCCATGATAACTAACCCACTCCCACCACACCTAACCCATCCCTGAGATAACCAAGCCACTCCTGAGATAACTCACTCCCATAACTAACCTGCTCCCACCACACCTAACTCATCCCTGAGATAACCAAGCCACTGCTGAGATAACCCACTCCCATGATAACTAACCCACTCCCACCACACCTAACCCACCCCTGAGATGACCAAGCCACTCCTGAGATAACTCACTCCCATAACTAACCCACTCCCACCACATCTAACCCATCCCTGAGATGACCAAGCCACTCCTGAGATAACTCACTCCCATAACTCACCCACTCCCACCACACCTAACGCACCCCTGAGATAACCAAGCCACTGCTGAGATAACCCACTCCCATAACTAACCCACTCCCACCACATCTAACCCATCCCTGAGATGACCAAGCCACTCCTGAGATAACTCACTCCCATAACTCACCCACTCCCACCACACCTAACGCACCCCTGAGATAACCAAGCCACTGCTGAGATAACCCACTCCCATGATAACTAACCCACTCCCACCACACCTAACCCACCCCTGAGATGACCAAGCCACTCCTGAGATAACTCACTCCCATAACTAACCCACTGCCACCACACCTAACCCATCCCTGAGATAACCAAGCCACTCCTGAGATAACTCACTCCCATGATAACTAACCCACTCCCACCACACCTAACCCACCCCCACCACACCTAACCCACCCCTGAGATAACCAACCCACTCCTGAGATAACTCACTCCCATAACTAACCCACTCCCACATTAAGGGCATTAACCCCTTGGAGAGGGCAGAGCCCCTGCAGACCTCTCTCAATGCCATGGTGGGGGTGAAGCTTCCCATGTGGGGGCAGCGGGCGACGCATTCACAGCACAGCACTGACCGTTCCTCGTGCAGGCGTTGCACAAGCTTTGCTTCCTTTAATCCCCAGGGTTCCCTCCGAGCCAGCTGCTTTTGTCAC
Organism: Homo sapiens; assembly: GCF_000001405.40. Taxonomy (NCBI): domain Eukaryota; kingdom Metazoa; phylum Chordata; class Mammalia; order Primates; family Hominidae; genus Homo; species Homo sapiens. Next base: position 132,301,081 of record NC_000012.12, read on the forward strand.
CCCCATGTAACTGATGAGACTCCTGAGGCTGAAGTTTGGGCCCATGGCCAGGAGGCAGTGAGCCCCAGCCACACTCCGTCACAGTGCTCCGAACTGCAAAGCTCTCAAAGAGGGTGTCCAAAGGGACCAAGAAAGGCACCACCCCTGTATGGTGGCAGGCAAAGGCGTTAAATAGCCACTAAACCATGGTCGCTCCACTTTCAGGAGAGGAAGGGCATCCTCTCCCAAAGAAGCAGGTGACAGTGCCTGCCTGGCCTTGGGGACCACGGCTGTGCTTCCACTCCGCGCCCTGTTTCACAGACAGAAGTGCTGCTGTGGTGGGCACGTGGGAATGGTCCATACGAGAACCACACAGGGGTTTCTGAGCCAGACCAAGGTGCCAGCTGGACACTTCCCCTCCGGGGCACATAAAGGGTCCCTGTCCATGGGGCTGCCCCATCGTCGGCCCCTGCCCCTCCCAATTCCACCCGGAGGTAGGGATGGCTGTGCGAACATTCACCGCCGGCACAGCAGGAGGACTGCCTGGTGGCCGCGGAAAAGGAACATGCCATGTGGACACATTCAGGTTGAACCAGCCCTTGGAGGAGGGACCTGGGGCCCCACTCGCTGGCCAGAGAGGGAGGCCAAGCCCTCCCTGGCAAATGCAGCCTCCCCCATGCCCTGCACAACCTTCATGACCCTGGACAGGGCAGGTGATTTGGATGCGGCTCCAGGGGGGCACGGAACATTTGTGTGCCACCTTCAAGATGGAGGGGTCTGCATTTTGCTTTTTGCCTCCACATAAAGTTATGGCCACAGATGCCTTCTGTGCCGTCAGAGGTAGAATTCAATTGCAGTCGTAGCAATGACCTTCCAACCACTAGGTAACATCCATCAGACGCTTGTCCACAGAAACACCTGCCTGACAACCCCGAGGGGCTCACGTGTTTATCACTTATTTATTAATTACATATTTAGGATTGCTTATTTCAGAAATTGAACCACTGTGTCAAAGATAGAGAAATTTCATGAATCTTGGTGCCAAGTCATTTTCCAGAAGGTTTAGATTAGTTTTGTTTCACTGCCAGCAATATATGCTTCCACTACTTTAATTAGAAAGTGCATCACTTCTGATTGGAAAAGTCATAAATGCTTTTGGTAGAAAATTCTACACACACACACACACACACACACACACACACACACACAGGATCACCTGGGGTCTCTTGCTGCAGGGAAAACTAGTATCAGTATTTTCACACTCCATATTATTCTGTAAGATCACGTAATGCCTCAGCGCAGTTCGATCCATGTATCTGGTGTCTGCCGCCTGCATTCTGTTTTTATCACTACGTCTTGAGTATTTCCCCACGTCACTAAAAATTCTTCATAAACATAACTTTGATGGCTGCAAACATAAAATGTCAATTTGTAGCCGTGCCATTTATTCACCCATCCATTATCAAAACTCACGGAGCGTCTGCTAAATTCCAAGAGCTGCCTGGGTGGGGCAGGTCCAGGTGGCCCTGGTGAACGCAGCACACACCTGCCTGCCCCCCAGAGCTCATGCCCCATCATGCCCACAGGTGAACAGGTGCCAGCCCAGGGCAGCCGCTTCCACGCAGGTGTGGGTCAGAGGCAGGGGCAGGATCCCCAGGAAGAGGAGTCGGAGGGAAGAGAAAGGCCAGGAGGGCAGGAAGGTGTCCTGTGAGTGGCTGCGCATGCAGGTCAGGGCTGTGGCAGCAGAAAGGGGACGGGACGGGGTGGGAGCTTTCTGTGCCGCTGGGATCTTGCTTTGAGCCTTGTAGGAAGTGGGAGCGCAGAGGAGCTTTGAGCTGAGAGGGAGAGAGGAGGGTGGGCACAGTGGTCAGGTTTTCTATGCAGAGGGACCACTCCGGTGACCGTCTAAGGGGGGCGAGGGTGGAACCCAGGGGCCTGTGCAGAGTCTGATGCTCCGATCAGCCCTGGGGTGAGACGGTGTGTGGACATGGAAGACGCGGTTTCCCACCCTCTGTCTGTCTCTCTCTCGGGAAAGCCTCCCTGTGTATTTCAGGACTAGCCGTCCCCATGCACACTGTGGCTGTCACCCCTGTGGCCTTCACCCGGTAGTCCCCGTCAGACCCTCCACCGCCGGGATGCAGTGACTGCCCAAGGCTGGGCAGGCGCCCTGAGTGGATTCGTCACCAGGAGAGAGGCCCCCACCCCGGGCACCTTGAGCAGCACAGGGCCACCAGGGCATCTTCATTTAACACGAGAGGCAGCTGCCCAGAATCCACCACCAAAAACGGAAGCAGAGGAGAGATGAGAAGCAGCACCCTCTCCGGGGCACAGCCTCGCCCGGGCACACCCTCACCCGGGCACAGCCTCGCCCGGGCACACCCTCGCCCGGGCACACCCTCGCCCGGACACACCCTCACCCGGGCACAGAATCGCCCAGACACACCCTCGCCTGGGCACACCCTCACCCGGGCACAGCCTCACCCGGGCACACCCTCACCCAGACACAGCCTCGCCCGGGCACACCCTCGCCCGGGCACACCCTCGCCCGGACACACCCTCACCCGGGCACAGAATCGCCCAGACACACCCTCGCCTGGGCACACCCTCACCCGGGCACAGCCTCACCCGGGCACACCCTCACCGGGGCACACCCTCACCCGGGCACACCCTCACCCAGACACACCCTCACCCGGGCACACCCTCACCGGGGCACACCCTCACCCGGGCACACCCTCACCCAGACACACCCTCACCCGGGCACACCCTCACCGGGGCACACCCTCACCCGGACACACCCTCGCCCAGACACACCCTCGCCTGGGCACAGCCTCACCGGGGCACACCCTCACCCAGACACAGCCTCGCCCAGACACACCCTCGCCCGGGCACACCCTCACCTGGGCACAGCCTCACCGGGGCACACCCTCACCCAGACACAGCCTCACCTGGGCACACCCTCTCCGGGGCACACCCTCGCCCGGACACACCCTCACCCGGGCACACCCTCACCTGGGCACAGCCTCACCGGGGCACACCCTCACCCAGACACAGCCTCACCCGGGCACACCCTCTCCGGGGCACACCCTCGCCCGGACACGCCCTCACCGGGGCACACCCTCACCCAGACACGCCCTCACCCAGACACGCCCTCACCTGGGCACATCCTCACCGGGGCACACCCTCACCCAGACACACCCTCACCCGGGCACACCCTCGCCCGGGCACACCCTCGCCCGGACACACCCTCACCCGGGCACAGAATCGCCCAGACACACCCTCGCCTGGGCACACCCTCACCCGGGCACAGCCTCACCCGGGCACACCCTCACCGGGGCACACCCTCACCCAGACACGCCCTCACCCGGGCACAGCCTCGCCCGGGCACACCCTCGCCCGGGCACAGCCTCGCCCGGGCACACGCTCACCCAGACACACCCTTGCCCGGGCACACCCTCGCCCGGACACACCCTCACCCGGGCACAGAATCGCCCAGACACACCCTCACCGGGGCACACCCTCGCCCGGACACGCCCTCACCCGGGCACAGCCTCACCCGGGCACAGCCTCACCGGGGCACACCCTCGCCCGGACACACCCTCACCCGGGCACAGCCTCGCCCGGGCACACCCTCGCCCAGACACACCCTCACCTGGGCACAGCCTCACCGGGGCACACCCTCACCCAGACACAGCCTCGCCCGGGCACACCCTCACCCGGGCACACCCTCGCCCAGACACACCCTCACCTGGGCACACCCTCGCCCGGGCACACCCTCGCCCGGGCACACCCTCACCCGGGCACAGAATCGCCCAGACACACCCTCACCGGGGCACACCCTCGCCCGGACACGCCCTCACCGGGGCACACCCTCACCCAGACACGCCCTCACCCAGACACGCCCTCACCCGGGCACACCCTCACCCGGGCACACCCTCACCCGGGCACATCCTCACCGGGGCACACCCTCACCCAGACACACCCTCACCCGGGCACAGAATCGCCCAGACACACCCTCACCTGGGCACACCCTCACCCGGGCACAGCCTCACCCAGACACGCCCTCACCCGGGCACAGCCTCGCCCGGGCACACCCTCGCCTGGGCACAGCCTCGCCCGGGCACACGCTCACCCAGACACACCCTTGCCCGGGCACACCCTCGCCCGGACACACCCTCACCCGGGCACAGAATCGCCCAGACACACCCTCACCGGGGCACACCCTCGCCCGGACACGCCCTCACCGGGGCACACCCTCACCCAGACACGCCCTCACCCAGACACGCCCTCACCCGGGCACACCCTCACCCGGGCACACCCTCACCCGGGCACATCCTCACCGGGGCACACCCTCACCCGGGCACACCCTCACCCGGGCACAGAATCGCCCAGACACAGCCTGACCTGGGCACACCCTCACCCGGGCACACCCTCACCGGGGCACACCCTCACCCGGGCACAGCCTCACCCGGGCACACCCTCACCCGGGCACACCCTCACCGGGGCACACCCTCACCCAGACACGCCCTCACCCGGGCACAACCTCACCCGGGCACACCCTCACCCGGGCACACCCTCACCCGGACACGCCCTCGCCCGGGCACAGCCTCGCCTGGACACACCCTCACCTGGGTACATCCTCGCCTGGGCACAGCCTTGCCTGGGTGGCCTCCTGGAGCTCAGTTTGGGGAATGTTTGGTCTCAGTGGGCCCTGAGAGGGAAGCCAGTGAGGCCCTCGGGTGGAGAGCGCGGCCCGAGTGCAGATGTGAGTGCCAGGCCTGGGGTTTCCCTACTGGCTCCTCACAGCACTGGGTGATGGGGACCAGGGAGCCCTGGGTGGGGCTTGGGTCCAAAGGAGCTGAGTCAGGGCTGGCAGCACAGCCTTTAGGACAGTGGCTCTCACAGTGGCACCTGGGCCGGGGGGCTCACGGCGGGGCCCACCCTCAGGACAGGGGGGCTCATGGCGGGGCCCAGACTCAAGACAGTGGCTCCCGCCCTCAGGACAGCAGCGGCCACCTCACCTGGGAGCCTGTGGGGACCACACGTTCTTGAGACCCTCCCCAAACCTGCCGGGTCAGAGCCCCCGTGGGGGGCCTGCAGGGGACCCTTACACAGGCAGCGTTGGAAGCGGCTGTCCGCACCGGAACCGCCTGCGGAGTGTGAGGGCGCCGGCACCTGCCCGGGCCTCCCCACGGAGCTGACATAACTGCCGGGGCGTGGCCTGGACGCCGGACGGTCTAAACCATCCCCAGGTGACTCTCAAGCGCAGAGCAATGGGAGCTGCTGTCCGGGATGGCGAGGAGTCAGCCTGGCTCCAGGGCCCTGGCCAGGAGGCGACCCACTCAGGGGCGCCCCGGAGCCATGCAGAGAGGCCTGTTGGGGGTGGTTCTCCTGGGGTCTGGGGGCCGAGGTCCAGGTGGGCGGGCAGAGCGGGGGTCTAGACTGTGGGCAACAAGTTCTTAAGGCGAAGTCAGTTCGGACATAGTGGCTTGGAGGACACAGGTGCGTCTCCAGGCCTTTCTGGGTACCCCCACCTGCCCCGGCATTGCTGACGGAGTGCCATGGGGCACCCACTTTCCCCAGGACGTTCTCCACGCCTTCCCCCCTGCTCAGAGCCAGGGACACCGCTTGGTTTTGGAGGCAGTGATGTGACTTGCGCGAGGAAAAGCAGCTTCCTTTCGAGATTCAGGGCTGAACACAAGGCTCCCTCCCCGCCATTCATCATCACTGCGGTAATGGAAAAGATGGCTCACTTCCGCGCACACCCGCCGCGTGCCCGTGGTCATTCTGCTTTTACGGAATCGTCATTTGAAGTTCCTTTCCCATGACCCGAGGGAGCGCACTGTTCTAATTACGGGAGATAATCTGGAAGACAATCACAGGGGAGGAGACGGCTGTCTGGGAGCGTGGCGGGGAATCTGATTTCCATGGGGGCTGACTCTGTGAGTAGATGGCCAGGTGGGGGTGATCTGGGCTGTGAGGGGACCTGTGCCCGCTTCCCAGCCACCTCCTCTCGATGGACCCTGAGGAGAGCAGTCAGGGAAGTTGAAGGATGAACAGATTGTCACTTGGCATGTGTGTCTGGGGCAATGGGGAGTGGTGGGGACTGCGGCTCAGACCCACGGATTACTGCCACCCAGGGACTCGGGTCCAGAGATGCCAGATCTTCTAAAATTCCAACAGGAAGTGCCAGTGTACAGATTTATATCTCTACATGTCAGCAGTGGATTCACATTTTGGAAGAAATGGCATTAAGTTAACAAATACGCACTGGGTCTATCTAGATCTGTTCATTAGGCAGGACAGCTGTGGTGGGATAAATAACCGATTCCAAAGGCATCAGGTTCTGATGTCTGGAACCCATGAGTCTGTCAATTTCCATGGTCAAAGGGACTTTACAGACGAGATTAAGTTAGAGACCCTGAGACGGAGAGTGCCCTTGATCACCCAGGTGCACCCTGAATACAATCACCAGTGTCTTATAAGAGAGAAGCGGGCCGGACACAGTGGCTCACGCCTGTAATCTCAGCACTGTGGGAGGCCAAGGCGGGTGGATCACCAGGTCAGGAGTTCAAGACCAGCCTGACCAACATGATGAAACCTCATCTCTACTAAAAAAAAAAAAAAAATAGTTGGGTGTGGTGGCGGGCGCCTGTAGTCTCAGCTACTCGGGAGGCTGAGGCAGGAGAATCACCTGCACCTAGGAGGCAGAGGTTGCAGTGAGCTGAGATCACACCAATGCACTCCAGCCTGGGCGACAGAGTGAGACTCCGTCTCAAAACAAACAAACAACAACAACCACAAAAAACAAGTGTCTTATGAGAGAGAAGTGGGCTGGGCGCAGTGGCTCACACCTGTAATCCCCGCACACTGGGAGGCTGAGCCAGGAGAATCACTTGACCTTAGGAGGCTGTGGCTGCAGTGAGCTATGATCACGCCACTGCACTCCAGCCTGGGCAACAGAGTGAGACCCTGTCTCAAAAAAAAAAAAACAAAAAAACACACAAACAAGAAAAAGACACATGGAGGGAGATTCGACACAGACAGAAGAGGAAACAGCTGCGTGTGACGGAGGCAGAGGGTGCAGCAGCGTGGCCAACGGCGCCTGGAGCCCCAGGAGCTGGGAGGGAAGGACAGACCCTCCCTGCGGCCTCTGGAGGCTGCACAGCCCTGCCCATAGCTCAGCTGTAGCTCAGTGAAATCCACTCTGGGCGTCTGGATGCCAGAGCTGTGAAAGAAGAAATGTGTGTCATTTTAGGCTGCCCCGTCTGTGGTGAGCTGTGACAGCAGCCCCAGGAAAATAATACAGGAGGCTAAGCTGGTGCAGCAAGCAGACCCCGAAACACCCTGCCCCGGGCCCCAGCGCTGCCCTTGCTGGGTGCTGCCGCCCATTCTGTTTGCTGGTCTCGTTCCAGCAGCCCCCAGGTGGTGCCTGCACCTACCGGGTTCCCAGACACTGCTAAAGGCAGGGGGAGGCCTTGCGGGATGTGGGGCAGCCCCACGAACGCAGGGTGGGCCGGGGAGGTAAGGTGGGGTGGGAGGGACCCTCGACCGCCAGGGCTTTCCCAGGCCAGGGCTGAGACAAAGAGAGGGGCCCGGGACCCACCTGGCACCTCGGGGTGCCCATCCTGTAATCCTCACACTGCCCACGATGTCAGCACCATGCTGTCCCCATTGCATAGACAGTGAGGCTCACCGTGGCCATGCAGACCTACCAGGCTGAGACTCCTGGGCCCTTCTGAGCCACGTGTGCACCGGCCGTCCTCACACCTCACCCACGGGGCTCGGGATGGCCGCACTCACGCCTTACCCACAGGGCTCGGGATGGCCGCACTCACGCCTCACCCACGGGGCTCGGGATGGCCGCACTGTGACTTCCGTGCCTGAGAAGGCAGGAGGCGGCTGTGGAGCAGGGGTCAGCTGGTGCCCGGGAGGACGCTGACAACCCCGCCCCTCTGCCCCCAACCAGGGAGGTTCCTAGAGCCCCTATTTATGGCCCTGCAGGGCGGTGGGCAGAACCCGGCCCCACCCATTCAGCCCACATCCACCGGGCTGCAGGCGTGTCTGTCCCACGCGACACTCTCAGAATCCTGAGTTTTTGCCAACATTGAAACCCCCGTAGATTTCACCTGAAACCCTGGAGTTTCCACTTCCTCGGGAGGATCCAGCAATCTGACAGCCTGGATCTGCCATGCGGGGCAGAGATGGGCTGGAGTGGATGATGGCCCCGGGACACCCACGGCTGACTGGCCCCACCCCTCTAGCTGCCCGTGGACCTCACGCAGCCGCCCTGGAGGTCGAGGGGTCGTGCCCCAGTTTAGATGAATGCAGCAGGATGGTGGGTTGAATGAGGGCCCCAAAAGCTATCTCCACTCTGAACCTGTGGATGTGGGAGTAAGGTCTTTCCAGGTATAATTAAGGTAAGGATTTCAAGATGAGGTCATCCTGGACTCGGGGCAGCGGGGTGTAAATCCAGTAAGAAGCATCCTGATTAGAAAATGAGAGGGCTCGGATAGTCACAGGCAGAAAAGAGAGGCCACATGATGTCAGAGGCAGAGACGATGCCACGACTGCCCAGTGTCCCCTGAGCAGGACAGGCCTGCAGCAGACCTAGGCCCCCAGGGGAGCTGCCCCTGCCGGCACCGTGACTTTGGACTTCCGGCCTCCAGAACAGAGAGAGCGTAAGTCTCCATTGTGTACAGCCACCCGGTCTGTGGTCAGTGCTACAGCAGCACCAAGAATCGCACAGGAGGGCAGAGAAAGAGACCATGCCAGGAGGGCAGTTAGAGGGCAAGGGCCCAGCAGACGCCCGGGCCACCACCCGTCCCCTGTTCTTCAGCAGCAGAACGACAGTTTGCTTGATGGCAGCGGGCGCAGGTGAAACCCCGGCCTCCCCGGGTGACCTCGCCGCTGAGGGTGGCGCCCGACCAACACCCAGTCAGCAAGACTCGAGTGGAACTTGCTGGGTGGAATTTCTGAGAAATATGTCTAAAAAAGGAGACTGCTGGAATCTGAGGTTTTCACCTTTTATCCACAGCCCTGTACTGTTTTTCGTGCCTGGAACCAGGACTCAATGCTCGGGGCTGGAGCAGCCAATGTGTGACCATGAGACCGAATGCCTCCAGCAGGAGGGGAGGAGCTGGGATTCACGTGGGGCTGGGCTTGTGAGGGTGCCACCAGCCCTCCAGGTCTCACCGGCCACACCGCGGTTCGGCATTTCAGTTGGGGTCGGTAACACGCAGAAGTAAAGGAACTGAGGCATGCAAAGGCCAGGACTGTCAGGGACTCTGAGTTCCCTCACCCAGAGGAGCCGGGGCTGAGTGCCAGGAGTGAGAGCGCACCCACGTGAGGTCAGGCTGCCTCCCACCCAACAGCCCCACCCAGAAGGACGGGGCCGGCCATCTCCTGGAGGCTGAGAGCCCTCCGGGAAAGCAGGCATTTCTGCCGGCTTCCTCTGTGTCCCTGCCCCCTGAAGAGTCATTTCACACTTGGCCGCCTGCTTTCCCAGCACACGATACCTGGGATATGTGGGCGGCTGTGATTTTTCAACTTGGAAGGAAGTGGGCTTTCAAGCTCCCAGCTTCTCTTTGAGTCACTGATTTCCATCTGTTACAGTGACTGAAGCCAATATTCTGAGAGAGGAAACAGCACAAATTGAGAGGCGGCCGGGCACAAGATAATCGGGGAGGAAGGGGCAGAGGGAGCGCGCGCTGGGAAGGTGGGAGCCACGCTGTCCTCCCACGCAAAGAGGAACTAGGTGTGGCTGTGGCCTGAGGGAGGTGATCCCCAAACAGCCCAAACCCGGCTGTCCTGTTTTGGAGCCTCCGCCTGTCCACAGCCATCCTTCAGGGCACCCACTCTCCCTGGGCACACGGTTCAGGGCACCCGCTCTCCCTGGGCATGTGGCGCTGGCAGCCCAAGACAGGGACTCGGCCGCAGCTAAAGTTTCCCATAATTGCGGCCTCTGTGAGCCAGACCAACCTGCCTCCCGCTGAAAAGCACTAAGAATACTGGATTTAAACAACAACATCAACTTCTAAAAAGCAATAAATACCTGACAAGATGGCAAGAAATTGCTAGGCCAGAAGTGAAGGGAAAATGGGAATCAGAGAAATGAGTGGGCCTGCAATTTGCTTTTTCCCTAAGAGGGTGTTCTGAATACTGTGACTTTGACATTTCAAAGAGGGAGAAAGGGGGAAGAAATCAGAGGTGCCAAATAGAAAACTCTCCCTCCGTAAACAGGGGTGAGGGTGAAGCACTGGGGGACCTGCCTTCAGGATGTGCAGCCTCGGCGTGGTCCAAGCAACCATCAAGGCCTGAACTCGGCGTTAGAGGAGCAGCACGGGCAGGGGCAGCAGGGGCAGGGGTAGCACAGGCAGCCCCCAGGAGCCTAGAGGAGCAAACAACCCTCTCCAGAGGGGAGTGCCTCCAGCCTAGGCCTCGGGTTATGCCTGCAACTCAATGTTCAACAACAATGACCAGCACACAGTCAAACGTAACAAGGCACACAAGGGAAAGAGACACTGTGAGCAAGTGCCGGCAGAGAGAGCAGATGTGGACTCCAGGCCAGGGCAGCTGCCGTGGGACAGCGGGCCCTCCCTCCACCCTCAGATCCCAGGACACCAGCAGCCTCCACCGTGACCTTTGTCCAGCAAGCAGGACTCCACCCTGTTTGTAGTGAGGGAACCAGCAGCACCATCACCTTCCGGCAATCCAGGCCCTGCGTCCTTCGTGTGCGTGCGACCTTGGCTGTCCACTTCAGGGAGTGTGGAGGGTGGAGGGGAGTGTGGAAGCTACAGCAGGCAGAGTGTCCCACCAGCTCCCTTGCCCCTCTCTTTATTTCCACTATAAAAATGTAAACCAATTTAACGTGCCTGGCTATTAATTTTGATGATTACAAAGTGAAGATAAAAAAGAGAGACCCTGGTTTGCCTTTGTAGATAATGTCTCTCTCTCCCAGCTTCAATTTTATCCACTCTCTCCAAATACAACAGCTAATTTCATTACAGACTGGTCTTTTAAGATTACCTGGGGACCCAAACTAATAACATATTGTCAATAGTGAAAAGACTGACTGCCCTTCTGATACCATGAAGTCATGAATATTTTGCAGGACATGGCAATACCTGTAAAATATATTCTCACTGAGACTAATACAGCGTTTGATAAATCTTCATACATAATACTTGTGTTCAACGAATATGAATATTTATGGGGCCAAAGCAAGGGAGATAGGGAATGACTGGAAGTATCTGGGGAGAAGGATTTCCTGGCCCTCTGCTTCCCTTTGGAAAGCATGCAGGGCTCTGGAACAACCCACGGCTGCTCCATGCAGCAATAAATGCCAACCTGACCCAGGTTTGGGTTTAAGGGCGGCTGGGAGCAAGGGTGTCCCATCACCTTGGTGGCCACCTCTGAGAGAAGCTGCTGAGAGGACCAGAGTGGTTGGGCCCCCACCCCTCCCCATGCCCACGCTGTCCTCTGATGGTGCACACACCTGGGTCCACTGGGGTCAGCTCTCTGCTCAAATCCTGACTCTGGAATCTCCTGGAAATGCCTGTCCTTTGGACGCAGCCCAGCCTTGAGGGTCAAAGACAGGAGGAGACCTCAGGAACCCACACACGGAGGATGGGAGGGGAAACTGGCCCTGCCCTTGCTGAAGCCCCCAGTGGAGTCCAGGGGACCTGGCTTTCCCTCAGCCGCTTGCTGAAGGAGAGCCTGCCCTGAACCCCTGTTGTCAAGGGGCAGCAGAGGCTCCACGTCTCTGCCCCCAGGGTGGATCCCCTTCTGCCGGGGCCCAAGCCAAAGATGAGGTTGTCAGCCCAAAACTTGTGTCAGTCTGGGCTGCTCAACTCCACATGGATGCACTGGGACCCAACCTGCCTTCCTCGTCTTCTCTCGTAGTCCAGCATTCCAGATCCTGTCTTCCCTTTCTCAATGCTTGTCTGTCCTCACTCTATAGAGTCTCCTACTATATTTATTCACCCTCCACTCATCTACCCACCCATCCATCCACCCACTCACCCACCCATCCACCCACTCACCCATCCATCCACCCATCCACCCACCCATTCATCTCTCCACCTACCTACCCACTCACCCACCCATCCATCCACCCACCCACCCATCCCTCCATACATCTGTACATCCATCCATCCACCCACCCACCTGCCCATCCACCAACTCACCCATCCATCCATCCATCCACCCACCCATTCATCTCTCCACCCACCTACCCATCCACCCATCCATTCACACACCAATCCATCCACCCATCCACTCACCCATCCATCTCTCCACCCACCCACTAATCCACCCATCCACTCACTCACTCACCCATCCACGCACCCATGTATCCACCCTTCTACCCACCTACCCATCCATCCATCCATCCATCCACTCACCCACCCATCCACCCACCTAATCCATCCAGCCATCCATCCATTCACCCACCCACCCATCCACTTACCCACCCACCCATCCACCCACCCATCTACCCACCCATCCATACATCCACCCAAGTACCCAGCCATCCACCCATCCACCCAGACATCCACTCACCCACCCATCCATCCACCTACCCACTTATCCATCCATCCACATATCCACCCATCCACCCACCCACCCATCCATCCATTCACCCACCTACCCATCCACCCACTCATCCATCCACCTGCCTACTCATCCATTCATCCATCCACCCATCCACCCAGCCATCCATCCATACATCCACCCATCCACCCACCCATCCACCCATCCACCCACCCAGCCACCCACCCATCCATCCACATATCTACCCATCCACCCACCCACCCATCCATCCGTACATACATACATACATACGTACATACACCCAACCACCTGCCCATCCACCCACTCACCCATCCACCCACCCATCCATCCACCCATCCATCCACCCACCCACCCATCACCCACCCACCCATACATCCACCCACCCACCCATACATCCATCCACTCACCCACCCATCCACACATCCACCCATCCATCCACCCACCCACCCATACATCCATCCACTCACCCACCCACCCATCCATCCACCTAATCCATCCATCCACCCACACATCCACCCACCCACCCTTCCATCCACCTACCCACCATCATCCATTTATCCATCCACCCACCCACCCATCCATTTATCCATCCACCCACCGACCCATCCCTCCATCCATCCTACCAGTCAATCAATACTTACTAAGCACATACTATACATCAGGCATCATGTTATCTGTCTGTCCAAATCCTGCCCCACTTGAACTCTCTTTCTGTCTCCATCTTTGCTAACTTTTCTGGGACCTACCATGTGGGAGGCACTCTGCCAAGCGCTTCATATGCACCATCTTGTCTAATCTTCTCCATGATCCTGTCATGGAGGGATAATCATTTTTCACATTTCACAGATGAGGAAACCAAGGCTCAGAGAGGAGTAGTGACTTGCCCGAGGTCACCCCATTGGGATTAGGACTCAGATCCATCCAACTCCCAATGTGCAGCTCAAAGATTCCTCTTCCATGAAGCTGTCCTGACCTTCCCCTTCAAAGCAATCCCCTCTCCTGCACCTTAGAGAGCAGAGAGTGCAGGCTGCTGCCCCCCTGCCTGACTGTGAACTCCCAGGGGGCAGCTGCTCAGGGCACTGGGCACACCCTGCTGGGCTCTGCACAGTATGGCAGTCATTCGGTGAATGAAGTGTGAATCGGATCAAACCCTCTCCCCGATGCCCCCTCCAATTTCCCGTGGAATCCTGGCATTCATGCATCTTGGGCAGAGCGGAACTAGCTTCCGTGCAGTGGAGTCGGGCTGGAAGGTCGGGTGGACCTCGGGTGGCGGAAATGAGAAACCACAGTAACATCTGCCGAAGCAGCGCCATCACTTATCAAGCGCGACCGGGTGCCGGGCGCTGCTCCCAGAGCTTTGCAGGCTCCCCTTGTCCAGCGTCCTCACAACAGAGGTGAGTGCTGTTCTCACCCCAATTTACAGATGAGGAAGCTGAGGAGCGGGAGACTGGGCGGCCTGACGGAGGTGGCCCAGGGGGAGGTGGTGGGGCCGGGCTCTGAGTCCAGGCGGCCCAGCGCTCTAGCCACATTTTAACCACAAGGCTCTGCACCGAGCAACTAAGATAATCAGGGTGGCCTCCCCCGTGTCCACTGCAAAGTGCTGGAGCCTCAGAATATAATCAGGGCGGCCTCCCCTGTGTCCACTGCAAAGTGCTCGAGCCTCAGAATATAATCAGGGCGGCCTCCCCCGTGTCCACTGCAAAGTGCTGGAGCCTCAGAATATAATCAGGGCGGCCTCCCCCGTGTCCACTGCAAAGTGCTCGAGCCTCAGAATATTAACAGGCATTTTCCACCATTTTCTCAAAATAGTGTGAAAATAGCCCCTTGCAGAATTCAGACCCCGTCTGTTCTTTTCTGACTTAGAAATAAAATCAGGGCTTGCTGGGTTTCACGCCGGAGCTGCACGCAGAGCTGATGCGACTGAACTATTCTGTGGAAAGTAAAAATAGCCCCTTTCTGCCGTGGGATGTGGGCGAGGTTGCGCCGCGGCTGCTGATCTGAGAAGGTCGCGTCTTCTGGGCCAGTCTCTGTGAAGGCCACCAGTTCGGATCCCAGTTCTGCCATTACCAGGCTGCGCATCCACACTCAGCCCTGGTGTCCTTGCGGGAACACAGGGTCCAGAGACGGCCTTCCACACAGAGCAGAGAGGGCTGAGCCACCCACTCATACTCCCCACCGCGTCACACAGGGTGTGAGTGACACGGCCTCAGGGGAAGACCCCTCTATGCTGGGGCTGCAATAAACCCCTGTGCTGGGCCCATTCCGAGATGCCAATGGGGACTTGGAGCATGAGAAAGCGGACAGCCTCTGGCCCTGAGAACAGTCTCCAGAATGTTCGAGAGTGGAGGGTGGTGGGGACGCGGGGTCCTGGAGAGGGCACGGCAGGCAGGCAGCCCCCGAAACGGCCGCCCACCCCCTCACGCCTGCAGGTCTTGGGTTCCGTCATGTTTCCTCATCAGCCTTTCGCCTCCTCTCTCACTGAAAGAAGAGGCAGGCAGAGGCAGGAGCTGGCCGCGGGCTGGGAGGCGACCCCACAGACCCCAGCGTCCCAGTCCAGGCTCGGCTCTCCAGCAGAGGCATGAAGCTGGATCACAGTCAGTGCCTGCCCCGGGCCCCGACCTGCAAAGGGGGGTGCCATGATTCTCTACCATACAGCCTGTGGGTTCTTCCCCAGCCCGACCCCACGTCCCCATTTCACGATGCATTTTTATGCCCCTATTCTGGGAGGAAACAGAGATCCCCTATAACCGAGCATATACTTCCTTTAAAAATCTATTTAGTGCTATAGCTTCACTAAAAAAGGAAAAAGAAAGAAAAGGAATTTGCAGTTCTCAACCTCAGATGACCTTGCTTCCTTCCTCCCTGGGAAACGGAGAATCAGGAGCACCCGAGCTTCCCACCCTAACCACCTGTGCTCAGGGAATGGCCGTCTGAGGTGCGAGGTGCTGCCAGGACCTCCCGGGTCCTCATCCCTCCTCCTGCCAGGGTGTGTCCCTGCTCTCTTTCCTCCGCTTCAGCAAATTCCCCCGTGCTCTGTGTAGTCCCTCAGCCACCCTTTCAGATCCGACAGGGACGCCCACCCCAGCCCACTCCCTCTGCAGCCACCCAGCCTCCTTCCCATCACGAGCACTGGCGCTCACATGGGGTACTCGGACCCATAGGGACATTTGGTGAGACCTGGGCAGGTTTGGCTGTCACACCTGGGGAGGGGTGGGGCAGCTACCAGCATCTAGTGGTTGGAGGCCAGGAATGCTGCATGGCCTGGCCCCCATTCTACACCCCACAGAGCACAGCCTGCATCCTACACCCCACAGAGCACAGCCTGCACCCTACACCCCACGGAGCATGGTCCTATTCTACACCCACAGAGCACAGCCTGCACCCTACACCCCACGGAGCATGGTCCTATTCTACACCCCACAGAGCACAGCCTGCACCCTATGGAGCACGGTCCCATCCTACACCCCACAGAGCACAGCCTGCACCCTACACCCCACAGAGCACAGCCTCATCCTACACCCCACAGAGCACGGCCCCATCCTACACCCCACAGAGCACAGCCTGCATCTTACACCCCACGGCACATCCCCATCCTAGACTCCACAGAGCAGGGCCTGAATCCCATACCCCATGGAGCACAGCCCCTGTCCCACACCCCACAGAAGCAGCTGGTGGGGTCAGCTTGCCCAGCTTCGGGGACAGGAGCCTTGCACTGCCCCCCCAGGCCACACCCTCTCTCCTGCTCCTTCCACTCGCGTCCTCACAGTGTGTGCCCAGGCCCAGGCCTTGGACTTGCCACTCTTCCGTCCACACTGGCTCCCTAGCGTGGGGTCAGCTCCTCTCCAGGGCCACCTCACCAAGGAGACCTGCGGTTTTTATGAATTCCAGGATCACCTGCGAACAGCACAATTGGATCACACTCCAGTGAGTCTGTTAAAAGCATTAATTTGTTATCCATAAACGTGTAAATACAACATAATTTTGGTAAGCCTGTGTTGAGATTTTGTGTTTTTAAAAATCTTCCTAAAAGCTCAAAAACACGGTGGCCAGACCCCCCTCGCTCAGTAGAGGCTGCGCCCAGCCCTCCCCAGCTGGCCCCACCTTCGGGCCCCTCCAGCCCCGGGGCCCAGCCTTGTCCCTTCCAACCAGGGCAGGGAAAGAAGGAGGAGGGGTATCGGTGGGGCTGCACAGGGGCTGCTGGGAGCCTCAGGAAGATCCACGGTCGACCTGGCACCTCTAGATTTCATTATTTCCCTGGCGCTCCACAGGGTCGAGGATGGCGTTTCAAAGAACAATTGCACTTGGTTTATTTACTTAAAAATAAAACACTGATGGGCACACTGGCTCATGCCTGCAATCCCAGCACTTTGAGAGGCTGAGGAAGGTGGATCACTTGAGCTCAGGAGTTCGAGACCAGCCTGGGCAACATGGTGAAACCCTGTCTCTATCAAAAAATACAAAAATTAGCCGGGCATGGTGGTGAGCACCTGTAATCCCAGCTACTCGGGAGGCTGAGGCAGGAGAACCACTTGACCCTGGGTGGTGGGGGTGAAACCCTGCCTCGAAAAAATTAAAAAAATAAAAATAAAATGCTGACAGCCAAGGGCCTGAGCACAGCCCCTCTGGCCAGGCAAGCGTGGGCGGCAGGACGCTGACCAAGAACGCTGGATGATGCATGGGGCTGGGCGGGCACTGGGCAGGCCTGACCCAGAACGAGAGACAAGGTGGGTGCTCGGGGAACCCACATGGATGCCTCTCTTCAGGGCCAGAGCTGGGGCCCTAAGAGCACCTGCCCTTCGTGACCCAGCTTTCAGTCCAGCCTCCAACACAGGGGCCTCAGGCCACCAGGGACATGAATCCGCCATCCCATCAGCACAGGGCCTCAGGGCCTCACAGGCAGCATCCACGCTTGAACCCTGGTGCAGTGTCGCAGCTGCAGCCGTAGGATCACGCAGAGCTGGTGATTTGCAGGTTCAGGGCCGCCCTAAACCTCCTGGTGGATCCTGGGATGTGCACCCCGACTGACCTCCCAGCTGGGCCTGCAGCCCCGTGTGTGGCCAGCGTTGATGCACAGTGCACGCCGTGGGCCGCCTGCCCTCCTCTCGTCTGCCTGGCAATCCCAGCTGTGGCCGGGTCCACTCAACCCTACACATCGTGGGAGCAGGTCCAGCCCTGCTCCTGCCCCAGCCCGGGCCAGTTATGACCAGGCCAGTCCCACAGGGCACTCCTCCCGCCCTCTGCCAGTGGCTGGCTAGGTGCTCAGAGATGACAGTCCTAACGGAGAGGCAGGAAGCCTGCGTGTCCCCAGACATCCCTGCGGGGCCTCCCGCCTTTCAGGGCCCTGCTCATGCACACCGGGCAGCTGCACGGGTCCTTTGGACTTCGGCAGCGACTCTCTGGGAGGGAGGAGCAGAGACAGACCTGGGTGTCCGTGGCCGCCACCGAGCCACCAAGCCTGCAGCGTGCGTGCCTTCATGTGAGGTGTGCTCCCCATGGTTGAAGCTAGTTGTGATGGTGAATTCTGCATCCATAGAGAGGGCCTTGGATGCCCAGGTGGCTGGAAGTATTGCTTCCAGGTGCGTCTGTGCGAGATTTGAGTCTGAATCAGGGGGCTGAGGAAGAAAGGTCTGTCCTCCCCAGTGCAGACAGGGATCAGCCCCTTCTCGGAGGCCCGGCTGGAACAGAAAGGCAGAGGAGGGCAGCTTCATGTCCTGTGTGAGCTGAGACCTCCCTCTGCTCCTGCCTGTGGACATCGGGTGGAGCTGCCAGGTCTCGGGCCTTTGGAGTAGAAGTTATGCCGTTTTCCTCAGCGTGACCCTGGCTCTTAGGTCTCTGCACTCAGGCCAAAGGACCCCACCCAGCTTCCCGGGCCTGCAGCTTGCAGACGGCAGATGATGGGGCCTCTTGGTCTGCACAGTCACGGGAGCCAATCCTCACCCTACATCTCCTCTTGGGTCTCTCTCTATCCGCCGGCTCCTTTCCTCGGGAGAGCCCTGACGCACACACTAGCTGAGTTTGCTTTTCAACAGGCCTTTCCGTCTGGGGCAGGTCAACACCCCACTCCGCCACACACACAGCTGTACCCGGCACAACACGCGGCCACAGGTCACCTCAGGTCGCCTCGGGTGCTCCTCCCGCAGCCCCACGTAGACAGAAGACATTCCTCGGGCCTGGGTGCCCAGCCTCCCGCGTCCTTCTAGGGAGAAGCCGGATTTCCTGTAGAACCTGTGTCTTCTCCACCCTCAGCCTCCGGAGGTTCGGAGGCACTCACTGACCCCGCCATGCAGGCGGGCACACGAGGCAGGCGCTCCTAAGGAAAAGGGGGCGGCCAGCGGCCCCCACCGCTGGGTCACGCTATCCCCTCTGCCAGAACCACTGGGCCACTGGGTCCCGTTAGCGTTCACTCTGTCAGACTTGAGTTTTCTGTAGCTGAAAATCAAAGATCTCAGCTGCTAACAGGGCTGGCGAGCCTCAAGCTGCTCCTGCAGCGACATCCCCAAGTCCGTGTGGGTACAATGTGCCAGGGCCGGCCGCCAAGCCCAGGAGCCTCCCCACAGCACATCCACACACGCGCTTGTTTTATTTTTATTTGTTGTTGTTTAAACTCACACTGAGAGGCACAGAACGCCCGGGGAGGGTGCTGCGTGCAGAGCCGGGACCTCACTTCCCGGGTTCCGATTCCGCCTCGAGGACGCGGGTGCGGCAGACACGGCCCAGAGCCCTCGAGGGCCACGAGGCACAGACGCCCCCACCTCGGATCTTTCTGGATTCCTGGGGAATCTGTCGTCTCTACAGAAGCTTGAGTTCATATTACTTAACAGTTTCTTTTAAATCGACTCATCTTTTAAGTTAAATTAATTCGTTTCTTAAATAAGTGATGGATTGGCACCAACAATAGAAAACATGTATCGTTTTACTAGTAAATATCAGTAAACAGAATGGAAATGGGATGCTGCATTGAGAGTATGGCCAGGTGTGTCTGTTAGCAAAGCCCGTGTGCCTGGATCCGTGGGACACGGTGGAGGAGGTGGAGGGAAGCTCCCTCGGCATGATCTGATTCTCTCCAACTCCATGTCCCTGGGCCAGCTCAAGGCCTCCGCCCCCACCAGGTGCCCTCGGGGTTGGAGAATCATCAGCCCACCCTCATCTCAGAGGCGAGGGGAGGTGGGCGGCGCCAGCGGGGGGGTCCTTCTGCTGTGCCGCGTGCCTCCTTCAGTGCCCACAGGGCCCCCCGAGGCTGTTGCTCCGGGCATCCCCCCTTTACAGATAGGGAAACCAAGGTGCAGGGGTCGTGTGACCGGCCCACAGTCGTGCAGCTGAGGAGGGAGGAGCTGGGTTTGAACCCAGGCGGTCGACGCCACAGTCAGTGAGGCAGGTGCCCAGGGTGGACTCTCGCTCCAGGGGCCTCCTGGCGTCCCAGCGGGGAGGAGGGTGCCTGGCAGTGGGTGGAGCCAAACGCTGCTCAACATCCACAACCCACCCAGGGGGCGGCCCCGCCAGGAAGAACTGCCCCACCTGTGTCAGCCCTGACTGAGGGTGCCTGTGGGTCCGGAGTCGAGGCCCCTGTTGGTCCAGAGTCGAGGCCCCTGTGGGTCTGGAGTCGAGGCCCCTGTCGGTCCGGAGTCGAGGCCCCTGTGGGTCCAGAATCAAGGCCATGGTACACCAGCTGCTCCGGAGACCTTGGTTTCCCGTCTGCTAATGAGTCGCCCGTCTCATCTGGGTCCTGGCAGATCCGAGTGAAACTGAAAATGTGCTTCAAGCAGCTAGTGAGACGGGCACCACCAGAGATGGGACCTCAGTGCCCCCACAAAACAGGCACCCACAGTGTCACATCCCTCGTCAAGAACCTTCTGGCATGGTCCGGAGCCTGGGAGTGCAGCCAGCACCCTTCCGGGGCCAACAGGCTGTCCTGGCAGCCCCCTGCCCTAGCACCTCACCATCTCCCTCACTCACTTCGCCCTGACCACCCCAACCCCAGGGCCCACTGTGGCCTCTGCACCTGCCACCGACACCCAGCACTTCCCCCGGATTCTCTCCTGGCAGCTCCTTCTCCTCATTCACAATTCAGAGAGTGGCTCCCTCCCCACCCACCTGTGTGTGTCCCAGGTCACTGCAGTGGCACCGAGTGGGGAGGCTCCACCCCACACACCTGTCCCCTCACACACCTGTCCCCTCACACAGGAGCCCACACACCTGTCCCCTCACACACCTGTCCCCTCATACAGGAGGCCGGGAGTTGGATGTCAGGCGCGCAGGGCCACACTCCCTCTGAAGGCAGTGGGTAAGACACATCCTGCCTCTCCCCAGCCCCCGCCTCGGCCCCCTGCACCACCCCAGCCCCCGCCTCGGCCCCCAAGGGGCGTCCTCCCCTCCAAACCCCCACTGTCTCTCCTCGTCTTAGAAGGGCCACAGTCATTGGATTTAGGGCCCACTAATCCCCAGTCCTGGCTGAGGGCATCTTATCTAATTACTTCTGCAAAGACCCTGTTTCTAAATAAGCCACATTCCGAGGTTCCAGGTGGACGTGAGCTTCCGGGCGGGCCCCGTTCAACCCGTAACCATCCCCGCCACCCAGATACCCATTCGTCCACGTCACTCAGGCCTCCTCGTAGGTTTGTCTGAGACCATCTGGACCATGCAACTTACTCACTCCCCGTCTTCCTCCCTGGGATGTCAGCCCCTGAGGTGGGGACATCTCTGCTCAGGCCCGCGTCCTCAGCGCAGTTCAGGAATGCAGCAGGTGCTCACGAATTCGCCAGGAAGGAACGGACATGCGGCACATGAGGTGGTGCCGTTGCTCACTGAGACAGGCCCTCAGCTCATAGGGGCTGGGCCCGCAAATGCCAGTTCGAGCACAGCAAGCACCCAGCATCCCCGTCCGTGACTCAGTTGCCCCACAGAAGGCTCCGGGAGGGGTGAGTGTTTGCACAGGGAATGGGGGCGTCTGCCCAACCCCAGCTCCTGTCACCCCTTCACAGTTTGCCCCCTCCTACTTCCAGAACGTAGGAAGCACCATGGCGTCCCCAGGCATGGGAGGGGGGTTTGCAGGCTCTGCGAGGATGGAGGTGGGAGCAGGCCTGGGCGGCTTCCTGGGAGGGCCTGGTGAGCCCAGGGGACCGGGCGCAGAGCCCAGGGCCGAGCTGCTTCCGTGCTACGAGATGATACAACCCTTGGCACCTTTTAAACGACTGGAAAATGAGTTTCTCCTTCCTGTGAATGGCAGCTAGAGGGGGGACTGTCAGACTTAGGCTGACACCAGTCCGCTTGCTGAGTGGCGGGGCGGCCATCGCTCTCCTGGCCGTCCCGTACGGGAAAGCCCAGGCCACAGGGGCACTTCCTCGGGCTCGAGAGCCGTGCGTCAGCCTTGCCCCCTCCTCCAGCGCCTCCCGGCTTCTCCACCTCCTTGTCCCTTCACAGGCATCTGTGCTTGCTCAAGAGAAAATGGGCTGCTGACCACACGGGTCTCAAGACATGGATCCCATCCTGCCCGTTTGTCCTCAGTGGGAGATCTGACATGGAAATTTACAGACTTATTTTTGTCAAGTTTCCAGCCAATGAAGGATAAACTGTCCTTTCAGAAAATAGTTCCAAGACTCTGAAATATGCAGGTTGCTGTGCTGAATTGTAAATGCAAACACTCAGCCCAGCACACGCCGACGCTGGGGATCACCGCCTGCCTGGGTCGTTCCTAGAAGCTCGGGCTGCTGCGTTTGCAGACAGAAGGCTGCCGACCGGGCCTGCTCTACGCAGGTCTGCTCCGCCCCAAGGGAAGTGGCTGACAAGTGTTTAGGAACTCATCTCCCCCAAGACTCAAAGGGGCAGGTCTGCACAGAGGCCACCCTCCGGGTTAAGGGAACGGGCTGAGTGGCTCTGAGTGGTCAGATGGGGTCAAAATCCCCAGCGAATCTGGGGGCAGCGATGGGGAGGACAGCTGTGTGTGAGTGCAGGCAAGGAAGAGAACGCACAACCAAAATGTCGTTCATCTCAGCCAGGAAATGCCAGGCTCCTCCGAGTGCCGGGAGCCCCAGCGGACGTCAGAAAACCGGAGAGGCAATCCCCGTCCAGTAGCCACGAACCAGCCTCATCGTCGGAGTCAGAGTGGGGGCTCTGGCCGTGGGTAGTAACTATTTTTTCAGTTTTTGTAGTAAATCCACAATCATGGGGAAGCTGTGAACCTCGGCCGGGGCGGGGGCCCGGAAGTTAATGATCCGGGTGGAAAGACGGTCAACGCTGCTGCCACTGTGGAAGCGAGACCTGCCGGGGCCGGGACTGAAGCCTCCAGGGCGCTGCAGCTGTCTTCCCGGCCACGGCCACTCCGGCTGTTTGGATCAGCAACGTGGGACGTTGTAATACACGGAGGGAATTCAGGGGAGGGTAGAGACGATGAACTCAAGCTGGAAAGGCCGCCTGAACCAGCAGGAGCCATTTGGGAAATAAAACTCACAAATGAATAGGAAAAGCTTTCTGCTGGAAACCGCACTTCCTAGCAAGGAGAATTTCTCAAAGCGTTTCCAAAATGGAAACGCTTACGCAGAGCAGAGCAGACGCTTGGAAAGCCCTTTTTAGAAACCCACACCTGACACCCTCCGGAGCTCTCGAGGGAGAGTGTGCCGGAGCCGGCAGAGTGGGGGCCGCAGGACATTCCGAGACGCACGCGTGGCGGCAGCCAGGCATTGCCCGGGCCGAGCCTGTGCGCCTCCAGCCGCGCCTTCCGCACGACCCCGCGCGCTCCGACGGCGCTGTCTGTGAGCTCCTACCTGGCCCTCACTCATCACGCGGGACTGACGGGGCACGTGCTTTGTGCCGCGCGTGCAAGAGACGCTGTCCTCGTACGGCTGACCTGCCGGGGCCGCGTCCGAGACCCCGGACCAGCGGCTATGGATGGGACTAAGGCAGTGTGGGCCGACTGCCTGTCACTTGTGGCAGCGGGGGGTCTTTGGACTGGCTCCCCAAGTTCACGCTCTCAGCTGTGCAGTCTGCCTGCTGCTGAAGCAGATGCCATGGCCCCGGCTCTTGTCAGGGAGACACCCTCCCATCTAGACCGCCGCCCTCTGCAGCCGGGTGCAAGGCAAGTGTTGGGTGGCCTGGCATTCTCCCCCCACCGCCCCTTTCTCACCCCCCAGCCTCTCCATTCTGGTTCAGCCAGGTCTTCACTGGTGGTCACTCATGGTGCCCGGACTCCTGGCAGTGTTTTGCGTCCGGATTAAAGGTCTGGGACCCCACTGTGGCGAAGGCAGCCTGGGGAGATACGCCCCTTGGCAACCTGACCACCCCTTCCCCAAGCCCTCCAGCCCCACAGGAACGTCCCCTCAGCTGCTGCTCTGAACACACACTGGGGCTTCCCAAAGCAGGGGCTGCGTCCCGGTGGGCCCAGCTTGCAGACATGGCTGTGGGCCATGCACGGGCACAGCTTTATGAGATGCCACCCCACTTCAGACCTTGCTCTCCCAAGTTCTTCCGGCGTCGTGCTCATGTGGCCCCGGCTCAGGCCTCCCTGGGGGACAGGGCAGGCCTTGGTGGGGTGACGCCTGCTGGAGTCTCCAGGCTGTTCCCACGGCACTCAGTCACCTTCTACTCACGGGTGCGCTGGAGACACACAAGTGTCTCTTAAGTTCATTTAAACAAAACAATGAATTGTTTGGAGAAAAACCCTCTCGCTTGCTCACTGGACAGATATTCGTGGAGTGCTATGTTCACAGTACCGCCAGAGGCCTTGGGCATCAGAGCCAGGACCAGACAGACACAGCCTCGCCCTCAGTGGACACGAGCGAGGTGTCACACAGTCATGGGGGGATGCATGAGGCACGTGGGAATTCCTGAGGCTGGAGGAAGCCTGAGTCCATGTCCCCAGAGGGGGGGCCGTGGGCAGGATGAGCGTGCAATGAGCGTGCACCACACTCCAACCTTCTCTGACCAGCAACTGGCTGGCCACAGTGGGGCCTTCTGCTTTTTTAATGTAAACTTTTAGTAACTACAGAAACCTAGGTCCCTCTGAAACCAGCGCCACCTCGCTGGACCTCTCTGGGCCCCGTGGCCCACCCCGCTCCAGGCTCTCAGCTTTCCTGCTGCTCAGGCCCAGACCTCTCAGACCTGGGACCTGGGCTAGGGCAGGTCAGTGAGAGGGAATTCACACATGTGCTCTGAATTTTAGAAACAACCTCCCTCACAACCAACCAACAAAAGGAAAACTTCCCATCGCCATCCCTGGCTCCATCCTCCATTCAGAGCCTTTCTTCCTGAGGGGCAGGAGGGCCAGGACCGCGCCAGGCAGGGGTGATTCTCCTCTCCCAGCAGAGTGAGTCCAGCCGCTGCGACGCGGGCGACCGTGCTCCCTGGCGGTGACCTTCACTCGCTCCACGCCCACAGCAACAAACAGCCTGGCATGCCTTAGCGCTGCCCAGGCCTCGCATGGACACAGGGGTAGGCCCTGCAAGCGCCTAGAGAAAGTGGGGGCTCTTTGTCTCTCTCTCCCCTTCCCATCTCAAGGGGCTTGAAAATTTTCTTAAAGGCAGAAGGGTTTGAATGCCCAGACAACTGAATGGAGACAGTTCTTCCCCTTCTTTTCCTTGAGTTTAGAGGCTCTGAAATTTAGCGTTTATGAGACTTACTGTGTCTGCTGCGCACAAAACCATGGATGCTGTCTTTTATGTGCAACTGAAGATATTCAGAAGGGTGGTTTTTGTGTATAAACATTTTTTCCTTGCCTTGAGCGCTGAACTTAGAAGCAAACCTTGATGTACACATAGGAGTGACTACACAGAGCTTCCTTAATGAACATCCCTCTGGGGCCTTATGAATTTGAATCTGCACACATTCCTTAGGAGTTCTTTGCCAAGGTCAATGGATATCCCAAAGAAAGGCCACTGGACCAGCGGAGGCAGGGTGTGGGAAGAACTTTGGATTCTGGGCCCCTCCCCACCCCAGTGGCCCTCCCGCTCCTCCAGCTCCCATGAAGACGTGGACTTCCTTCCACCAGGCCCCTCCCAGCCAGCAGAGGAATTCCAGGAAGCAATCAAGGCAGGGAAAAGGGATCAATCCATTTTGTTTCGGATTTCCCCCTCTCCTTTCTGAACTCGGATGGATTAGTATCGAGTGGGAGCTCCCAGGAATCAATTTTGCATCCTGGGATGTCACATTCTGGAACAGGCTGTGATCTAAGAGCTGGCCGCCTCCTCCAGGGAGCTTCTTACACACCTTTTAGCACTGAGAGCCTGTGCCAACATCAGAGCGGGTAATGCTGTTTCAAAGGGCCTCATGGCGACAGACATCAGGCCTCTACGGCACCGCCCTCCCCGTAGGGCCCCACCGGGGGTGAGAGTAATTTTGGTGTCTCCCATCATTTCCTGGGGCAAAGATTGACTGACTCTTGGGTTTAGACACTGTGCCTGGCCTGCTGGTCACAGAGAGGAACGCAGCACAGCCTCATCACAGAGGGGGACGAAACTCGGCCTCATCAAAAGGTTGAGGGCAAAGACAGAGGCAGACAGATGGCAGGGGCCGTTCGGAGAAAGGCTGACAAGGGAGGACAGCTAGGATGAAGGAAAGAAGGAGAAACAATTTTAAAAGAAAGAAAGGAGGAAGGGGGAGGGAAGCGAAGAGGAAGAAGGGAGGGGACAGAGGACAGGAGGAAGCGGGATGGGAGAAGGCAGTGGGGGCGGTGGGCGGTGGGGGGAGACACACTTTCCCGGAATGCTTCCTTATCTCCCGCCAATGTCAGCAAAGCGGATCATGGGTCCTGGCTTTTTCCACCACCAAGAATCCCAGCCGATTCTCACCTTGAAGGGTGAGGCAGGGAAAACGACTCACAGGGCCGAGCTGCCCTCGTGGTGTTACACAACCTCAGTGTGCTGCCAATGTTTTTATGTAATCCTCTGGCTCTCCCCATAAAACAGACCATAACACCATGGCGAGCACACTTCAATAGAGCCATGTGCTATTGCCGGGCACACCGCCTTCCGGGAGATGAATTGCTCTGCCGGGCGGCTGGGCGGCTGCTTGAACTACTTTTCTCCCCTCGTGGCTCCAGCTGAATCAGAAAGATCAGAGAAGCCACAGAGCTCACCAAGCACAGCTCTGCGGGAAAGTCAGGGATTCTGTGGGTGATGGGAAGGCGCTCAGGAAGTCAGGGTGCTCTGAGTCAGACAAAGCTGGGACAACCCCTCCTCATGGGGATTCACCTCCCCCTCCCACCCCACGGCCTGTCTGCAGCCCACCCTCAAGAGAGGGTGTGGCTCCTGAAGGAAACGCAAGACCACCCCCCGCCTTTGCCCCCACACACAGCAGGCACATCCGGAGCCCCCGCCTGCCCGCGTAACCCCAGCTCCCGTCACCTCCCACTCGAGCCTGTTACGGATGCTTTCTGGAGGAGGTTTGCTGGGGCTGCCAAGGCAGAAGCCTGAATCATCGGCACGGAACGGAAAGCCACACCAGCTAGTGATGTAGGCACATGCAAACTTTCTCCTTCCTGGCGCCCCGGTGCAGAGTGGCCTTGGGGGCGGCTGCTCCTCCGGGAAGGTGGAGCAGCTGGAAAAGTGCTTGCTCTCAGCAGCTGTGGCCGCTGGCCCTGACCTGTGGTGATGCCGGTGCTGCTCCTCGGGCTGACCTACGTCCGCTCGTGATGAAACAGACCCACCGGGAGCTGGAGGCTTTCATGGATTCTGGGGCTCCCAGGTGCCACAACTTGGGCCCCCCTGGGTAATGAGTCCTGCCAAGCCCTGCATGATCCTCAACTCCATCCTCCCAGGAGTCTCAGGTCTCAGCTTCAAGCTTCTCCCATAACAACTTTCTAACGCGGCCTCGGGCACCCCCAGGACAGGGGGCCGCCTAGCCCAGTGGTCGAAGCATTTGGGGTGCCTTCGAACCTCAGGGGCAAAGGACACTGCACCAGCAGCCTCCCAAGTGTGGCGTCCCCACCCTCCTCTTTCCCCACCTTCAAGAGTGGAGGGGTCGGCGCAGCCTAAACCTGACGGCCCCCACTCCTGGAGCGCCAAGCCAGCCCCCCACCCCACACTCCTGGACCTAGGCACTGCCTGCTTCTAGAGCAGCTCCAAAGATCCTCTGCAGAAGTTCCCTCGGAGAGCAAGTTTGCGTCATTGTGGGGGCAGGGGGATTCCTCAAGTCTCCACTGGAGGGGTGGGTGCCCGGTGCGGGGGGAACCCAGGTTGCTGCCCGCTGCTGAAGGGGCTTCCGCGGCCCTTCCCTCTCCTCTCTCCTGTATATTCCCTCCCACAGGGGCGCAGAGGGGCGCGCACCCGAGGCCGGCCTGACCCATCGCGCCCGGGGTGGCCACTGTCCCGGGCAGGGCTGCCCCCACTCCGCCCCGGCGCCCCCGCTCACCGTTGAGCTGGTTGTAGACCACCTCCTCCAGGTGGTCCAGGCGCTGCAGGATGGCCTCACGGTCCCCCAGCGTGCCCACCTTGGCGTGTCGGCTGCGCACCCGGCGGTCGCCGCTCACGATGCGCACGAGCTCCTGGGAGCGGCCCTGCAGGCGGCAGTACACGGAGAACAGGACGATGCCCACGAACACCAGGATGTTCACCGTCAGCAAAGTTCGGATCTTCCTGGCCACCGCCATGAACACGGCTGCAGCGGGGGCCTCACCCGCGGGGCATCCCCAGCATCCCCGCCCGGGCCTGGGCTTCAGCTTCGGCTTCGGGGACCATGAGCCGCCCGGGGCTGCGGGGGCTGCGGGGCTCGGCCGGAGCTGTCCCTTCAGCACCAGCTCAGCGCGCCGGGCCACGGCCGCCGGGGGTCCCCCAGAGCGCAGAGGGCTGCCCGGGGCTGGGGTCGCGGGGCGCGGCCGGCATCCCCCGCTCAGAGGGCGCGGCCCCGCCCCGGGGAGCGGTGAGGGGGGCCGGGGGCGCCGGGGGGCGGCGGGGAAGGCGCGGGCGGGCGGCGCTCGGTGTCTGTGCCGGCTCCTGTCCTGCCCGCCCCGCAGCCACCGCGCCGGTGCAGAGTGACGCGGCCTCACCTCACCTCATCTGCAACCGCGGCCCCAGGACCGCCCCGCCCCGCCTCCCCCACCCCTCAAGGCCGCCCCCCGGGACCGCCCCGCGCGCCTGCCCCGCCCCCCCCACCGCGCCCCCCCGGGGACCCCAGGACAGCAGGTCCGGGGGGCGGGGGACGGGGGGCGGGGCGCGCGGGGTAGCCTGGGCCAAGGGCGCGCGGGCGCGGGGAGCGGGGGCGGGGCAGGCGCGGACCCTCCCTCCCCAGGACCCGCCAGACGCCCGGGGCCCCCAACGGCCAGCACGGTCCGAATCGACCCCAAGCTTGACCCGAGGGCAGCGGGGCCTCCGGGAATGCCTGGCCAGGGCGGTGTCGCCGGGAGTGAATGGGGGAGGGGGCGGCCGGGGCAGGACCCGGGTCAGGGCCACTCTGGTAGTCTCCTGCCCACCCCTCCCCAAGCCGAGCTCCCGGCCTCCCTCCCTCTCCCCCGTCCAGGGCTGAGGACTGGGGAAGCTGAGTCCCGGGACGGGTATGGGGGGGTTGGGGCTTGGGATGCAGCCGGACCTCCGGGAACAGCAGGGGGCCCTGGAGCCACCAGGAGGGAGAAGGCCCCGTCCCTGAGCCAGGCTCGCAGGTAAGACCCGAGGCCGCAAACCCCGGCTGCCCCCACCCCCAGCCCAGGCTCTGATCTGGCCCCACACTGGCGTTTTGTGGAGGAGACCCTGGAAGCCAGGGGAGATGTCAGCCAAGCCGCGCAGCACAGGGGCCCAACTTCCACTGGCAGAATGCAAGCACCCAAGAGGCAGGAGTTTCACCCAAAGGCAGGGTTCACCCCTGTGTTCCCAGAGATTGGACACATAGCTGGTGTTCAGTAAACATTTGCGGGATGAGTGAATAAATGACGGAGCATTTATTAAGAGCATGGCTGTGCTTGGCTCTCCATACAGAGATGAGTAAGGCAAGGGGCTTCACAGCTCTTGGCTGTGTGTGTGTCCGTGTGTGTGCATGAGTGTGCATGCATTTGCCTCTGTGTGCCTGTGTATCTGCATATGTGCATGTCTGTGTTGTCAGCACGCATGCATGTGCATGTGTCCACGTGTTTCTGTGTGCATGTCTGTGTGCCCGTGTGTGCATGTATCTGTGTGTGCATGTGCCTGTGTCTGTGTGCATTGTCTCTGTGTGTGTTCATGCGTGTGCATGTGTCTGTCTGTGCCTGTGTGTATTTGTGTATGTGTCTATGTATGTCTGTGTGTGTGTTCACATGTGTGCATATCTCTGTGTTCATCTCTGTTTGTTCATGTGTGCATGTGTCTCTATATCTGTGTGCATCTATGTGTCTGTGTTTGTGTGTCCATGTGTGCATTTGTCTGTGTATCTGTGTACGAGTGTCTGTGTGTCTGTGTGTGCATGTCTGTGTTTGTGTGTTCATATGTGCATGTTTCTATGTATATATGTCTCTGTGTTCATGTGTGTTCATGTCTGTGCATGTTCACATGTATGCATGTTTCTCTCCATGTGTCTCTGTGTGTGCATGTTTCTGTGTATGTATGTCTGTTCATGTGTGTGGTCTGTGCATGTTCAAATGTGTGCATGTCTGTGTGTTCATATCTGCATTTGTTCATGTGTTCATGTGTCTATGTGTGTGTTTGTATGTATATCTGTGTGTGCATGTGCCTGTGTGTGTGTGTCTGTGTATGCACATGTGTGTAGGGGGATCTGGGGGGTTCTGGCTCTGAGCTTAGTACTCTATTCTTCAAATATCCGTTTCTTGGCATCGGGCATGACAGCCTATCCAGCTTGGAGGTTTTCTGCCCCTTGGCTGAGGCTGGGCGAGCCGAACACCCATTTCTCCTTTCTTTGTTGAGCCATTCTTTTCTTCCTCAGGATGTTTATCCCAGGAAATCCAGAGGATCAGAACCAGGCAGGACCCGGCACTGGGACGGAGGCAGCTGTCTGCGGGGCGTTTACCGTAGATACGTATCACCTGTTCTGAGACAGAGCCTGGGAGGCTGTTTTTAATCATCCGGGAGGTGATTACTATGCAGCCAGTGTGATAAACCCTGGTCTGTTTTTGATCAATAGCCATTCCCGTGTCCCTCCTGAAAATGCCGTATTCTTCTGCTTATAAAATGCAGGTTGTAAAATGTTTCCCGACGTTACGAGGACAGCTGCTGGAATAATGATGCAGGTAGCTGGCACACACGCAGTGCAAAGGTTTCACCAGACATGGTCTTCTATGCCTATCACCTGGTCAATACGAGCAGCAGCCACGTTAAGGTGTAATACACACTGGCGTCATCTAACGTTCCATGTGAGGAAACTGAGGCACACAAAGGGCAACTGGCTTGCTCAAGGTCGCGTGAATGGCAAAGCGTGGATCTGGGATTCAAGCCCAGACAATTGGGCTCCAGAATTGACTTTATTAGTCATGATCACTCCAGAGAAAACATCAAGCACTTTTCATTACATGTTTAATGAAAATGATGTTAAAGTGGTTTTGTAGGAGAAAACATTTCATTCATGTAAATACATTTTACTGCATTCTAAAATCTAGCAGGAAAAGATGTGGCCTAACTACCGTCAAGATCTGGGTACATTTCATTGGAAATACAAGCACATTGGACATGGGAAAATACTGGGGAACTTTACATGGAAGAGAATGCATCTGATAGTCTGGCGCACTAGCATTTGCTGGATTTTTAGGACATATGGGAGGCCGGGTGCGGTGACCTCCCCCAGCAATCCCAGCAATTGGGGAGGCTGAGGCCGGTGGATTGCTCGAGCCCAGGAGTCCAAGACTAGCCCGGGCAATATGGTAAAACCTCATCTCTATGAAAAAAAATACAAAAAATTAGCCGGGTGTGGTGGTGCACAGCTGTAGTCTCAGCTACGTGGGAGGTTGAGGTGGGAGAATCACCTGAGCCTGGGGAAGTCAAGGCTGCAGTGAGCCGAGATTGCACCACTGCACTCCAGCCTGGGTAACAGAGTGAGACCCTGTCTCAACAAACAAAACACAAAAATATATATATGCTGAATGCTCAGTGAGCTGTAACATGTGAGGCAGCCCCCAGGGGTGCCGAGATGAACCGCTAAGAAGGCGTATGTTCCCACGGGGTGCAGAGATGAACCCCTGTCTGAGAAGGCGCATGTACCCATGGGGTGCAGCGATGAACCCCTGTCTTGAGAAGCCGCATGTACCCACGGGGGTGCAGAGATGAACCTCTGGGAAGGCGCATGTACCCACAGGGTGCAGAGATGAACCCCTGTCTGAGAAGACGCATGTACCCACGGGGGTGCAGAGATGAACCTCTGGGAAGGCGCATGTACCCACAGGGTGCAGAGATGAACCCCTGTCTGAGAAGACGCATGTACCCACGGGGGTGCAGAGATGAACCTCTGGGAAGGCGCATGTACCCACAGGGTGCAGAGATGAACCCCTGTCTGAGAAGGTGCATGTACCCACGGGGTGCAGAGATGAACCCGTCTGAGAAGGCACATGTACCCACGGGGTGCAGAGATGAACCCCTGAGAAGGCGCATGTACCCACGGGGTGCAGAGATGAACCCAACTGAGAAGGAGCATGTACCCACGGGGTGCAGAGATGAACCTGTCTGAGAAGGCGCACACACCCACAGCTGCCCCTCATCTTAGCACCACAGTGCCAGCCCCACCCTGTCTTTGATAAGCCCTGGCCTTCCAGGGCCTCCCTCAGAGAACCAGCCCCTGCGGAGTCCCTGAACGTAGCTGCGGTCTGGGGTGCCGACCCTCGGCACTGGGAGAAACCCTCACCAGTAGCATCACCCCCCAGTGAGCCAAGATCGCACCACGGCAGCATCACTGGGGAGGGAGTCACGTGGTTGTCACTGCAGAACTCTGGAGAGGCAGGCTCTTGCGTGGGTGGGGGCCATGGAGGACGCAGCGTGGGATTTAAAATGAGCCCAGTGAAGGGAAATGCTGGTTCTTCAATGTCCATGAGCTCAAGCCCTGTGGGAGGTGTAGCCTCGATTATTTTGCACAGATCTGAACAGCATTCACCCCCAGTTGGATATGGCCCTTTCCTCGAAGCACAGATTGGAACTCAAGGTCACTGAAGTGCTTTCTGGCCGCATCATGGAGAGAAAGGCATTTTCTCACTCAGGCATCACCCCGGGAACGTGGCGTGCCATGTTTTAGCATCTAAGTGTGTCCCCCGAGGAGGCAGGGTTATGCCGTAATCACAAGCAAACCCCAAACCTCAACGGCATAAACGACACAGGGTAATTTATCATGGGATTGCGTGTCCACCTGGGTCCCCGCGGAGCTCTGTTGACTGGAGTCGCT
Source organism: Homo sapiens (assembly GCF_000001405.40). Lineage (NCBI taxonomy): Eukaryota > Metazoa > Chordata > Mammalia > Primates > Hominidae > Homo > Homo sapiens. Next base: position 132,333,895 of record NC_000012.12, read on the forward strand.
CGGAGCCCCCGGCGCGAATGCTGGATGGCTGGGCGGGGAGGAGCGCTCAGGGGCTTCACGCTGTCAACACCCCACTCCGAAGTGACTCCCGCTGCTTCCAGCAGTCACCTGCTGGACAGAGACCGTCACACGGGCCCCTTCACGCAGTGGGGTGGGAAGGGAGATCCTACCGCGTACCTGGAAGACGGGAGAACAGGGGTGTTTCGGTGAGTAGTGCTCTCTCTCAGTCCGCACGGCAGCCTTCCAGCAAATCGGGATTTTATGCCAAACTCGCCCCACGCCCCCAAATGCCAGGTTCCCCGGGGTAGCAACGAATGACACGTTGTCCAATCAGACTTCAGTGTAACCATGTCACAGAAGACATGACTAAAGCAAAACAGGACTGGGTGGGGCGCATTTTGGTTTTGACGAGGTTGGGTCTGGGTCTCTGCTTCCCTCTCCTGGGCCAAGATCCTCTGGGCGTGGAGTTCAGGAATGAGGGTGGGACCTTCCCCAGGAGACCCAAGTATGGGCAGCGGTTGCTGGGACCAAGTCCTCACTGAGAGTGACTTCGACAAACATCCATTGGCAGCTCCAGCTTAGGCCCAGGAGACAAAGTGGGGGTCACTGACACCCCGGATTTTTTTTTTAATGACTGAGTCATGATTTGAACACTGGTCTGTTGGATTTCAAGATCTGTGATTTTCTCACTGAACACGCTAACTCCTGGGACAGCAGAGAGTTCCTTAGATTGGACCTAATAACACACTGATCCCCTCCCCTCCTGCTTTTCTGTATTTTTTAAAAATTATTTTGTTTTTAATTCACAAATATTGTATATGTTATATGGGGTAGAATGTGATGTTGATATATGTTTAAAATGTGGAATGATTAAATCAGGCTAATTTACTTTTTTTTCCTAAAAGGACCTTGGCTTCAGAATTAACTTTAATTTTCATTCCACTTTGCTTATATGGCCTTGGCAAGATCAGTCCTTGTAGCACGGCCGGGACTTAAGCTCTGAACCACCAGTGAGGAGGTCGTTGGTCTGAGCCTGCTTTTCCAAGTCCTATCTTCCCTTCTTGGGTTCAGACAGCAGATCCGACTGTAAGTGGCTTTAAAGAGACAGCAGACATGTTTGTGGCAGTTTATTCATTGCCCCTGGATGCCACCCTTGCATGCCCCCTATGTGACAGCTAGCGGCCCACAGCCCATTAACCCTGCAGATGGGCACAGCAGGCCTCAGGGAGGTGATGTGGGTTCAGTGTGCCGAAGATGAAGAGATGCAGGGGACTCAAACCCACTGGCCGAGGCACCACCCGTTTCTCCAGGCAAAGAGGTGAGTCCCAACCAGTGAAGAGAAGGGAGAAGTGGTGCCAGGGCGAGAACGTGTGTGTGCCTGTGTGTGTGCCTGTGTGTGCTTGTGTGTGTGTGCATGTGTGTGTGCACATGAGCTTCTGTATGTCTGCAGCTGCACATGTACATATATGTGCATGTGTGCATGTGTGCCTGAGTATGTGTGCATGTGCACCTTTGTGTGCCTCAGTATGTACACGTGTGTGCATGCATGCATGTGCATTGTGCTTGTGTGTGTGCATGAGCCTGTCTCTGCCTGCACATGTGCGCCTAAGCATGTACCCGTGTGTGCATGCATGTGTGTGCATGTCTTTGTGTGCCTAAGTATGTACACGTGTGCATGCATGTGTGTGCATGTGTGTGTGCGTGTGTGCCTGTGTGCCTATGTACGTGTACCTCTGTGTGTGCCTGCACATGGACACGCATGTGTGTGCATGTGTTTGCCTGAGTATGTACATGTGTGTGCATGCATGCCTCTGTGTATGACTATGTACATGTGTGCATGCCTGTGTGTGTGTGAGAGAGGGAGAGAGGGAGTGAAGGAGGGAAAAAGAGAAAAAGGGAGAGAGGAAGATGGAATGGGGATAGAAGGGAGTTATAATAAAAATGGAGGACTTTGGGTGCATTTTCTGCTATTTTTTTCTCCCGAAAACGCTGTAAAGGGGTTATATAATTTGAGTGTCCTCAGTGCTGAAATTGCGTTTACCCCTTGGGTCCTAACCCAGCTTTGTGACGACTGTGGTGCGATCCCGGTTCCCTGGCAGTACTTGTCAACAGGGTCAAATGCCTGTTCCTTGCCGGTCTCTTCTGTGGAACAAAACCCTCACCTAGGAGGGTTTCAGGTTTTGCCTTAATTTTTATCAAATCTGTAGAGGATATTTCTGCGCCAGATACTGCTCCAGACACTTTTCAAAAATGCATTCTCTGCAGCTTCAGAGCAGCCCTTTGCGAGGGGGCATCCGTGCCATGCCCGTGGTATAGATGGGGAAGCAGAGGCAGCTGGAGTTTCCATAACTGGCCTGAGGCCGCGCAGTTACAGGAGATGGGGCTGGGGCTCTGCCCGGGCAGTCTGGCTGCAGAGTCCAGCTTTTAAGCTCGTCTCTAAGCTGCCTCTGCTGCCAATGAACCATCATAAAATAGATTTTTTTTTTTTTATCCTACAAAGGGTTCATTTTTCCTGTTTCCTTCTGGCCCATAATGTGGATAACTTGCCCCTTCAGCACAAGTTGGTGAACAATTCATCCACCAGCATATTCAAACCACGGCCAACCAGTGGCTGAAAACAACAGCAAGCAGCCGCCTAGCACAGGGATCTGTCCGTGGGCTGGACGCGACAGGGAGGACTCGGCTCTGCGCCTGGGGCCCGGGACCCCGACTGGAGGTGGGGTCGGCTCTGCTCCTGGGGCCCGGGACCCCGACTGGCAGTGGGGGCTGGAGGAAGCTGTGCTCATCGGATGGCTTGGCACTCACGCGTCTGAGGGTTGTGGCTGGCCTTGGCAGAGGCCCGCTCCTGGCAGTGGCTGAGCTGTCGGAATCCAGCACCCTCCCCTCCACATGGCCTGAGCTTCCTCACAGCATGGCTGCCAGGTTCCAAGCTCCAGCCCTGGGAGAGACGGCCAAGCGGGAGCTGCATCATGCTCCCACATTTCCTGTTCTTGATTTGCCCCCACTGGGCACTGTAGCCTTCCTGCCAACGCAGCTCTCAGGAGTACGGCTGCTGCATGCCAAGGCATTTCCCCACATGGCCCTCCTGTGTGCTGTAAATGCCTTCAGCTCCTCAATGGAACGCACGTGTGGTGAGCACTGCTTCCTCGGTGTAAATGCTCCCATCATAGCTGGTTTCAAGCCGACAGTGCAACCACTGAGTCCAGAGTCAGGAACAACGGCTCTGCACACTGGTGGGAATCCACCCCGGCTTGCGCCTGCGCCCCGGCCGTGGCTCTGTGGAGCTCTCCGTCCCAGGGAACCTTCTCCTGGCTTTCGTGTCCTGCCCCTTCCCAGATTTCCCCACCCCTCTGGCTGTGCCTTCTGTGCCTTCCCCGCCAGCCCTGATGTGGGCACGGCTCACGCCCAGCACTCCTCAGCGCTTCCTTCCTTCCCAATTCCGCCCATGATTTCCCCCACGCCTGCTCCGTTTCTGAGTGCAGGCCACTCCCAGGTTGACACCTGCGTTCCATGTTGCACGGCTCAGCATGTGGGCTTGGACAGTGGGAGATGCGGCTTTCCATGAACAGCCCCAGTGTGTGGTCCGGCGAGTGGCGAGGCAGCTCTGTGGTGGCCAGGACCAAACCCAGGGTCTTGCTGTTCTACCACCCTCCACCCAGATCTGAAGCTCAGAGCTAAAAGTGACATTGTGCCTTCTGGCCAGTGGGAAGGAGTTAGGAGAGAAGAGGGAGGGACCTGCTTCGCGTTGAGGGCATGGGCAGGAAGCACAGGCTTCACTCCCCCTCCACAGCCAGGCGTGCGGGTGACGTGGCGACGTGTGGGTGACGTGGCGACCTGTGGGTGACGTGGCGGCATGCGGGTGACGTGACGACCTGTGGGTGATGTGGTGGCGTGCGGGTGACATGGCGACCTGCAGGTGACGTGGCGACCTGCAGGTGACGTGGCATCCTGGGCATGGGGAAAGTGGGAAGCATCGGCCTCGGCTGAGCAGCTGCGGCCGCCCGTCCCTGTGTGAGCAGGAGAATGGCTCACGGTTTGCGTGTCAGGGTTCTCCTGAGGAACAGTCACTGGACATGTGCAGATGTGAAGGCAGCTCATTCTCAGGAATGGCCCACGGGATGACAGAGCCTGAAAAACCCCAGATCTACAGGGAAGACCCTCAGGCTGGAGACCTGGGAAGAGCCCGTGCTGCCGTTCAGGTCCAAAGGCCAACTGCCAAGGAGGCCCCCAAGTCAGGGAGGGAAATCGGTGCGGCTCACAGTCCACGATTTAAATGTCAGTCTCATCCAAAAACACCCTCGCAGAAAACACCCTCATGGAAGCATCCAGAGAAACGTCTGGCCAAATGTCTGGACCCTGCGGCCCAGCCAAGTCTACACATAAAATTCACCACAGGCCACACAGACGCCTCTCTGGGTGGTGCCGACTGTGGCGGCCTTCACAGTTCTCTTGGGCTAGAACTTCCCGTCCACAGGCAGAGCCTCCCAGCAGGTCCACGGCCCACACACCATAGCCCCACAACTGTCATCCTGGGTGCAGGGCTTGGTCCACAGGAACATGTGCACCAGCAGACCCCACGAGGCCGCCCACGCGTGTGCTGTCCCTGAGCGAGACACGCTAGACCACGACCTCACAGCCGCTGCCGTGCCTGTCACGTGGAGAAGCAGGCTGAGGGCACAGAGACAGAGCCGGCCCTCCCCAGAGGAGACCTCGGATCTGGAGAGAACAGGGGTGAGGGGCCGGCGGGTGACAGGTTTCATTTCTGGCTCCAAGGAGGAGGGTTGCTGTTGCCTCCGACTTCCCAGAAGTGGCACGAACAAAATCCTCCTCTCCCTTAAGCTGGGTTGAGCTGGGTCCGCATCGATGCAGCTGTGTGTGTCCGGCTGTCCCCATGCGGCGTCCTGAGTGAACATCATGTTCTGCTTAGGAGGGACGTGTCGCCTGGGCAGCATTGCCTCACAGGCAGGATGCTTCCTCCTTCACCAGGTCCGCCTCCTGACAAGATGCATGGCCGGGGCCCAGGAGCGCCGCGTGGCCGAAGTTTAGGTCCCTTCTGCGGCAAGTCTTGCTCTCCCCGTCAGCTCCTTGGACGTCCCTCCCTGTCACAGCAGGTTAAAGTGGGCTCTGATGCGACCGCTGGTGTCCTTGTAGCAAGAGAGAAGTTTGGGCATGGACACACAGAGGGAGAAGGCCGCGCAGAGACCGGGGCAGAGGCTGCGGCGAGGTGGGGCCGGGAGGGCATGGCGCATCCTTCCCAGCTGAAGGCCGGCTGCCTCCGGTGGGCCTCGCCGGCAGGGCTGGAGAAAGGTATCAGCCGGATCAACGGCTGCACAGCCGGCACCACGGTGAGTGGATCCGCTCGCAGCGAAGCCACACCTGGCACAGCAGCTGCAGTTGGAGGCCCCACCTGGGCCAGCCTCCGGCGCCCACTGCTTCCCCAGGACACATCTGTCTTCTGCGCAGGCCAGAGGCTGAGCCGAATGGGGCTGGGGGTGGGTCACCACCCCTGCATCTTCCAAGGGCCTGGTGAGGACACCAAGCTCTGCGGCCCCTCGGCCATGTGGTCTTGCTTTTGATTTATGGCTTTTTTCAAAAGGTAGAATGAGCTCTGATGTCTCCCACCAGCATCTCCCTCCACCCAGCCCTCACGTCGCAGGGCAGGGAGCGGACGTGGAGTCTGCCAGCTCTAGTGTGTCTGCTCCAGTTGCACACCTGGAGCGGGGAAATGGCCCTGGGGTGCATCCCGGGACCCACTGGGCCTGTGGTGTCAAACCTGAGCTAAAATGGCACGGCCACCTGCCCTCCATAAGCCCCTTTCTAACTGGAGGGCCGCAGTGATGCTTTGGGGCTCCCAGAACCAACGTCAGTTCAGAGCCTTCAGAGCCCGTGTCCAGGAGTCCCCGAAAGGTCTAGTTCGGACCCGGTCACTGAGGCAGAAGCCCCACAGGTCCCGTTGGGCAGGGCGGGGAAGAGGAGCCCACACTTTTGGGGGGCCCAGGGCCCTTCCTGAGGGGGTTTGGTCTGTAAACCGCTCGCATCTGAGAACCTGAGACCTGCTGGAGGGGCCGAGACTGGTTTGATGACTGCGCTAGACTTTTGTTCACCTAAAACCTTCCTGTTTATGTCGATTAGGTAAAGATTTGGGAGGCCTCCCCTCGGTCCTTGGAAGGAGTGCGGTGGTGGGTCGCCGATGCCGCGGGTCCACCATGTCCCCTCACCTTCAGCTTCACTCCAGTTTCTGTCACTCACAGTCAACTGCAGCCAAGAATACAAAAGTCCAGGAGGAAGTCACTCACAGGTTTTAAATCGTGCTGTTCTGAGCAGCGTGATGAACCCTCGCACCGCCGGGTTCTGTCCTGCCTGGGCCGGGCACCCTCCCTGCGTCCAGCGTCTCCATGCTGCGCACACTGCCAGCCCGCGCGGGGTCACTCTACAGGAAAATGCATCGCGTATGAGACTCGGAACCACCTGGGGCTTTGGACATTCACTGGGGGTCTTGGAAATAGCCCCCACCCGCCATGATGAGGGGGACGACCGTGCACGCATGAGGCTACCCTGACTGCCACTCGGCCTGGCCGTCCACGTGGACACACCTCCCGCCCTCCCTTGGCAGTGGGTGAGTTCCGCCTACGGCTCTGCCTCCCGGGATCCGTTCATCCCGTGGTGCTCCTGCTTCCCGAGGCAGTGACCGCGTTTCCCACCAGAAGGTCTGCCCTGCAGAAGGAGCCGTCACGGAGCCCTCCCAGGTGTGAGGCCCCCACCAATGTGTTTCTCCCAGCCGTGGTGACAGCCTTGTCCCCGGGCCCCTTCTGGGGTGGCCGGCAGGTCTAACGACAGGTCCGGCCTGACACTGCAGCCTCCCTGGGCCTCTGGATTCTTCCCTCCAGTTACACCAAGGCAGGTGCGCCATTTCCAGCCCTCTCACTGGGCCACCGTGGGGCCTGTGTTCCACACAGCCAGACAAACAGCTCGCACCAATCCTGGCCCCCGGCTGCGGCATTCAGCACAGCAGCTCTGCGTAGCGAGCCCACTTCCAGAGTCAGCCCGATGCTGCGTTCTGTTCCTCCATTACCCACACCCTTAATATCCACCCCGCATGCTCACCCTGGCCCCTGATCCCTGGAACATGCTGGAGCTCCGAGACGAACCCTCCTTCCCGTGCCTGATTCCTGGCATCTCAGCCTTTGCCTGCTGTGGACCGTGTGTGCTCCAGCATGTGGATGAGCTGCTCAGAGCTGTGCAGTGTGTAGACATGGGCTCTGAGCACTTGGGGGTCTCCCCGAGGAGGGAGGACCAGCCACAGGCAGCTGACGAGCATGTGGGAGGCTGACGGAGGCAGAGTGGAGCGCCGACATCTGACTTGGGGTTGGGGGACCCAGGCAGGGACTGGAGGAGGGTGGGGGTAAAACATTGGGGGAGGGTGGGGGAGGACCTGCTGGAGGCTTCCGCTGGGCTGGGGCTGGGGGTGACCTGAGGGGTTCCCAGGAGCTCGGGTGGGACCGAGAGTCCCGGCACAGTCACCAGGGCTGTCAGTTCCGTGTGGTCGGCTGGTGTCTGGGCGCAGGCGCCTCCCGGGCCAAGTGTGTGCAGATGAGACTGTTACACAGAGCAGCCCCAGGCGCGTGCCTGGCACCACGACAGCTGTGCGGGCCAGACAGGGCCTCCCGCAGCCTCTCCAGGGCACCCACGCACAGCACACGTGGCAGGCAGCCTCCTCCTCCCGCTTGACGCCTCCCATGCCCCTCCCTGTAGCTGGTCGCAAAGTCCAGGAAACACCTGCCCGGTTTTCTGTCCTGTGGGTGGCTGAGACCCCGGCATTGGACCCGTGAGGCGACCTGTCTGAATGCAGAAGACACACAGGCCCACAGTCCTGGCCACGCCCCGAGAAACCCGCTGCTTTCCCCTGGGGACTATTGACCGGCCGCCTCTGTGGCCAGGCATAGGCCAGGGAGTGCAGAGAGGCCCGTCCCCCACTGCAAGCCTGGGATGCAGCGACCTCACCGCAGAGCAGAAAGGCCTCACTGCAGTGGGCGCCCGGGGCCAGGATTTGGCTATGCCCGGGGCAGGTATGACAAAGGGGGCCACGTACACGGCGTTGTCTCTCGCTGTCCTGCTCCGTGCACCACTTTGGTCCAATCAAATCCCACGGGGTGGGGAATGGGAAAACACCAGAAATGATTTTCTTTGCATGTACAAAAGAGCCATGACTTTTGTTGCCCTAAAAATGAATTCATGGAACAAAGACAGTGCAGGAAGCAGGTGTCCTCTGATGCACCGGGCCACCCGCCTTCCCAAACCCAGCCTGCCTTCCCCTTCTCCGTGACCTCCCTCGCGGTGGAGGCTTGGAGGGAGCTGCTCACTGAGCCTACCTCTGCGCACACCCAGCTGCCACCTCACCTTCCCCTTCGCCCTGGCTCAATCCCAGGCCTCGGTTTGCAGATGCGGCTCCGTCCTCCCCTCCCAGCCCAGAGGATTCCAGCTGGGAAGGGCAGCGAGGCCGGCAGTGTCCCCTCAGGAGAGTCCTGCCCTCTGCAGGTGATTCCCTGGTGGCCACAGGAGTCACTGCATCCCTCCGTCCCTGCTCCACCCTCAGCCCCTTGAGAGGAGAGAGGCCTGGGGGTCACCGTCTCCCCTGCCCACCTGCTCTCAGCTCGGGTTCCTGCCTGTCCTTCCCAGTGGCTCCTCCGAGGAAGAGGTCTGTGGCCACCTCCCCCCTAGGCCCTGGGAACAGGAAGCTGAACTTGCTGTGAAATTATCTCCTGCCACTCAACTGCTTCCCCCTCAGCAAGGCCCCGCCCTCAGGAGAGAAAGCACAGGAGACGCTGGAGTGCTGTGAAGGAGACTGGGGTACGGGGACCCTGTGTGTGCACATGTATCTGTGTGTGTGCATGTGTGTGTACAAGTATGTGCACTGAGTGTGCACGTGTGTCTGTGTGCTCATGTATGCATGTATAAGTGTGTGCAAAGTGTGTGCATGTGTGTATGTGTCTGTGGGCGTGTGTATACACACATGTGCATATGTGAAAATGCACGTGTGCATTGTGAAGTGTGTGCATGGGTGTGCAAGTGTGTGAATGTATGTGTACACACGTGTGTGAGCTTGTATATACAAGTGCATGCATGTGTGTATAAGCACGTGTGCACATGTGCATGTGCAGATGTGTGCATAAGTGTGAGCATGTGTGTATACGTGTCTTTACGTGTATGCATGTGTGTACAAGTGCATGCATGTGTGTACAAGCATGTGTGCACGTGAATCTGCATGTTTACAAGTGTGTGCATGCAAAATGTGTGCGTGTGTGCATGTGTGCACATGTGTGTACAAGCGTGAGTGCAGATGCATCTGTGCACACATGCATGAGTACGTGCATGTGCACAAGCATGTTCGTGTCTGTGTGTGCATGTGTATGTGAGTGCTATGGTGAGTGTGCGTGTATGTGTGTATGTGTGAGTGTGTGTGTATCTTTTGCCCACCTCAGGAGGGTGGTGGGGAGCTGCTCCCTCTGGGGAAACCACATCTGAACTGGATGGTGAAATGCGAGACTGAGTTGTGTAAAAATTGGGTGAAGTGTTAGCAGGTCGCAAAAACCCCCAGGGCAGAGGCCTCACAAGGGATGGACAGAGAGAGGAACTTTGGAAACGTGAGTGCTCCCTCGTTTGCTGTTCTAAGCCCTTGCTGAGTACAGCTTTTCTGTGCCCAGGATCTGAGCTGAGCAGGGATGTTCTGCTCCATGCCATGCCAGTGCTGACGGGCAGCCACTGGAGAGAACAGGCCGCCCCTGGAAGGTGCTCCAACACGCATGATTTATGAGGCTCCCCGATGTGAGCTGGAACAGCTTGCTCCTTCACACTAAATAAAACCAAAAGCGGCACAGGAGTGCGGCGTCTGTGAGCGCCTCGTGCGTACAAATGACCATCATAAATCTTTCCGCTCTGCGACGCATCTTTGGGGAGTTTGGCTGAGAAGCCAGAGCTGGAGAGCGGGCGAGGAGGGAGAGGAAGCAGAGTCTGAATGTCCTGTGCATCCTCTGGGGTCCTCAGGGCGGGGCGGGGGGTGCTGTCCTGCAGGAGGCGGGACAGGATCTCTGTTCCTCTGCCCCTCCCCACTCCTGCTGTTCACAGCTACTGAACAGCACAAAGCAAGCCTGTCTGTGCGGACCACTGCTGCTGGCCAAGGCGTCCGGCTGAAAAAGTTCTTGGGAAGCCCAGTGAAGGTCCCTCTGTAACAACCTAGAAGGCCACTTCTTAGAACAAAGAAATCACCCTGGTGTTCGGGCCCGACGGGATTTTGTGTTAGGGTAGATTTTGTCAGCAGCAGCAGAGATCCAGCACAAACCAGCCTAAACAAAGGAGGAAAGAAGTTGATTTCTAGAACCAGGACTTGCGTAGTAAGTCCAGGGCCTCGGGCACAGCTGGATCCAGGAGTTAAATGAAGTCATCGTGATCCCTCCATGGGTGCATATGGCTGACTCTCCCCATTCTCGGTGGCCACGGTCTGCAGCGTCACCACCGCGCGGGCAGATGCTGAGCCTCTGGTCCTTAGGGAACAAGATCAGGTTCCTTTGAGCCTCTGGTCACCACATTTTCACCACCCATCAGTCTGTCACTTTGGTCTGTTTCTGCTTAAAGACACTGTATTTAGTGTATAGAGTTGATTCATTAACGTTGAACTCACGGCCAACAGCACCTACACAGGCCTGAGCGAAGCGTCTCCATCGCATGTCACAGCTCCTGCACTCAGGGTCACTCGAGAGGACCTCAGCTCTGTTCCTGAGGCTACTTTAAGCTGCAACATCACCGACAAAGAGCATGAAAATGTGAATGACAGGACTCTAAAAAGAACGCACGTTTACTCCGAGAGCGGAAACAAGAAGGCGGGTGCGGCCTCACTCCTTCCCGGCCAGGCACGCACGTGGGTGACGCGGCTTCCAGAAGCTCTGTGCACGCCTGTGAATGACCAGGAAAGACCCCGGTACTGATCTGGGGATTACGAATACGTTTTAGCAAGTAAGCGGATGTGTCTGCATCTCTGCACCCCCTTCCCCGCTCCCTCCCACCTCCCCTCCATCCTGCCGCCCCAGGGCTGACTTTATTCCCGGACAGGGCCCCCCAAGGGTTTCTACCAGCAGCTCCAGATTTGCCTCTTACCCCCTAGAGTTCCCCACCTGAAAAACCAAGGGCCTCTTCTCAGCAGCCCCAGGTACAGCCGCGGGCCCCTGGCAGGCATCTTGTTCCACCCCAAGAATAGGAAGTGTCTGGGCCTCATGGGCTGTGTAGGCCAGTGGACTGGAGGTGGAGAGGGAGAGGCCCACTGCTATCGGAGGGCGGCAGGCGACAACCCGGCCTTTACCCTCGGGGTCTCTTTGCAGGAGGTCAAAGCCCCCACACTCAGCGTCCGGAGCTCAGCACCTGCCTGCCCCAACCTGCCTGACCCTCCATCCCTGCGCCGTGAACGGTGACTCTGTCCCCGCTGTGCCTGGTGGCAAAGGTGACCCTTGACTTCCAATCTGTCAGCAAACACCGTGGGTTCCACCCCCAGGTTAAGTGCAGAATCTGCCCAATTCTGGCCACCTCTGCGGCCCAGCCTTGACCCCAGGCACCCTCGTCTCTCAGCCGGACGACGGCTGAGACAATGGCCGCAGCACCCACCGCCCTCCCCAGGTCTCAGTCGGTCCCAGACAAGGGCCGCAGCTCACCGCCCTCTCGCCTCTCCCGGGTCTCAGTCGGTCCCCGGCACAGCAGCTGCCGCCACACTGAGGTCACTACACTGCCCTCCGCTCCTGACCCTGCAGCGCCCCCTCCCCCCGAGTCAAAGGCTTAGTGTTCACAGAGGCCACGCAGCCTTCCCGCCCTCCAGGCAGCTCCCACCCAGAGCCCTCCCGCGCCAACCCCTCTGCCCGGCGCTCCTCCCTCCAAGGACGACTCCCCGTGTCCTTCTCCTGACCTGGCTGCTCACGGCCACGCAGCAGACACAGACACTGTACACCCTCAAGGACTCCCGGCCCATTCACATGCATGTCTGTGATGCTGTGGTCAGCGGTCGCTGGGACCCGCCAACGTGGGCTCCATGTGCTGAGGCCCCGTGGAGGTGACTGACAGGGCAGCGGGTGCCTCAGCCAAGCCGGGCCCTCTGGGACCATCATAGGTAAAGTCTTCCCATCTGCAAATGAGAACCCGGGGATGCTGACCCCGCACCGTCCCCCTGGGACTCTCCGGTGCTCTATGGGTGGGTGCACGACCCAGGTGGGGAAAATGGAAGAGAGCAGAGGTCGCCTGGGGGCAGGAGCCCAGGACACCCACCCCGCGACCACACTCAGAGCCGACTCAGCCCATGGACGGCTGCAGTTTCCTTGTGTGCAGCCCCCATGAGGAACCTGACTGCACGAGGCTCCTCCAGGGCTCCATGAGACTCCGTCTCAGGGGCCTTCACCTGCTCTCGGCTTTAAACGAACCACTGAGAATCACCTGTAACAACCTCACAAAGAAAATAAATCTCTGCACGGGCTTCAAGGCTCTGGGGCCAGGGCTGTGGGCTTTTCAAATCCTGCAGGCTGTGGCCTGGGCATTTGCCAACTGTCACTACTGCATAATTTAATCTAATTGATCAATTAAATCCAGATAATTTTTAAACAAGCTGTAATAACAGTTATATAATTTCAGTACCATGTATAATTATTCTAACTTTACTGAAGGAAATGGCTTTCTAAGACATGCCATCTGCATTCTGGAAACTGTCACCTCTGGAGCCGCAGGACTGGCAGGCAGCTGTCCTCTGAGCCGGCCGACTCTGGGAGGTCAGGGCCGCCCTCAGAGGAGGCTGTCGCTGTGGGTCTGAGTCCCGCAGCCCTTCTGAACCACCGTGTTGCGTGGCCTGTGGGGATGCTGTGGCGCCTTCTATGTCATCCGTAAGAATGCGAAACAACCGCCTGGATCTGTGGAATTAGGAATCCGTTTCTATTGCCACAGTTACACTGTGTGACAACCACACAAATCCTCAGAGAAGAGCAGGAAATATTCACTTTTGCTCACGAATCTGTGGGTTGGCTGTGGGTTCTGAGGACTTGCTTGGGCCTGTGAATCCGTGGCCGGCTCTGGGTCTCCCTGGACTTGGCCATGTTCACCCGTGAATCTGTGGGCCCTGTGGGTCCCCCTGGACTTGGCTGGGCTCACCCGTGAATCGGTGGCTGGCTGTGGGTTTGTTGGTGGCTCTGCTGCCCCTGCCTGGCTCTTCTGTGTCTGGGCGTCCATTGAGATGATCCCACTCTCTGCTGGTGGGCTGGCAGATCACCACAGATTTCCGAGGTGATCATGGGGTCAGAGAAGACACGAAGATACTCAAGTGCCGTTCCGAGCCCCGCGTGCACCCTGGTGGTCGCTGTTCCAGGCAGCAGAAGTCCATTTGGTCGCACCTGTGACCTGGGCACAGCCGTCCGCACCCCCAGCCTCCGCCTGGTACACCTTGGATTCCTTGCATTCTGATGCTGTGGTGGTGTCGGGGTGGCCCCTGGCTGCCCTTCAAGGTTGGGGGGGGACACTTACAGGCTTCTGTGTCCTGGACACCCACACTGGGGACACGCCTGAGCTCAGGTCTGGCTCCGTGACCTCAAGCAAGTTACCCCGCCTTCCCGTGCCTCAGCCCAACCTCGCTTCACCTGTCAAACACCAACAGCCACCTGACCCTGGCAGAGTCATGCAGGGAGCGTGCAGGGCGCTGACCCCATAGCAATGCCCACACAGCGTGAGCCCCACCCGAGCCCCGCTGCTGAGTTCATTTCATGACAGACACCTGGGAGAGCCATGAGTCCCCATCCCGACACAGAGGAGCCGGGGCCAGGGAGGCGGAGGCTGGAACTGGTCACCGGTGTTCAGTTCAGGGCCCGCCGCGGAGTCCACGTGCCAGGCGGCCTAACAAGCCTTGCTGGCCATGCGCCTCCACCTGCAAACACGTCCCCTCTTATGGCTCTGGAGGCCAGGGCCCACGCAGCTGCTTCATTCTGAGGTGGGAGCTGCAGTCCGTCTCCGCCTTTCTCCAGGGCGGCTGGTGTTCTCCACCTTTCCTGACTCTAGGTGTGTCTCCCGGTCTCTGGCTTCATCTCCCGTGGCCTCCTCCCTGTGTGCCTGTTTCTGTGCCTGTATCTCCCCTTTTCATCAGGGCACAGTCTGTGGGGTTCGGCCCATCCCACTCCAGTGTGGCCTCATCTTAACCCCTCACGGCTGCCACAGCCCCAGGTCCAACCAAGGTCACGCACACAGGTCCTGGGAGGTCGGGGCTCCCACAGTGAATGTGGGGAAATGCAAGTGAACCTGGGATAACCGGTGAAGAGCATGCAGCCTCGGACAAGTCCCTTCAGCTCTCTGGGCCGTCCCATCCTGTCTGTGTCTGCAAGGTGACCATGCTGTTCCACCCGGGCCACGAGAAGGACTGAAGAGGAAATGCGTGTTGAAGGCAAGGCACGGACCAGCCACGAGCAGCTCAGGCCGCACCAGCCACAGTTACAGCCACGAGCCACGAGCAGCTCAGCCACAGTTACCATCAGCCAGAGCAAGGAGGCCGCCCCGACCCAGAACCCAGTCTCCACCACCTCTTTCCCTCCATCTCTTTCTCTCTGATTTTCTCCTCTGTCCCAGAATCCTTTTCTGCCCCGGTGGCCAAGGTCCAGAGAAAAGGCCTTTCCTCCTGGTCAGAGCTCTGTCTCCTTCATCGGCCCTTTGAGGAGCTGGGAGGGGCCTCTCAGAGCCCCTCATGAGGAAATTCCCAAGGTTTCCTCTTAACTGCAGCAATAAAGTTTTTGTTAATTCTCCATAAGTGTAAATGTTCCCACAGGTTCCAATTACAGGCCTCCGCGGAAGTGAGTTTTCCCAAACACCATTCTAATTTGAATGTCAAACACGTTACACAACAGGGCTGCTACGGTTCCCATGGAGCCAGGCCCCGGGACAGCCCTGGGATCCCCCCTTCAGTCAGCCCCCACTTGCTTTCTCTAAGGAGGTACCCCTGGGACCCAGGACTCCCCAGGCCTCAGAAGTGGAGGGAAGACAGATTTGGAGGAACTTGGAGTCCCCTGGGGGATGGAGGCCTGGGAGGGACCCTGGCCCACCTTCCTGGAATGCAGCGGGCAGAGGGCAAGGGTCTTGCTCCCAAGGCCCTTGATTTCTGTCTCTTCTTCACTTCACCTGCACTCTAAAAAGAGGCTTTCAGTGTTTCCAGTGAATACGTCTTCTGTGGCACGCCAACACTGCTTTAAGTTTCTGAGTTATTGGCCAATATTTGCAAAGCAGAATATTTTGCAGGATTTCTGGTGTCTGTAGAAGTATTAGAAAATGTGGCTGCGTAGAGCTCCTGTTTCCTCACCACAGAAAGTGGTGGACCTCAGTAAGTGCTGCTGCTTTTAGAAGAATGCACAAAATCCAATTTCCCACAATTCCCATCCAGCCCGTATCAGCCATTTATTTTACATCCCTGGCTTGTGGACTTTCACTTTTGGAATCACTTTTACAGAGATCCCTGACCTCTCTTCAGATCTCCTGTTTCAGGACAAAGTTTTGCCATCATTACCATAATCTCCACCACTACCTACTCCACCACCAACACCACCATCACCATAATTATCATCATCATCATTATCATTATCACCATCACCATCACTATTATCACCATCATTATCACACCATTATCACCACCATCACCATCACCATCATCACATCACCATTATCACCATCACCATCACTATCATCACCATCACCATCATCATCACCATCACCACCACCATCATCACCATTATCATATCACCATTATCCTCATTGTCACCATCACCATCATCATCACCATCATCACCATCACCATTATCATCACCATCATCATCACCATCACTATCATCACCATCAGCATCACCATCAGCATCATCACCATCACCATCATCGTCACCATCATCACCATCACCATCATCACCATCACCATCACCATCATCAGTCACCATTATCACCATCACTGACACCATCACCATCATCACCATCACCATCATCATCATCACCATCACTATCATCACCATCATCATCACCATCATCATCACCATCATCACCATCACTATCACCATCATCACCATTGCCATCATCACCATCATCACCATCACTATCACCATCATCACCATCACCACCATCATCATCACTATCATCATGGTCTCCACCTCCATCACTACCAACTTCCCTGCTACTATCACCACCATCACTGCATATACACACAGAGACTCTGTCTCATCAGATTCTTTGGTACCTCTGACCCCTCTGGGAGCTCTCTCAATACATCCAGTCCACACAAGTTAGTAAAATTGGGTCAGAGCTGGGGGTGGGGGATTAGGCGGATTATGTTGAGAATGCCTTTCTGGCATAGTCCTGAAGAAGTTGGTGAAACTTGCTCGTGCTGTGCGGCTAGCTTTGGCTCCATGTCTAGCTGAGGAAGGATGCTCATGCCATGGTTCTCTGGCTGGCATGTCACTGTCCTCCAATTTTTCCCTCCTTGTGTAACTGTCCTCCAAAATGTCATTGAAAAGCTGCCCTTTTTTTTTCTTTTTGAGACAGAGTTTCGCTCTTGTTGCCCACGCCAGAGTGCAATGGTGCGATCTTGGCTCACCGCAACCTCTGCCTCCTGGGTTCAAGTGATTCTCCTGCCTCAGCCTCCCGAGTAGCTGGGATTACAGGCACGCATCACCACACCTGGCTAATTTTTTGTATTTTTAGTAGAGATGGGGTTTCTCCATGTTGGTCAGGCTGGTCTGAAACTCCTGACCTCAGGTGATCCACCCGCCTTGGCCTCCCAAAGTGCCAGGATTACAGGCATGAACCACTGTGCCTGGCCTTGCCCTCTCTTAATCTATTGGTTGGGATGAGGTTGACCCAACTCCCAGCTCCAGAAATGGCCCATGACTTGTCTGTCCTGTTAACATATTCCGAGCCCTCAGCCCAAGGATTGGGTCAGGGTTAGGCATGTGGCCCCAGCCAGGCCAATGAGACTCGATTCTTAGACTTTGTTTGTAGACGACCGACAACTGGTGCCTCTTTTCCGTGGGGTAGGCACGTCTGGTGGGATGTGGTGAGCAGCTGCTGGGATCATCTTTACCAGCAACGGGGAGCCTGGTTGGGACTGCAGGGCTTGGGGAGGGAAGCAGAGTGAGAGCTGGAGGCAGAGCCAGGGTCCCCGGGATGCCCTCTGCCTCTGTGCTCAGCTGCGCCTGAATCCAGCTGCATCACCTGAATCCAGCTGCGAACCTGAATCCAGCTGCGTCACCTCCCTTCGCTCTTTCTGCCACCTTGAGTTGGGTTCTGCTGCTTGTCATCAGCTGCATCAGCTCCCTTCACCCTTTTTGCCACCTTGGGTTGGGTTCTGCTTTTGTCATCAAAATAGCCTGGGCACACCCATGCCCTTCCCTGGCTGACCTGTCTGGAAATGCCCCAGCCCAGCCTGTCTCCTCTGGGGCTGAAAGGTCACTTTATGCTCTCAGCTTCCATTTCCCTCTCCAGGAAGCAGGGTGAGCACACTGTCCTCGGTGAGCACACAGGCAGCAGCTAGACACAGGCTGCTTGCCAACCGAGGTGCCTCCTTGGAATCACCAGAAAGTGGACCCTCGGGGGCTGGGCCCTGCACTTCCCCACCCACCCAGCCTGGCCTCGTCCCTTAGGTTGGATTCTTAGGCAACGGAATGGCCCCTGTCCCCCTATCTGTGTCCCCATCTCACCAGGCATCTGTCCTTTGAGATTCTGAGCTGAGCACAGCCGTGGCCCTCTGGGGACAGGAGGGATGGACACTAAGAGTTAAAGCTGGGAGAGCCTGGTGGCCTCTTTAGACATCCTGGCACAGCCCTAGAGGCCGGCATGAGGACCAAGGCCACGGGGCTACCCAGCCCCTGCCCCAGGAACTCATGAAGGACCCAAGGGCTCCTGGACCTCTGGCCTGGCTGAGCAAGTCCCTGGGCTCTGGGCCGGGCTCTGAGCTGAGATGCAGGGTTGGGTGCAGCAGGCCAGGTGCTCCCATCCCCGTTCCTGCAGCTCTGCAGGGAGCTCTGCCTAATCCCCCTCCCTCAGCCCAGGCTCACCCAGCTGTCAACTAACCATGGTCGCGACCCCCCAGGGACGGCTTTTCTTGTTGTTTCAAAAGTGCAGGCCTGGGATCCCCCTGTTGCCAGCGTGGGACTTCCCACAGGTATCAGGTTTTCTCATCTGCAAAATAGGCAGAAAAATCTGAAGGTGGTTCTTTCCCTCCAAGTCACAAGGAGGCCGAGGCGGAGCTCGGTGGGCTGAGCGAAGGCGATGTGAGTGGTGGTCGTGTCTGTGTCTCCTGTGCTCCAGACTTGGCACCACCGGTCACCCCCACACCCCCTGCACGGCCGCGGCTGCTGGTGTCCTGGACGCTGCACTGCTTTGCCAGAGGCCAGAGCCCCCCCTCATCCAGAACGCCCTCGTGGGGCATTCGCAGAGCTGCCACCGCCATAGACAAGCATGGAGACCCCTCTTGTGAGCCTGCAGCTCCCTGTGATGGGGCACATAGGTCACTATGGCAGAGGGCCCTGTGCTGACCTCCGAATAACCTAATTAAGGCTGATGACAGAAAGACACCGGGGGAAGGGCGGCCTCTATGAAAACCCCGGGAAGGGGCTGGCTGCAGCAGTGTGGAAGCGAAGGACCACGGCAGAGACTCAGGCCGAAGAGCTTGGCTCATGCTCCTAAAAAGAAAACAGAAAAAAAAAGCGGGGCATGGTGGCGCACACCTGTGGCCCCAGCTACTTGGGAAGAGGCTGAGGTGGGAGGATGGCTTGAGCCCGGGAGGTCGAGGCTGCTGGGAGCCGTGATGGCACTGGTGAACAGCCACTGCCCTCCAGCCCGGGCATACAGCCAGGCATGGGGCTTTGCTTTCACGGAATAACAGCCCCGTGTTCTGGTCACACAGGACCTTGCAGCTGCCACAAGCTGCAAGCTGTGTTGCGTTTCTGCAACTCTGGGCAAGTAGGGAGCAATGGAATCTTGGTGCCTTCTCTGGGTTTCCGGGAATTCATCTAGGGGCTGGGCCTTCCCATGGAATGCGCACGTGCTCCCCAGCTGCAAGCCCTCCCTCTTCTCGGAACCCCACGGACCATGCGCCTTCCACTCAGATGAACATCCACTGCACACAGTGGCGTCCCAGGCCGGGCGTGACTCAGTGGACACAGGGCCTCCACCTCAAGGAACCTGGCCTGCCAGGGGGCCCCAAACCCCGACACCCCCCGAGGCGACGGTGGCTCAGGAGGCTCTGAGGGAGGCCCCTGTCCCACCCTTGTCCCGGGTTTGTTCTCGTGTTTATTTTTTCTCCACATCTCTGTTTGCATCCTTCTGCTTTTCTCCTGCATTTGGAAAAGAGGCGCCCGGTATCCACACCAACCACAGCTCTGAGCTCGCCCGTGCGGGCAACGCAGGAGGCCTCAACAGGGCACCCACTGCCCAGCTGGCCGTGAGTGACGCCTGCACAGCTCAGGAAGGCAGAGACTATGGCAGGTGTATAGGTGAAGCCGGCACTAAAAGACGGACAGCCCTACAGAGACCGCCAATCCCCAGAAGCAGCCGAGGCAACCGCGTCCACCCCCTGCCGGGGGCCCTTCCTGCACAGCTCGGGGATCCCAGCCCTCGGCTGCCACTCCCGACCCAGAGCCCAGGCCCAGCCTCTGCCCCAACCCCGCCAAGCCTGTGTGCACGCCTGCCAGGCCCCTCCCCCACCGTCCCTTCCTTCGAGGCCCTGAGCGCTCGCTCACTGCAGGCTTCTGGCAGGAGATGCTGCAAGTGGCGGGGATGGGCAGGCACCACATTTCCCCCACCCTGGAAGAAACCGCTTCTCAGTGGACGGGCTCAAACCCCCTCCTCCTGCCACCATCCCCTCACTGAAGGTCCCAGTGCTTTTTGGAAGGAGGGAAGAGTCGGGGGCAGAAAAGGAGTCAATCAGTGAATGCACACCTGCAAGAAGGCATGACGGGCTGGGCGCTGGGGGCTGGCGCAGACCCACCTGTGTTGTTCTGATTAATCTCCTCCACAGCTCAACATCATCTGGAGAGACAGGAAGGATTACAGAAAATTGGCTTTTCTGTCTGGCTTCCCCCAAGGGAGGCGGTCATGGGCAGGGTCCGTGGCCCCGTTCCACCAGCAGTGATTACAGCAGTAATCCCGAATTTTGATCAGGAAGTGGCCCTGGCCCTGAAATGACTTTTTGCTAAGCCTCCCTCCCGTGTCCGGGGCAGCTGCACGCATGGCACCTCGCCGTTGCACTGAGACGTGATTGGTCCATTAGCACGGGGGTAGGAACGGCTTCCCCTGTGTCTGCCTCAAATGTCTCGTGAAGAGTGTGGCGGGACTTTCCTGGCACCGCCACTGCCTCCGTCAGTCCACAGAGAGTTGCGGGGGTCAGAATATGGCGTGACAAGGGCTGGGCAGGGGTGGTCGGGGCCCAGCTGTCTCCAGGTTGCAGAGGGGCAGACGGTGTCCCGCGAGGAGGCTTCCAGCTCCGCCATCAGCACAGCAGTGAACACGAAGCCAGCAGTGAAGGAATGGCCAGGCAGCCGGGAGGCCTTGCCTCTGCAGTTCCACGTGGGTGTGCAGCGGGACTGTATTCCCACGGGGCTGGGCCCTGACAGGCGTGGGCGTCCCTGAAGGCCTGGCGCTCCAGAATTCTTTCCACCTGTCTTCACGCCCTGCTCCCAGCCTCTGGCTGAGTGACGAGGATTCAGAGGGTCAGAAGGGGACACACGACAGAGGAGGAGGCTGGTCACTCAGAGACCCCTGGGCCACCAGGGACCGCGCCCTGCCCCCGCCGACCAGCCACGTGGCTGTGCTGGATGACGACGTGGCCTCTTGATGCCGAGGGCGAACATTTTGTATGAAGTTGCTGAGATTAGCAGCGGCGTCCGCCCCAGCAGCTAGCGTTTCCCCCACGTGCCGGCGATGTCGTCCTCCGACTCAATACTTGGCAGCTTGCTCAGGGCTTTTTGTAGCAAGTAACAGGAAACTCAGCTCTCGGGGCTGGAGCAGAGCCCGTGGGATTCACAGCCCCTGAGTGCAGGTGCAGGGTGGTGAGATGGCGGCACAGCTTGCTCAAGGCCCCAGAGCCTGGGGAGCCTGGTCTCTGGTCTCTCCCTCCTTCCGCAGAGGCCCCTCTGGCGGGTGCCTCGTCCGCCAGGCCCACCTGCATGGGGTGGAAGGGTGCACCTGGCGGAGACCCGTGGGGCCGTCCCTTCCCCGGCCGGAGCTCGCAGGGAGGCCCTGGCACCATGGGCTCTGGTGTGCCCAGGGGACAGGAGCTCTTACTGTCCAGGCCAAGGCACACAGACCCTTCAGCTCAGCCAGCGTCATATGAGGGAGGCAGCGGTGTCTCCAAGCCAAGGTGGGGTCTCTCACTGGAGAACAATGGGGGGATCTTGGCTGGTTCCCTGAACATGGGGTGCCAGAGCCAGGGATGCGGGTACCGTGGAGAACTGAGCTTCTGCAGCTGCTGCGACCTTGCCCAGCCCTCGCACCCTCTTCCTTAGGGACCCCACCCTTTGGGAAAACACCCACCCCTGCTCCACCGCACGCCGGGGGGCAGCCTCCACGTGGAATCAGCACGCCTGCGGACCAGCCAGCCGGCCAGGACAGGGAATGAGGCGATACTCCAGTGACAGATCCCATGAGCACGGGGACCACAGAGCTGCCGGCCTTTCCCGCCTGGGGAGGGAAAAGCTCGTAGGACCCGGCGCTGGGGAGCTCGTGGACCCCTTCGAGTCTGGAGCTGGGCCACGGGCTCCTGCCCTTGATTGCATGACACCCTTCTAGCACATTCCTCCTTTCGCCAAAGTGAGTTCAGATAGATTTTCTGTCACTTGCAACCAAAGCAAACCTGAAAAATGCAGCGTTGTCTGGAGCCTGAGTCGCTTCCTTCTCCTTTGTGAGGAACTTCAGGTTTATCCGAAGTGACTTAGACACGACCAGGCTCCAGCCTCCCGCGTGGTTTGAAGCCAGGCCCAGGCCCAGGGACTCCTGAGGTCTGGTCTCAGTGGTGCTGTCGCGGCCTCCAGACCCTCCCACCCTGAGCCCACCAGTCCCCACCCATTGAAGTGGCGGCCAGTGGAAAACCACAGAGGCGGCAGCCCTCAGTCCGTCTCACGTAAACTTCTTCAGTTGCTTCAGGAAGCACAGCAACTGAAGTCTAACGTATCCTCACCAGGGGCAGATACTGTCGGAATGTCCCCTCTTCTCCTGAGTATTCAAAAGCAGATGGAAGCCGGTGCCGCCCCCCGCCCCTACCACCTCAGAGACTCTGGAGTCCCCACTGCTCAGGGCTCCAAGTCCCCTGTACCCACCAGGGCCTTCTCCAACCCAGCTGAGGTTCTGAGACAGGTGTGGCTGCCTTTGACAGACATGGGGATTGGGTTGCAATCTGGGCGGTGGCCCCACATGCAGAACATCCGCTTTGGGAGTAGATTTGGGAGTGCTATCTGTTCTGCAGCCCCCCAGTGGGGCAGCTCCCTCCTCCATCCATGCGTGAGCCAGCCCTGGTGCGAATCCACCCAAGACCCCTGCCCGGCCCCAGCAGAAGGACAGTCTTGGCCCAACCTCATCTCTGCCGGGCCCCAAACTGTGCGGGAGGCTGGAGCCTGGTCGTGTCTAAGTCACTTCGGATAAACCTGAAGTTCCTCACAAAGGAGAAGGAAGCGACTCGGGCTCCAGACAACGCTGCATTTTTCAGGTTTGCTTTGGTTGCAAGTGACAGAAAATCTACCTGAACTCACTTTGGCGAAACGAGGAATGCACTTGGGCCCAGGCAGGGCTCCAGATGCTGCCCGGCTGAGTGTGCCCGTTTCACACCCTGTGCAGAAGAAGGGATGCTGGCGGCTTGACGTGAGCTCTGCCATCATCCTCCCCTCCTTCTGGGTTCCTGGGAGGCACCTGAGTCGGAGGAGGGAGGCAGCAGCTTCCTGGCCCTGCAGAGAGTGACTCACGCAGCTCGGCGGGGGACGCACCCGCCTCCGAGGAGCTGGCTCCGCCGTCCCAGCCCCACCATCTGGCGCTTCTGACTCGGATCTGTTGGTGTTTACTTCCTGAAACTTTGCATTCCCAGGGTCTGTGCCCGGGAGCAACTGTGTGTGGAGGATCACACTTCCTTTCATATGTTCCAGCGACACAGAACAGCTTGCTTTCAGGCCGTTGCAAAACACAAACCAGAAAAAGAAAAAGAGTCTTCCAAGCCCTCTTCCCATGAAGGCAGAAAGCCGAGACACTCGGGGCAAAAAGCCGAGACACTCAGGGGGCAAAAAGCCGAGACACTCGGGGGGCAGAAAGTGCTCTGCGAGGTGGGGCACCTATGGCAGGTGTGGTCCTGGGAATGCCAGGCAGGTGCAGGGCAGGTAGCAGGTGCAGAACCTTCCATGTAGCGTGAGCCAGGCCCAGGCTGGCAGAGCCCACTCCTGGAACCCCCACGGCCGTCGGACTTGGGTCCCTGCTCCGTGCATCTGGGTAGCCCAGACCTCCTGGAATTCTTGAGGCAGGGTGAGCTGGGGTGAGTGTGGGAAAGAATCAACTCTCGTGCAGAAGAAACACTACGCAGGAGCCCATGGGAACCAAATGAACGGGGGATTCGAGGCCTTCAGCGCAAGTAGAGGACGTGGCAATGGTCACGGCTCCCTCTGGCCCCATGCGCTGTCAGGGTGTTGGTGAGTGGTAGGAACCCACCTGAACCTGCCTAATTAGGAGGCGCGTATAAACCCTCAAGATCTAACTCTGGGGAGATGGCAGTGGAAGCTGGAAGCTCGCGTCCCACCTGGCTGCTCTCTCCCTTTGCCAGCCCCATCCGCTCCCTGCTGCCTCTGTGCCCTGCTGCAGGAATTGCGGCTGCAGGAAGCCCCCCGCCCTGCGCTCAGTGAGGGGACCTCTGTGGCACCGTCTGAGGGCCGTCCTCCCACACCCACCCACCTGCTCTTCACCTTCCTGGCAGTGATGTGGCCCAGGCACGGGGCTCCCAGAATGAAGACAGCATTTCCACCCTCCCGTGCAGCGAGGGGTGGCTGTGTGACTGCACCCAGCCATCGGACTTGAGGAGTGGGAGGAGGCTGCCGGCGATGCTGGCTCTGGCTGGAGCCACCAGGGGGGAGCCGCCCAGACGCGTCCACGGGCAGCCGGGAGAGCTGGGTGCAGGCGGCAGGGGCTGGTGCCATACAGAGCAGAGCCCCCACGTGGCCACAGAGATGACGGCTGCCTGGGAATCTGTATTTTAACCAAATCGTCTCTGGTTCCAAGGGAAGAGGCCCCAGAGGGCACTGACTGGCCTCGCTTGGGTTGGCGCCCTGTGAGGTCAGGCCCCATGGTCAGGAACTCAACGTGGTCCCTCAGAGCAGCAACAGCAAGGGGACTGCACAGTGGAGGCTGCGCAGCGTGGGGCGGACTTGGCGAGGAGGCTCTCGGGCAAGTTTCTGGCCTGAGAAATGGAGAAGCTGGAGAAATGGTCATCTTAGTCTTCATCCCCCTCCACGCTCACAGCAGCCAAGGCCTCCAGGCTCTGGACTGAACCTGGCCGCACCTGCAACCCCTCTCTCTGGGAGCTCCGTCCCGCACTGCCTGCCTCATGCAGGGCCCGGCTGTCTACGGGGATGTTTGGGGGAAGCTGCCAGGTTTCGCATCACCCCTGAGTGAGCCAGGGATGCTTCGTCTATAGTAGGAGCCACGGGAGGCAGGTGGTCAGCCCAGGTGTGGCCGTCAGGCACTGAAACCCACTGTGTTCCCTCAGGGTCTCTGTCCCTGCCCCCAGCAGCAGAACCGCATCCATCCTGTGGCCTCCACAGCCGCCTCTGAGAGTCTCATGGACGTGGACAGCAGCTTGTCCTCAGCCTCCACAGCCACCTCTGCAAGTTCCGTGGACGTGGACAGCAGCCACCTCTGTGAGTCCCGTGGACGTGGACAGCAGCCGTCTCTGTGAGTCCCGTGGACGTGGACAGCAGCCATCTCTGTGAGTCCCGTGCACGTGGACAGCAGCCGCCTCTGTGAGTCTCATCTGCGAGTCCTGTGGATGTGGACAGCAGCCGCCTCTGCGAGTCCCGTGGACGTGGACAGCAGCCGTCTCTGCGAGTCCCGTGGATGTGGACAGCAGCCGCCTCTGCGAGTCCCGTGGACGTGGACAGCAGCCGCCTCTGTGAGTCCCGTGGACGTGGACAGCAGCCGCCTCTGTGAGTCCCGTGGACGTGGACAGCAGCCGCCTCTGTGAGTCTCATCTGCGAGTCCCGTGGATGTGGACAGCAGCCGCCTCTGCGAGTCCCGTGGACGTGGACAGCAGCCGTCTCTGCGAGTCCCGTGGATGTGGACAGCAGCCGCCTCTGTGAGTCCCGTGGATGTGGACAGCAGCCGCCTCTGTGAGTCCCGTGGACGTGGACAGCAGCCGTCTCTGTGAGTCCCGTGGATGTGGACAGCAGCCGCCTCTGTGAGTCTCATCTGCGAGTCCCGTGGACGTGGACAGCAGCCGCCTCTGCGAGTCCCGTGGACGTGGACAGCAGCCGCCTCTGCGAGTCCCGTGGACGTGGACAGCAGCCGCCTCTGCGAGTCCCGTGGACGTGGACAGCAGCCGCCTCTGCGAGTCCCGTGGACGTGGACAGCAGCCGCCTCTGTGAGTCTCGTGGACATGGACAGCAGCTCGTTCTCGGCCCAGTGTGCTCAGGCTTCACTGTCATGGGTGGACGTGGGCCCTGTGCAGCCTCACACTCAGCTGCCCTCACCCTAAGCCCCCTCTGTCCTCGAGGGACCCCCAACAGTCCTAGCGGCCTCTGCAGCTTTGGGAATAAAGGCCTGCCCTCGCCTGTATCCATGAAGCCCCTGCCACATCTGCGGCTCACAGCCTCCTTCTCCCCCCCGTCTCACCACGTTCTAACCTCTGGTCCTCTCCGAGTTTCTCGGACGGGCCAGTCCCTCTCCCCCCTTGGGGTTTGCTGTCCCCTCCATCGGGGTCACTGCCCTCATCTTCCCAACCTCAGCCCCCACCCCAGGATGGGTCAGGATGGCCTGGCTTTCTCTTGGCCACCGTGTTCCTTCTTTCACACTCAGCTGAGTTTGCAGAAATGCCATGGTGTGATGACGTGATTCACGTCTGTCTTTCCGTCTAGACTGGAAACCCCCTGGGGGACTGAGATGTACGTCAACCATGGTGTCCCCAGAGGAGAAGGGCCGTCAACCAGGGTGTCCCCAGAGGAGAAGGGCCGTCAACCACAGTGTCCCCAGAGGAGAAGGGCGGCCAGGTCCCCTGGGGACTGAGATGTGTGTCAACCACGGTGTCTTCAGAGGAGAAGGGCGGCCGGGTCCCCGGAGGACACGGGTAATGCAGAGGCATCTCCCCAGCTCGCCCAGAAACTGGTCCAGCACCATGATCTGCACCCACATCAGAGGCACGTGGGGTAGGGAGTACAGTGCTGCCCGGAGCTCCATCCACAGCCTGCTCTGGGCTGGGTGTACGGCTGTTTTCCATTCAACCCAAATGGACCCTCGGAGGAGCCAGAAGGCCGGACTTGAGGAGGATTTGTCAGACCAGACAGCTTTAGTGTCACCTAAGACAAAGTACTTTATTTGTTTCCATTATCTTTGAGCTTTTGTCCTTCTGGCTATTGATCTTCCCTTGTAATGAAGCCCATAATTAAGCTACTAGGATGCTGCGGCCAGGCTTAATGAACAGACTACTGCACAGCTCAGCCAAGGAGCCCACTGCATGAAGGAGACACACCGCCACCTCCATTTCCTGACTGTCTGTGACCCGTGTGGTCTGAAGGACAAAGGCGGGAAGGGCTGGGATGCAGAGGGGCCCTCGGGGCCTCCCTGGGATGTCCTCATCGGCCTCAGGCAGGAGCCACCCCCATCCCAGAGCCAGACACACAGAAGGGCCTGGCCCCACCCCTCCCGAGCTTATGGAAAGGGGAGATTTGGACGTAGAGGTTGGTGCAGGGAGATGGAGATGGCCCAGGAGGGAGGCCTGGGGCAGACTCCCCACCCCGACAGCCTCCGAGGAACCAGTGACACCTTGATCGTGGCTTTGCTGCCTCCGGAACGGTGAGAAAATACGTCTGCGTGAATGGCAGCCTGTAATCATCCTCACGGCCTCCACAGAAAGGGGGTCCTGCCACAGCTGACACTGGGAACACGCTGCGCCACGGCCTCCGACGCGCTGGCCTCAGGAGGGAAAGGTGTAGAGCAGGTGCAGGGAACGCGCTGGAAGGGGCTGCACAGCCCTGGGGGTCAGGCTGGGCCAGGGCTGGGGGGGTGGCGGGGATGCCACAGCTGGAATGCCACAATGGCCACGCAGTTCCCGGCCCGATGCTCCCTCCTTCCACAGCGCCCTCCACAGCCCCTCCGCGGCGTTTCTTGGGATGGGCGGCCTCTGTGATGCCCTGAGCGGCTGGGATTCTGAGGAAGCGCCGGAGATGCTCCCAGCATGACCTTCCCCACCCTCCCTCCTAGTCCCAGCTACACACACGCCACCTCTCCCCACGAGGCGTTCTGAAGGCCGTGCTCCCCAAGGCGGCCCTGTTGGACCGTTGCCGGGCCTTTGGGCACCCACATCTCACATTTGCAAGCCCACAGCTACAGAGGCTTCCCTCCGCCCCACGGGGAGACCTGGGCACCCCCCACTGCGACACGACCTTCTGTGTAGCGGGCGTCGGGTCACTCAGTGTGCGGGTGAAGGCAGCCCAGGGGAGAGGAGCCAGCAGGGAGCTTGGCCAGGTGGGAACAGGTCCGGGCGGGGCTGCGTGGGTTGGGCCAAAGTCCAGACCTGAGCTGTCCCCAGGACACAGCCCAGGAGAGCAGCTTGTGCAGTGAACCCACCCCAGGCAGCGGGGACGCTCCGCCGCCCGCACCAGCGGCCCGCACACTCACGCCTCGCTGTGCTGTCTGCGCCCTCCATCACCCACACCAGCGGCCCGCACACTCACGCCTCGCTGTGCTGTCTGCCCTCCATCACCCACACCAGCGGCCCGCACACTCACGCCTCGCTGTGCTGTCTGCCCTCCATCACCCGCACCAGCGGCCCGCACACTCACGCCTCGCTGTGCTGTCTGCCCTCCATCACCCACACCAGCGGCCCGCACACTCACGCCTCGCTGTGCTGTCTGCGCCCTCCATCACCCACACCAGCGGCCCGCACACTCACGCCTCGCTGTGCTGTCTGCGCCCTCCGCCCGCACCAATGGCCCGCACACTCACGCCTCGCTGTGCTGTCTGCCCTCCATCACCCGCACCAGCGGCCCGCACACTCACGCCTCGCTGTGCTGTCTGCCCTCCATCACCCGCACCAGCGGCCCGCACACTCACGCCTCGCTGTGCTGTCTGCCCTCCATCACCCGCACCAGCGGCCCGCACACTCACGCCTCGCTGTGCTGTCTGCGCCCTCCGCCCGCACCAATGGCCCGCACACTCACGCCTCGCTGTGCTGTCTGCCCTCCATCACCCGCACCAGCGGCCCGCACACTCACGCCTCGCTGTGCTGTCTGCCCTCCATCACCCGCACCAGCGGCCCGCACACTCACGCCTCGCTGTGCTGTCTGCCCTCCATCACCCGCACCAGCGGCCCGCACACTCACGCCTCGCTGTGCTGTCTGCCCTCCATCACCCGCACCAGCGGCCCGCACACTCACGCCTCGCTGTGCTGTCTGCCCTCCATCACCCGCACCAGCGGCCCGCACACTCACACCTCGCTGTGCTGTCTGCGCTCTGCAGATTCTTCAAGGGTTCCGGAGCTTTCCGCAGGAAGAGGCAGCACATCAGTCTAAGGTGCGACTGCAAATTACAAGGTAAATACATGACCGCTTTCCTCCTCAAATTATGGGTAATTACACCTGGACTAAGTGTAATAATTACAGACAAAACGCTGAGGATGTGAACCCCACTCCTTTGAGAGCTCAGACTGGGACCAGTCCCGTGTGCTGTCCAATGCGGGCTCTGCTCCCTGGGGAGAATTCACACCAGGACCAGTCACACATGATGTCCAATGCCAGCTCCACTCCCCAGGGAATGAGGTTAGTGGATTGATGCCTCAGTTTCCTTTTCTGTAGAATGTCTGCAATAATCCAAGCTTCCTCGAGGTGGGTGGTGAGGATTAAATAAATGCAGAGCTGGTACCCACACAGAGGACTCTGGGAGCATTGAAACGCCGCTGTGTGATGCACGATGGATGCCCGTCGTTACGTGTCTTCACACGATCGCGTGTCATTATGCATTTGTCAAAACCCACAGGATGTGCAGCACGGGGGCCCCGACACGAATGTGGACTTTAGTTACTGAACGCGTGTGATGGCCCGCCTGTGGTAAGAGGTGCGCCTCGCCAGCATAACGTGTTAATTACAGGGGACGCTGGCGGTGGGGGAGGGGCTCTGCACTTTCTGCTCGATTTCCTGTAACCTAAACCGCTCTAAAAAACAAACACGTGTCATAACTTTTTTAATGAACTCAAAATGGCCATTTTCACTTGTGTGCAGCCGCCTTCTCCACCCGGGCGTGTCTCGTGCCCTCCCTGCCTGGCCCTTGTGATGGAGGGCTGGGCAGCTTGACCTCTTGACCTCTTGACCTCTTGGCCCCTTGCTCCCTTGGTCCCTTGACCTCTTGACCTGTCCCCTCTGCTCTGTTCTCTCCCCGGGCTGTGGCAGTAGCCATCAGCAGTCCACTGGGCCCACCCTCCCCTTTGCTTCCTAGCAGATCCGATTTGGTGTGGAGTTTAGCAGGACAGCTTTAGAAACCACACTCCCCAGATGCCCTTGCAGTGACGTGTGACCTTGTGTCGACGCATGACCTCGTGTCAAGTCCCTGGGGATTTCTGGGAGAGGCTCAGGCTTTCTGACTTAGCCATTGCCCCGTTCCCTCTCCCTGTTGGAATGTGGGTGTGATGCTTGGAGGGGTGGCAGCCACTTTGTGGCCGTGAGGTCAAGCGACAGATGGTCGGGCGGGGGTGAGTCTGAGATCCCACTGACGTCCTCAGGAGTTGCTTCTTCCCAACGCTGCCTCTCTGTCCCCCTGTTTGTTTAAATTGCCAAAGTTGGGCTTCTGTTAGATGCAGTTGACCATAATCCCAAATGATGGGTGCTGCTTTGGGGACCAGCCCCCACAGGTCCACGAGGTGCATTACGTGGGCAGATCTCCCTGTCCCCATGCTGTGGCCTCAGTGTCCCAGTTCCTGGCCAGCAGCCAGATCAGTGACAAAGGACCCAATGACTCAGACTCCAGCCATACCTGAGCCACCGTCAGGACAGGCTTTGGCCAGGATGGAGAGGAAGGAGCCACCCGTTGCAGCCTGGCCTGGAAACTGCCCGGCTCAGCCCGAGGCCACCATCTCTGCTCATCCAAGAGGCATTCAGGGGTCGGGAGGTCCACAGAGTGGGAGAGGGTCCCACGTCTCAGAGCGGCGCCTGGCACCACCAGGCTCATCCTTGCCTCGGGCAATGGGGCAGGGTGAGCGGCTTCTGTGGCCACCACATCTGTGCAAATGGTGCCCACAGACGGAATTCAGGCCACTTCCTCTTAATTTGCTTAATTTAAACAAGAGGGAACCTTTGTATTTCTCTACATGTGTGCCTCTCAGCCTCCTGCTGGCCCAGAAGCCCAGTGACATCACAAGTTCCTGGCTCAGCTGCCTCCCTTGTTGTCAGATGAAATCTCTTTTTCCAAAGCAGCTCATGGGGGTGCTTTGACCTTGAGCCTTTGAGGCCAGTTCTGCAAAGAGGACTTCCAAAAACAGTGGCCAGTGAGGAACTAGGCTCAGAAGGTACCGTTGGCAGGGGTGAGGCCCTCCTACCTTCTTCCGCAGCAGGCAGGGACAGGGGCGGCGTCCAGGATCACTCACAGGCAGGGACGAGGGCAGTGTCCAGGGTCACTCACAGGCGGGGGCGAGGGCAGTGTCCAGGGTCACTCACAGGCGGGGACGAGGGCAGTGTCCAGGGCCACTCACAGGCGGGGGCGAGGGCAGTGTCCAGGGCCACTCACAGGCGGGGGCGAGGGCAGTGTCCAGGGTCACTCACAGGCGGGGGCGAGGGCAGTGTCCAGGGTCACTCACAGGCGGGGGCGAGGGCAGTGTCCAGGGTCACTCACAGGCGGGGGCGAGGGCAGTGTCCAGGGTCACTCACAGGCGGGGGCGAGGGCAGTGTCCAGGGTCACTCACAGGCGGGGGCGAGGGCAGTGTCCAGGGCCACTCACAGGCGGGGGCGAGGGCAGTGTCCAGGGTCACTCACAGGCTGAGGACAAGGCGGTGTCCAGGGTCACTCACAGGCTGAGGACAAGGCGGTGTCCAGGGTCACTCACAGGCTGAGGACAAGGCGGTGTCCAGGGTCACTCACAGGCTGAGGACAAGGTGGTGTCCAGGGTCACTCACAGGCAGTGGCATAGCCAAACCCTAATGCCAGGAGCTGTTAGGACTGAGGGAAGAATTTGCAAGTGAGTCTGTGGAGGGGCCCAGAAAGCCTCCGGCAGTGCCTGGGATTCCACCGTGTTTGCCGTATTCTTTGTGGATGCCCAAAGCATTGCCTGCAAAGGCTGAGATATGGGTCTTGTGCCAGCCACTCCTGGAGAGGGAGGAAGGAGAGCTCTGGCTTTGTTTGCTGAGGCCCATGGCACCTTGACCGAAAAGCCGACCCAGGCACCACACGGCCATTCTCCCTTTAGATAATAAGCCTCAGTTCCCAGTTTCTGGCTCGGGTGCCACGCAGCCACGCACCACGTAAATAATAAGCCTCAGCCCTGGGTTTCTGGCCCAGGTGCCACGTGGCCACGCGCCCTGTAGATAAGAAGCCTCAGCTCTGGGTTTCTGGCCCAGGTGCCACGGAGCCACGCGCCCTGTAGATAATAACCCTTAGCTCTGGGTTTCTAGCCCAGGTGCCACGCGGCCACGCGCCCTGTAGATAAGAAGCCTCAGCTCTGGGTTTCTGGCCCAGGTGCCACGGAGCCACGCGCCCTGTAGATAATAACCCTTAGCTCTGGGTTTCTGGCCCAGGTGCCACGCGGCCACGCGCCCTGTAGATAAGAAGCCTCAGCTCTGGGTTTCTGGCCCAGGTGCCACGGAGCCACGCGCCCTGTAGATAATAACCCTTAGCTCTGGGTTTCTAGCCCAGGTGCCACGCGGCCATGTGCCCTGTAGATAATAAGCCTCAGCCCTGGGTTTCTGGCCCAGGTGCCACGTGGCCACGCGCCCTGTAGATAATAACCCTTAGCTCTGGGTTTCTAGCCCAGGTGCCACGCGGCCATGTGCCCTGTAGATAAGAAGTCTCGGCTCTGGGCTGAGTGTAAAAATCACCGATGAATGCTCGGTCCCTGCACCCGTCCGGATGCTATCAGCTGTAACAGAAAACCCAGCTGAAAAGCAACTGAAAGGATAAGAGGCAGCTCATTCCTCATAGGGACTCCATGGCAGCTGCCCACCCCACAGCCCCCTCCTGTGTCACCATCCCAGAGCCCCAGGACCCAGCCCTTCCTCGTGTTCCTTTGTGAGAGTGAGGACAACTCCCTGCAGCCCCTCAGACCCTCCCAGGGTCCCGCTGTCAGGGCGGCCTGGCTGGTTCAGGTCTCTCCAACCATGGTAAGGCTGACTGAATTCCACCGTGGGCTGAGGCCAATGGGGCGTCACGCAG
Source organism: Homo sapiens (assembly GCF_000001405.40). Taxonomy (NCBI): domain Eukaryota; kingdom Metazoa; phylum Chordata; class Mammalia; order Primates; family Hominidae; genus Homo; species Homo sapiens. The sequence goes on from NC_000012.12 coordinate 132,366,516, forward strand.
GGGCTGGGGAGGGGCCGCCTTCCCTAAGCACACGGCTGCTGCCCGGAGCCTGAACAAATCTGGCCTTGGTGAGCCAGGGAGGGGTTGCCTAGGCAACCAGCAGTGTCGGCCCCTTCTCAAGCAACTGCTGCTCTGCTTGGCTGGACACAGCCTCACAGGTGCGAGAGCAGGAGGGAATCGCCCCGTGGAAGGGGACTGGGCGAGCCTGTAGTTGTGCCATGAGGGCAGGTGCCTTCCTGGGCACCCAGGGCCAAGCCCCGCCAGCCAGCACTGCTACCAGGCACTCTTTCCATCTCAAACACCAGAATCTGCACAAGCTCCTGGTGGCAGGCCCCGGGGGGTGGCGTCCACTTTCCCTGGATGCCCAGCACACTCAATTTCCACCATCTGCGACCAAGAAGAATGAGGGCAGGACATCCTGTTTGTTCACCCTGGTCTGCCCAGGAATACAGCAAGGAGTGATTAGAGAAGAGTTTGCTTGTAAATACCCACTGAACAGGTGCACACATGCACACTCACGCATATCCACGCACACACACTCATGCAACACACAATGCATGCACACGTGTGCACGCACACACATGCCTACATATATGAGCACAGGCCTGCATGCGTATCCTTGTACACATACCTGTAAACAGCTCATGCACCACACCACATTTAGATCCAGCCCCACAAAAGAAGAAGCTGATTTATGTGTCCAATTATAAATATAATTACATCTCTGACGCCATTAGCACGGCCATTCTGTGAATGCACAGCGCACCGCATGGCAGGCAGGGATGAGGTTCATGAGCGCAGATGAACCAGCACTGGGAATTTTAATTTTTATTTTACTTGAAATTCAACACCAGATATAACAGCGACGCCTGGATGGAACGCGCTTCCACATTCCATCACAACAGAAGCGATCATTTTTAGCAGACGCCCCGTAGGCGGCAGGCCCAAAGGTTGTGCAACTGAGGGAGGGGAAAGAGGCCACAAGCCCAGTCCTCCGGCACAGCCCCTGGCGGGAGATCCTAGGAACGCAGAGGGAAGTTGTCAGACCCAGGGCAAAGGCGGGAGCGGACAGGCTGAGCAATGGTCGAGAGATGTTTCTGGACTTGGCCGCATCCACCAGCTCCCAGCAGAGGGAGGAGGAGGAGCTGAGCCTCTCGGGCACCACCCCAGGATGCCTAGAACCGTGTCCCGTGGCTCAACAGAGTGGACTCCAGGAGTCAGGGCCACGGCCATGAGGTCTCATCGAGGTCTCAGCCCTCCTCAGAGCAGCCATGACCTCCGACCCCACAGCCCCCCACCTTCCCACTCCCTGTTCTCCCGTCACGGGGTTGCTCTGTTTCCTGCCTGAGTTCTGGGGTGACAAGGACAGGAGGGGATGCTGTGTCAGCACGCAAGCCCTTTACTCCATTCTCCCCGGTCACAGCAGAGAAAACCGACCAGGCGTTGGGAGAAACAGCAATGCCCAGCGACTCCCAGTGACCCCAGCAACGCCCAGAGACCCCCAGCGACTCCCAGTGACCCCAGCAACGCCCAGAGACCCCCAGCGACCCCAGCGACCCCCAGTGACCCCGAGCACGGACCCGGCACGGCTCTTCCATCCACCGCTGGCTTTGTCTGCTCAGCACCCGTCTCTCCTCTCTTGGAAACTAAACTCGATTCTAGATTTCCCTCCCTAGAATCTATCCCTCCCTCCTCAGCCCTCGATTTCAGTATAAGATGGTTAATTTTAGATGTCAATTTGGCCAGGCCATGGTTTTTGGCTAAGACCAGTCTAAATGTTATGAAGGTAAGTTTTAGATGCAATTAATTTTTTTTTTTTTTTTTGAGATGGAGTCTTGCTCTGTCACCCAGGCTGGAGGGCAATAGCACAGTCTTGGCTCACTGCAGCCTCCACCTCCCAGGTTCAAGCAATTCTTCTGCCTCAGCCTCCTGAGTAGCTGGGTTTACAGGCGCCCACCACCACACCCAGATAATTTTTTGTATTTTTGGTAGAGACGGGGTTTCACTATTTGGCCAGGATGGTCTCGATCTTTTGACCTTGTGATCTGCCCACCTCGGCCTCCTAAAGTGCCGGGATAACAGGCGTGAGCCACCGCACCCGGCAGCAATTAATTATTTTTAATTGTGGCAAAACATGCGTGACATAAGGTTTGCAGTTTTAACCATTTTTAACCATTCTTAAAACTGCATCTTCAGCAGCAGGAGGCACATTCACGTTGCTGTGCAGCCATCACCAGCACCCACCTCCAGAACCTTCCCATCTTCCCAAACGGAAACCCTGTCCCCATGAAGCGCAAACTCCCCACTGCCCTCCCCCGGCTCTGGCAACCTCTGTTCTACTTTCTCTAAATCTGATGACTCTGGGGACCTCATGTAAGTGGAATCACTGGCTCAGTTCACTTCGCCTAACGTCCTTGAGGTCCATCCACCTTGCAGCCTGCATTAGAATTTCCTTCCTTTTTAAGGCGGAATAATGTCCCATTGTATGGGTAGACTGCATTGTGTTTATCTGTTCACGTCAATGGACATCTGGGCTGTGTTCACCTGTTGTCTGTTGTGAATAATGTTGTATGAACATGGCCGTGCAAATATCTCTTTGAGACCTTGCCTTCAATTTTTTTTTTCTTGAGACAGAGACTTGCTCTGTTGCCCAGGCTGGAGTGCAGTGGTGTGATCTCAGATCACTGCAACCTCCGCCTCCCGGGTTCAAGCCATTCTCCTGCCTCAGCCTCCTGAGTAGCTGGGATTACAGGAGCCCGCCACCATGACCGGCTAATTTTTTTGTATTTTTATAGAGACGGGGTTTCACCATGTTGGCCAGGCTAGTCTCGAACTCCTGACCTCAGGTGATCCGCCCGCCTCGGCCTCTCACGGTGCTGGGATTACAGGCGTGAGCCTCCGCACCCGGCCGTTGCCTTTAACTATTTAGGGTGTCTACCCAGAGAGGAATTGCTGATCCTACAGTAGCTCTAGTTTTAATTTTTCGAGGACCTTCCACACTCTCTTCCGCAGTAGCTACGCCACTCTCCTTCCCACCAGCAACGCACGAGGATTCCAGCTTCTCCGCATCTTCACCAGCACTTGTACTTCCTGGTTTTCGGCAGTCATCTGACTAGGTGTGCGAGGTGGTTTCTCACTGCGGTTTGATCTGCACGCCCCTAACGATGAGTGATGTGGAGCATCTTTCCATGGGTTTGTTGGCTTTGCAGAGCTTCTTTGGAGAAGATGTCTATGTCTCCATTTCCTCTTTGGAGTAATTTGTATTTTCCCAATTTTTAAATGTTTTGACATAGAATAATTGTATAATATTCAAGGGTTACATAGTGCTCTTTTGATACATATAACCCACACTGATCAGATTAATTAGCATATCCATTGTTGAATCAAGTTTGGCCTAAAGCTGCAACCTTACACATTTTAAGTTCGGCCTGAAGGTTTCTCCGTACATGGTGAACTGTAGCCTACATGGAGGTGCAAACAGACCGTCACCTACTCTCATGCCAATCACTGAGCTTTGGCCAGTCGCAGGTGGTCAACTGTTCAAACCGTGTTCAAATAAGACAAATGCCGAGCTGCCGCCAATCCAGCCATTTCTGTCCCTCGCTTCTGTTTTCTGTACATCACTTGCCTTTTCCCGTCCATAAATCTTCTTCTGCCACGTGGCTGCGCGGGAGTCTCCATACCTACTCTATTTGCAAATTGTTCTTTGCTCAATTACACTCTTTTAGATTTAATTTGGCTGAAGTTTCTTTTTTTAAACACCATTGTCTCAAACACTTATCATTTATTTCTGTTAGGAACATTAAATGTCCTTCCAGCTGTTTGAAACTATATAACATATGAACTCTGGTCATCCTGTAGTGCCATAGACACTCACACCTCCCCCCCACTGACTGGTAATTTTGTTTCCTTTAACAAATCTTTCCCTCTCCTTTCCCCTCCCCTTCCCACCATCCAGTATGTTCTGTTCTAATTTTTACTTCTTTGAGGTCAACATTTTTTAGCTTCCCCATGTGAGAACATGTGATATTTGTCTTTCTGTTCCTGGCTTATTTCATTTAACCTAATGTCCTCCAGTTCCATCCATGTTGCCACCAGTGACAGGACTCATTGTTTTTCATGGCTGAATAGTATTCTGCGGTGTGTGTGCCACACTTTCTTCATCAGTCATCTGCTGTCGGACACCCAGGTTGGTTCCATATCGTGGCTGCTGTGAATGGTGCCGCAGTCAACACAGGGTGAGGATGTCTCTCTGATGCACTGACTTCCTTCCCTTTGGATAAACACCTAGAAGTGGTTTCTGGATCGTGTCTGCAGTTTGTTTCCCGAGTAGCCTCCGTGCTGTTCTCCACAGCAGCTGTGTTCGTTCACCTTCCCACCAACAGGGCGGATTCCCTTTTCTCTGCATCCCTGCCAGCATTTGTTACTTCTTGTCGTTTTGATAATAGACCAGTTCTGACTGGTATAAGATGGTATCTCCTCATGGTTTTGATTTGCAGTTCCCTGATGGTTAGTGATGTTGAGCATTTTTTTATAGATCTGTTGACCATTTGCATGTCTTCTTTTGAGAAATATCTGTTCAGATCATTCGCCAATGTTTAAATCAAATTGTTGCTGTTTAATCTGGTTTTTTGCTGTTGAGTTGTTTGAGTTTCTTGTATGTTCTGGACATTAGCCCCTTGTCAGATGAGTAGTTGGCAAATATCTTCTCCCATTTGGTAGGTTGGCTTTTCACTCTCTTGATTGTTTCCCTCACTGTGCAGAAGCTTTTTAGTTTGACACAAACTCCCTCGCTGTGCAGAAGCTTTTTAGTTTGACATAAACTCCATGTGTTTATTTTTGCTTGTGTTGCCTGTGCTTTTGTGATCTTACTGATAAAATATTTTCCGGGCCAATGTCCTAAGGCATTCCCCCTTTGTTTCGTACTTTTGGGTCTTCTACTTATGTTTTTTATCCGTTTTGAGTTGATTTTTGTGTAGGGTGAGAGGTGGGGGTCTAGCTTCATTCTTCTGCACATGGATATCCAGGTTTTCCAGCACCTTTTATTGAAGAGGCTGTCCTTTCCCCCAATGGGTGCTCTTAGCACCTTTGTTAAAAATCAGTTAGTGCTAGATAGAGGGATTAATTTCTAGGTTATCTACTCTGTTGCATTGGTCTATGTATCTGTTTTTTTAACGCCAGTACCATGCTGTTTTGGTTACCACAGCTTTGTCATATATTCTGAGGTCTGGTTATGTGATTCCTCCAGCAGGCTTTTTTTTTTTTTCTTTTTAGATGGAGTTTCACTCTGTGGCCCAGGCTGGAGTGCAGTGGCACAATCTCAGCTCACTGCAACCTCTGCCTCTTAGGTTCAAGTGATTCTCCTGCCTCAGCTTCCTGAGCAGCTAGAATTGCAGGTGTGTGCCACCACATCCAACTAATTTTTGTACCAGCTTTGTTCTTTTTGCTGGGAATTGCTTGGGCTATTCTGTGTCCTTTGTGGTTAAGAATGTTAATATTAAGATTATTAAGATCTTTTTAATGTTAAGATTTTTTTTTCTATTTCTGTGAATAATGTCATGGGTATTTTGATAGGAATTGCATTGAATCTGTAGACTGCTTTGGGTAGTATGGCCATTTTAACAATATTAATTCTGACCCATGAGCATGGGATGTCTTTCCATTTGTTTGTATCGTCTTCAATTTCTTTTACATGATTATAGAGACTGAGAAGTCCCACAGGCTGTCTGCACGCTGGAGAAACAAGGAAGCTGGTATCATGTCTCAGTCCAAGTCTGAAGTCCTCGGAACCGGGGAAGGTAATGGTGTGACTCTGAGTCCAAGGCTGAAGGCGTGAGAACAAGGGGTGGCGGATGCTGGCCAAGCCCTGGGGGCCAAAGGCCAGGGAACCTGGAGTTCTGGTCTCCAAGGGCAGGAGAAGAAGGGCATTCCTGGCTGAGCACGGTGGCTCACGCCTGTAATCCCAGCACTTCGGGAGGCCGAGACAGGCAGATCATGAGGTCAGGAGATTGAGACCACCCTGGCTAACACAGTGAAACCCCGTCTGTACTAAAAATACAAAAATCAGCGGGGCGTGGTGGCGGGTGCCTGTAGTCCCAGCTACTCAGGAGGCTGAGGCAGGAGAATGGCGTGAACCCGGGAGGCGGAGCTTGCAGTGAGCTGAGATCGCACCACCACACTCCAGCCTGGGCGACAGAGCAAGACTCTGTCTCTAAAAATAAAAAATAAAATAAGAAGGGCATTCCTGCTCCAGGAGAGAGAGAGAGAAAGAGAGGGTGAGAGAGAGAGAAAGAGAGGGCGAGAAAGAGAGACAGGAAGGAGGAGGCAGGGAGAGGAGGAGAGAGAGAGAGAGAGAGAGAGAGAGAGAGAGGGAATTCACCTTTCCTCCACCTTTTCGTTCTATCTGGGCCCCCAGCCGACTGGATGGGCTAGGGTGGAGCTTCTCCACTGGATGGGCGAGGGTGGAGCTTCTCCACTGGATGGGCGAGGGTGGAGCTTCTCCACTGGATGGGCGAGGGTGGAGCTTCTCCACTGGATGGGCGAGGGTGGAGCTTCTCCACTGGATGGGCGAGGGTGGAGCTTCTCCACTCTGTCCACCAACTCAGGCATCACGCAGACACATGCAGTAAGAATGCTTCACCAGCGTTCGAGGTATCCCTTAACCCAGGCAAGTTGATACCCAAAATTAACCATCACAGCCACTGAGGTTTGGCAGTAGCTTTTCCCTGCAGCGACCCCCAGCCTAGGTTGACTCGTACCCTGAAACAGCGAGGGAAGAGCTCCACATCCAGCAGGAGGAGACTGGCTGGATAAATGCGGTGTGTTTAAACAATGGCTACCCCTCCGGCATTTAAATCATGTTATAAAAAGTATAATGTATACAGAATCTATTACGTTTTTAAAATGTTACAAACTCATGCCCAGTATGTGCTCGGTTTTGTAAAATCGAGGCGAGTTATGTGGAATGCGTAACCGAAATGTAAAGTGTGATTTTCATGGAGCTACAGCTTTAGAGACAACACTTATTTTCTTTTTTATGCTTCAGTTTATTTTACAAGTTATCTACAATAAACATCAATTACTGACATAATCAGAAAAAGTTTGCTTTATTTTTCTACATGCGAAAGCACAAAGAACAATAAACATGTCACAGATGTGGCACATTTGCGCACAACCCCATTTTTAACACCGAGGACACCCCCGTCTCTCTGCTCTGCCCAGCCAGGTCCAGCGTCCTTGAGCCAAATCTCTGCAAATGTTCCAGTCAGGACAGATTAAGTTTCACCATAAACCAGCAGCTCATCTTTATTTCTAGGCAATTTATTTAAGAGCCTCCTAAAATCTACTAACTTCCAGGCCGAAAATCATTTAAAATCAAATGAGTTTCCTCGCCGATAAAACTTGAGATCATCCTTCAGCTTTGGAGATAATAGAACTGAGCGGTCATTTCCTCCCCGCGCTGAGGGAGCTGAGTGATGGAGAGGCGGCATAGGTCCTCCGAGGAGGCCCCGTGAGCCCCATGGCTGTTTCCCAACGCCAGCGGAAGAGGGAGGTTAGAGGCTCCCTCTGCTGTTATCCTGCGGGTGGAGGAAGCCCTGAGCATCCCCTCCAGCCCCTGAGGCCTGAGTCCTGGGGGGCCCCCCGCCCCCGCCAGCCCAGCCTGGCGTCAATCCCGCTTATGCATAGCCCAGACCACCCCCTGCCCAGCGAGCTCCCCTGAGGCTCTTCCTCGTGGCAAAAGAGATTCTCAGAGCCCTCTGCAGAGTGCCAAGTGCGCAGGGAAGTCACAGCTGACCCGTCACCCCAGCCCCAACTGCTCAGTGCCCCAGACCTCTCACTGCGTGTGGCCCAGGCCCTGCAGAGTCTGCCCCACCCCCTCCAGCCTCCTTTCACACTTCCTCACTGCATCAGTTTGCCTTTGTAGCAATAATGCTTAGAAACAAATCACCCGGAAACTCTGGTTTCAACCCGAGTATGTATTTAGCTCACAAGCCGCAGGTCAGGGGTCAGGCTGGGCTCAGCAGGTGGCTCTTCTGTCCTCGCCGGGGTCACTCGGGACTCACTCACTCGTCTAGGGCTGCTTGGCTCTCGGCTGCCATCAGGCAGCTCTGTCCCATCCCTCGAGTGTGTCTCATTCTCCACCGGGGAGCCTAGACACCGCTCGGAGAGGGTGACAGGAAGAGCCAGCAGGTGCCTTCCCAGCCTCCGCCCGTGTCCCATCCCACGGCCAGACACAGAACAAAGGAACGGGAAAGAGACTCTAGTAGGGTGAGCAGCTGAGTCACATCACGGGGGTGGGAGACAGGTGGGTGAGAGCCAGGGGGACGAAGCAACCCCTCCCTCAGCGCCTGGGCTGGGACCCAGTGGCCACTACTGACCGAGGCCCGCCCTCCTCACAGCTCAGCGGGCAGCGCCACTGGCCCAGGCGGCCTCACCTCCCTCCTCTCCAGCCACACCTGCACCCAGGACAGTCGTCCCCTCCAGAGAAGCCCCCAAGAGCACCGCAGCCTGAGTCACAGCCTTTGACACACTCTGACACTTTCCTTCCCACAGCTGTCACAGTTTGGGACAATAAATGATTCCCCAGTGCATCAGCCCAGGATGGAGGCCGCAGGTGGACAGAGACCTTGACCATTGCATTCCGCCAGGTTGGACCTCCTGGCCCAGGGTGTGGCATGGCAGGTGCTCAGTGGACCCTGGCCGGCAGAACAAACAGCAGAGGTGCCATGGGGATGGCCTGGGGGACAGAGCAACCGATGGAATGCAGGCGATTTGCTATACGTGATTTACTCCTCACCTGAGGGGGCCGAGCCGCGGCCCTGGCACTGCTCCCTCCCTCCCTGGTGGAGGGCCCTGTCCTGAGGGTGAGGCCAACGCCTGCCCTCCCCCCACCCACCCAGCCTGGCCCATAGGGTGCACTCACCTCACCCCATCATGAAGGACTCAGGTCCAGGCCCCTGCTCCTATCTCCAGCCCTGCTTGTGAATTCTGCACGGCAAAGAGAGGGCCCTTCCTGACAGCACGGGCTCAGCCTCCAGGAAAACATGCTTGGGAGAAACTGAGTGATGTGGATGAATCTCGCTAGGCAAATCGACCATGATTATTCACTACAGCACCCCAGAGCAGTGCCCTCTGGATTCTCATTGTCATTGTGATACGAAAATACATTATTTTTAAAGACTGTTGAGTGAGTCAAACCCCAGCACTCTCATTAATGTTCCCAGGCTCAGAGAAGCAAACCCTGGAGAGCTTCATCCCCCCAGCTCTGCCTGCCTGAGGCTTAGGAAACGGCCAGGACAGGGGAGAGCCTGGGGGATGCGGATGCTGTGGTTGGCTCTGTCTGGCAGCGGCAAAGGCTCCAGGACTCTGCACAGAGCCCCAGACCTGGGGCCTCCCCAAGGAGTGAGGGACACCCCTCCGATTTCGAGAAATAAAACCTGCAGGGAATTCACACTGTTGTGGGAGACCCAGAGCCCAGCGCCCCGGGCAGGGGCCATACCCAGCTGCGTGTAGCTGAAACCTGATGAAATAGCCGCCCCGGGCAGGATCACACCCGGCTGCGCGTAGCTGAAACCTGATGGAATGGCGGCTGAACACCTGCTCCTCAGAGTGTGGCCCCGACCAGCTGTGTCTGCATCACTCAAGAGGCCCTCGGGAATGCAGAGCCCCAGGCCCCTCCAGAGCTGCTGAGCCTGAATCTTACCAGCGTCTTGTGTGTTTTGTCACAGTCCCCAGAGGATCTCTACTCACAGCAAGAAGACCACGGGGAACCCTGCATGGCTCAAGGCCATCACAGCTGAGTTCTCTGCAAGACGATGCCGCTGGTCTCTTCCTCATGTTGCAGGACGCAGCCCCAGCCATCAAGGTGCCAACAGGAAGAAAGGGGGACAGGGGGCAGGGAGAGGGAGAGCATCTGAGGAGAAACGTCCCTTTAAATCCCCATAGACCAGAATCCGTCCCGTGGCCACATCTAACTGCAAGGGACATTTCCAGCTGGGCACACGGCTGCCCTGAACAGAAGCAAGGTTTGGTAAGAAGCGAGGTAGAGGGGAGTCGCTGTGTGGCAGGCAAGGTCTGCTACACCAATACGCAAAGGGTGCACATGGTGGTTCCCCACCACCCCACGCCCACAGGAGTCCCCACCTGAGGCCGGAAGAGGCGACCAGTCTGTGGCAGACACCCGGAGGGAGGAGTCCAGAGCCACCCACATGACACCAGAGCAAAGGGGGTATCTGGAAAATTACACTCCAAATGCCAAGGTCAAGATCACCTGGACACTACAGGGGGAGTGAGGAAAGAGAGATGGAGAGAGACAAAGAGAGAGACCGAGAGAGAGGGAGACCGAGAGACAGGTAGACAGAGAGAGAGGGAGGGAGACAGAGAGAGAGAGACTGAGAGAGAGGGAGACCGAGAGAGAGGAAGACAGAGAGAGAGGGAGGGAGACAGAGAGAGAGGAAGGGAGACGGAGAGAGAGGGAGACAGAGAGAGAGGGAGGGAGACAGAGAGGAAGGGAGACAGAGAGAGAGGAAGGGAGACAGAGAGAGAGAGAGAGAGAGACAGAGAGAGATACAGAGAGACAGAGAGAGAGGGAGAGAAGGGGGAGAGAGAAAGAGACAGAGAGGAAGAGAGAGACAGAGAGAGAGGGAGGGAGACAGAGAGAGGGAGGGAGACGAGAGGGAGGGAGACAGAGAGAGAGGGAGGGAGACAGAGAGAGAGAGAGAGAGACAGAGAGAGAGGGAGAGAGAGAGAGACCGAGAGAGAGGTAGACAGAGAGACAGGTAGACAGAGAGAGAGGGAGGGAGACAGAGAGGGAGAGAGACAGAGAGAGAGGGAGAGAAGGGGGGAGAGAGAAAGAGACAAAGAGGAAGAGAGAGACAGACAGAGAGAGACAGAGAGAGAGGGAGAGAGAGAGAGAGACAGAGACAGAGAGAGAGAAACAGAGAGAGAGAGAGAGAGAGAGACAGAGACAGAGAGAGAGGGAGACAGGGAGAGAGAGAGAGAGAGACAGACACAGAGAGAGGGAGAGAAGGGGGGAGAGAGAAAGAGCCAGAGAGGAAGAGAGAGACAGAGAGAGGGGGAGAAAGAGAGAAAAAAAACAGAGAGACAGAGAGAGACACAGAGACAAAGAGAGAAGGAGACGAGAGAGACAGAGACAAAGAAGAAGGAGACACAGAGAGAGGGACAGAGAGAGAGGGAGAGAAGGGGGAGAGAGAAAGAGACAGAGAGGAAGAGAGAGACAGAGAGAGGGAGAGATAGGGAGGAAGAGAGAGAGATGGAGGGGGGAGAGATGGAGAGGGAGAGAGAGAGGGAGACAGAGAGGGACAGAGAGGGGGGGAGAGAGAGGGAGAGAAGGAGACAGAGAGAGGGAGAGAGAGAGGGACAGACAGAGAGACAGAAGGAGAGAGAGACAGAGAGAGGGAGAGATAGGGAGGGAGAGAGAGAGAGACAGAGAGATGGAGAGGGAGAGAGACGGGGGAGAGATGGAGAGGGAGAGAGAGAGGGACAGAGAGGGGGGAGAGAGAGGGAGAGAAGGGGGGAGAGAGAAAGAGCCAGAGAGGAAGAGAGAGACAGAGAGAGGGGGAGAAAGAGAGAAAAAAAACAGAGAGACAGAGAGAGACACAGAGACAAAGAGAGAAGGAGACGAGAGAGACAGAGACAAAGAAGAAGGAGACACAGAGAGAGGGACAGAGAGAGAGGGAGAGAAGGGGGAGAGAGAAAGAGACAGAGAGGAAGAGAGAGACAGAGAGAGGGAGAGATAGGGAGGAAGAGAGAGAGATGGAGGGGGGAGAGATGGAGAGGGAGAGAGAGAGGGAGACAGAGAGGGACAGAGAGGGGGGGAGAGAGAGGGAGAGAAGGAGACAGAGAGAGAGGGAGAGAGAGAGGGACAGACAGAGAGACAGAAGGAGAGAGAGACAGAGAGAGGGAGAGATAGGGAGGGAGAGAGAGAGAGACAGAGAGATGGAGAGGGAGAGAGACGGGGGAGAGATGGAGAGGGAGAGAGAGAGGGACAGAGAGGGGGGAGAGAGAGGGAGAGAGGGGGCAGAGATGGAGACGGGGAGAGACAGAGAACACATGCAAAATACAGGCAGAAGACAGAAACACAGGAAACCTAGTTCTAGGACCAAAGGAAGTTTTCTATAATTTTTTCATAGCAAAACAATTTCATAATAACCTCAGTTCAATAAAAATAAGAACTTAAAATAATAAAATGAATTCATATGAAGAGAGAGATTACAGATCTTAGGAAACAAATCAAGGACCAAAATAACACCATTAAGGTCCTAATAAAGAACCTAAAAGTGCTGAGAAATATAATAGCACCATTAAAAATCAATGTTTTAAGAATTCCGTATCCTACTTTTATTTGTAAAACAACCCTTTTCTTATTATAGAGTAATAGATACGCATTGTAGAATATTAGAAAATATAAGCAAAATGAGAAAACACTTGTGGTCAGGAGTTTGAGACCAGCCTGGTCAACATAATGAAACCCCGTCTCTACTAAAAATACATGGCGGGCCGGGCGCAGTGGCTCATGCCTGTTATCCCTGCACTTTGGGAGGCCCAGGCGGGTGGATCACCTGAGGTTAGGAGTTTGAGACCAGCCTGGCCAACATGGTGAAACCCCATCTCTGCTTAAAAAAAAAAAAAATTAGCTGCATGTGGTGTTGTGCACCTGTAATCCCAGCTACGCGGGAGGCTCAGGCAGAAGAATCACTCCAACCCGGGAGGTGGAGGTTGCAGTGAGCCAAGATAGCACCATTGCCCTCCAGCCTGGGGGGCAAGAGCGAAACTCTGTCTCAAAAAAATAAATAGAAAATAAAAATACATGATGGCACATGCCTGTAGTCCCAGCTGCTCAGGAGGCTGAGGCAGAAGAATCACTTGAACCCGGGAGGTGGAGGCTGCAGTGAGCTGAGATCATGCCACTGCACTCTAGCCTGGGAGACAGAGTAAGACTCCGACTAAAAAAAAAAAAAAAAATTCCACGTTTCCACAGTGCAGACCCTTCAGCCTCTTCCTTATGCAAACACACACGCAGGCACACATCTGCATGGACACCTGGCACATGCTTCTCGCTGCTGCCCGCTTAGATCAGTCCGTGGTCCCCTTCGTTCCATTTCACTCTGTTTTGACTCAGTTAACACCCAGACCTGAATTGACCTAAAAATTGTCCCGGGCAGCAGGTCTGTTGAAAGCAGAAGCCATCGAGAGCCACCCGTGGCCCTGGGCTGTCGCGCCCCCGAGCAGAGTCCGGCTTGCTGAGGGGACCCAGGACACCCCCGAGCAGAGTCCAGCTTGCTGAGGGGACCCAGGACGCCCCCGAGCAGAGTCCGCTTGCTGAGGGGACCCAGGACGCCCCCGAGCAGAGTCCGGCTTGCTGAGGAGACCCAGGACGCCCCCGAGCAGAGTCCGGAATGCTGAGGGGACCCAGGACGCCCCCGAGCAGAGTTCGGATTGATTGCTGAGGGGACCCAGGACGCTTGTTGTGCAGGTGCCTCGATGGTCCGGTTGCTCCGCCTGGTGTTCTTAGCTTGTCCACCTCTGGCATTATCTGGAAACTGCAGGTTACGTTAAAGGCTTTCTGAAATCATGTGAAGAGTCTGGCGTGTCCGCTCTCCACAGGTCGCGTTGTGTATGTGGAGTTGCGTCACACCAATGACATCTGGCTGCGCCGCTGTGAGCGACGGTGAGATCAGCCTGGAAGGGAGGACCACGCTCTGCCTCCTGCATTTCCAGCCGCCTCTCCACGCCCACATCCGGAAGATCATCTTCATGGCGTTGCACGGGCGCCCTGTGGATGTGTCTCCGCGTCCGTCATTCCCGGAATTGTTTTAATGCTAGTTAATAATTATTGCCTGGAGCCACAGTGTCACCAGCATTTACTAAGTTATATTTTTCTAATTCTATTATCATTTCTATATGTATTATCTGCCACTGAAAATCAAATATTGCCAAAGGAGAAAAGCTTGAAATAAGCAGAGTAAATGTAGATGAAAAAGACGACTGAGAGAGAAGCTAATCAATGTAAGGAAAATGGGTTTCCCTGAAGTCAACAGCCAGAAAGTGGAAGATTTAGTGTATCCAAAGACAAATTTCTCTAAAATAATAATAATAATAAACACATTGGACTACCAGATCTGAAGAGGGTATTGTTTTCCAGAACATGTTGAAAGAAAACACCCAACCCTGAATGGATGTTAGTTCAGCCCCTGAACCCTGAAGGTAAAGAAAACTCTTTATGCAACAAAAAGGAAAACATTAACAAGAAAAAATGAGCCACGCTGGCCTCAGATGTTCCCATCAATCTTTGGAGCCAAAAGACACATGAAAACCGCTGTTGGGTATGGAGGGAACAGCTGCAGGGCCACAGAAGACATACCCAGCTAAGGCTGCACCCGGCACACAGGAGACAGAAAACATACTCAGCTAAGGCAGCACCCAATACACACAAGACAGAACACATACTCAGCTAAGACAGAACCTGGTGCAAAGAAGACAGAAGAGATACCAGCTAAGGCAGCACCCAATACACAGAAGAAAGAAGACATACTCAGCTGAGGCAGCACCTGCTACACAGAAGACAGAAGAGATACTCAGCTAAGGTAGCACCTGGTACACAGAAGACAGAAGACATACTCAGCTAAGGCAGCACCCGATACACAGAAGAAAGAAGACGTACTCAGCTAAGGCTGCACCGGATACACAGAAGACAGAAGACATACTTAGGTAAGGCTGCACCTGGTACACAGAAGACAGAAGACATACTCAGCTAAGGCAGCACCCGATACACAGAAGAAAGAAGACATACTCAGCTAAGGCTGCACCTGGGACACAGAAGACAGAAGACATACTCACCTAAGGCTGCACCTGATACACAGAAGACAGAAGACATACTCAGCTAAGGCAGCACCCGATACACAGAAGAAAGAAGACGTACTCAGCTAAGGCAGCACCCAATACACAGAAGACAGAAGACATACTCAGCTGAGGCAGCACCTGGTGCACAGAAGACAGAAGAGATACTCAGCTAAGGCTGCACCCGATACACAGAAGACAGAAGACATACTCAGCTAAGGCAGCACCTGGTACACAGAAGACAGAAGACATACTCAGCTAAGGCAGCACCTGGTACACAGAAGACAGAAGAGATACGAGCTAAGGCTGCACCCGATACACAGAAGACAGAAGACATACTCAGCTAAGGCAGCACCCGGTACACAGAAGAGAGAAGAGATACTCAGCTAAGGCACCACCCGATACACAGAAGACAGAACACATAGTCAGCTAAGGCAGCACCCGATACACAGAAGACAGAAGACATACGCAACTAAGACTGCACCTGGCACACAGCAGACAGAAGCCATACTCAGCTAAGGCAGCACCCAGTACAAAGGACACAGAAGACGTACTCAGCTACGGCTGCACCTGGTGTACAGAAGACAGAAGACATACTCAGCTAAGGCTGCACCCGGTACACAGGAGACAGAAGACGTACTCAGCTACGGCTGCACCTGGTGCACAGAAGACAGAAGACATACTCAGCTGAGGCAGCACCCGGTACACAGAAGACAGAAGACATACTCAGCTAAGGCAGCACCCGATACACAGAAGACAGAAGACATACTCAGCTAAGGCAGCACCTGCTACACAGAAGACAGAAGACATACTCAGCTAAGGCAGCACCCGATACACAGAAGACAGAAGACATACTCAGCTAAGGCAGCACCCGATACACAGAAGACAGAAGACATACTCAGCTAAGACAGCACCTGGTACACAGCAGACAGAAGACATACTTAGCTAAGGCAGCACCTGGTACACAGAACAAAGAAGACATACTCAGCTAAGGCAGTACCCGGTACACAGAAGACAGAAGACATACTCAGCTAAGGCAGCACCCGATACACAGAAGACAGAAGACATACTCAGCTAAGGCAGCACCCAGTACACAGAAGACAGAAGACATACTCAGCTAAGGCTGCACCCGATACAGAGAAGACAGAAGACATACTCAGCTAAGGCAGCACCCAATATACAGTAGACAGAAGACATACTCAGCTAAGGCTGCACCCGATACACAGAGGACAGAAGACCTACTCAGCTAAGGCAGCACCCGGTACACAGAAGACAGAAGAGATACTCACCTAAGGCTGCACCTGATACACAGAAGACAGAAGACATACTCAGCTAAGGCTGCACCCGATACACAGAAGAAAGAAGACGTACTCAGCTAACGCAGCACCCGATACACAGAAGACAGAAGAGATACTCAGCTAAGGCAGCACCCGATACACAGAAGAAAGAAGACATACTCAGCTGAGGCAGCACCTGGTGCACAGAAGACAGAAGAGATACTCAGCTAAGGCTGCACCCGATACACAGAAGACAGAAGACATACTCAGCTGAGGCAGCACCTGGTGCACAGAAGACAGAAGAGATACTCAGCTAAGGCTGCACCCGATACACAGAAGACAGAAGACATACTCAGCTAAGCCTGCACCCCATACACAGCAGACAGAAGACATACTCAGCTAAGGCAGCACCTGGTACACAGAAGACAGAAGACATACTCAGCTAAGGCAGCACCTGGTACACAGAAGACAGAAGACATACTCAGCTAAGGCAGTACCTGATACACAGAAGACAGAAGACATACTCAGCTAAGGCAGCACCCGGTACACAGAAGACAGAAGACATACTCAGCTAAGGCAGCACCTGGTACACATGAGACAGAAGACATACTCAGCTAAGGCTGCATCCGATACGCAGAAGACAGAAGACATACTCAGCTAAGGCAGCACCCGATACACAGAAGACAGAAGACATACTCAGCTAAGGCAGCACCCGATACACAGAAGACAGAAGACATACTCAGCTAAGGCAGCACCCGGTACACAGAAGACAGAAGACATACTTAGCTAAGGCAGCACCTGGTACACATGAGACAGAAGACATACTCAGCTAAGGCAGCACCCGGTACACAGAAGACAGAAGACATACTCAGCTAAGGCAGCACCTGGTACACATGAGACAGAAGACATACTCAGCTAAGGCAGCACCCGATACACAGAAGACAGAAGACGTACTCAGCTAAGGCAGCACCTGATACACAGAAGACAGAAGACATACTCAGGCAAGGCAGCACCCGATACACAGAAGACAGAAGACATATTCAGCTGAGGCTGCACCTGATACGCAGAAGACAGAAGACATACTCAGGTAAGGCTGCACCCGATACACAGCAGACAGAAGACATACTCAGCTAAGGCTGCACCCGATACACAGAAGACATACTCAGCTAAGGCAGCACCTGATACACAGAAGACAGAAGACATACTCAGCTAAGGCAGCACCTGGTACACAGAAGACAGAAGACATACTCAGCTAAGGCTGCACTTGGTACACAGAAGACAGAATACATACTGAGCTAGGGCTGCATCCGATACACAGAAGACAGAAGACATACTCAGCTAAGGCAGCACCTGATACACAGAAGACAGAAGACATACTCAGCTAAGGCAGCACCTGATACACAGAAGACAGAAGACATAGTCAGCTAAGGCAGCACCTGATACACAGAAGACAGAAGACATACTCAGCTAAGGCTGCACCCGATACACAGAAGACATACTCAGCTAAGGCAGCACCTGCTACCCAGAAGACAGAAGACATACTCAGCTAAGGCAGCACCTGGTACACAGAAGACAGAAGACATACTCAGCTAAGGCTGCACTTGGTACACAGAAGACAGAATACATACTGAGCTAGGGCTGCATCCGATACACAGAAGACAGAAGACATACTCAGCTAAGGCAGCACCTGATACACAGAAGACAGAAGACATACTCAGCTAAGGCAGCACCCGGTACACAGAAGACAGAAGACATACTCAGCTAAGGCAGCACCTGGTACACATGAGACAGAAGACATACTCAGCTAAGGCTGCATCCGATACGCAGAAGACAGAAGACATACTCAGCTAAGGCAGCACCCGATACACAGAAGACAGAAGACATACTCAGCTAAGGCAGCACCCGATACACAGAAGACAGAAGACATACTCAGCTAAGGCAGCACCCGGTACACAGAAGACAGAAGACATACTTAGCTAAGGCTGCACCCGATACACAGAAGACATACTCAGCTAAGGCAGCACCTGCTACCCAGAAGACAGAAGACATACTCAGCTAAGGCAGCACCTGGTACACAGAAGACAGAAGACATACTCAGCTAAGGCTGCACTTGGTACACAGAAGACAGAATACATACTGAGCTAAGGCTGCATCCGATACACAGAAGACAGAAGACATACTCAGCTAAGGCAGCACCTGGTACACAGAAGACAGAAGACATACTCAGCTAAGGTAGCACCCGATACACAGAAGACAGAAGACATACTCAGCTAAGGCAGCACCTGGTACACAGAAGACAGAAGACATACTCAGCTAAGGCAGCACCTGGTACACAGAAGACAGAAGACATACTCAGCTAAGGCAGCACCTGGTGCACAGGCAGAGGTGCTCACCCTCCAGCACGAAGGAACGTCAGCGCACAAGAGCCCTTCCTGAAAACACAGATTCCAGCCGGCAAAGCAATCCAGAGTGGATTCCGACTTCAGGAATAGAGAAGTGGCGGCCACTGTGTTTACTGGGAGCACCGGGTGGTGGAAAGACGGCCCATACCCAGTGGCGTAGGAATTATCGTCACAGAGTGCAAACCCACGTTGCAAAGCAAGACATTCTAAAAGGAAGGATTTAACCAACAACCGTCAGAACGTGGGAGGAAAAGAGACAGGCGGAAGAATCAACACACGAATTCTTCACGTTTTACAGCCATGTCTAAAAGTGTCATATATCCTTAAAAGATGACTCGCAGCTTGCAACGCTTTGTAAACTTTTTACAACAGCCTTAGAGAGTGCTCTCAGAAATAAGTTGACAGAGAACTACGCATTTGCAATTCAAAACTCCTTGAGTTTTCTCATCTGAAGCTCAAGTGAATGAAACATAACTCTGACTGAAAATAGCACCTGCAGCGTGTTCACATTCGAAGAGTGTTTCTGCTTCTCCGTTACTCACCTGGAGTCACAGTCACCGGAGGCCAGTGCCAGCTTTTCCTGGGCGAAGGCATCTTTTCTTGGCACATTTCTGCATGGATTAAATTCTTTGTAATGAGCATGTGTTATTTTTACAGAAACAATCAGGTACCTTAAACAGGGAAAACACAGAGAGGCTGGAAGCGAGCCTGCAGGATTTTACGCATTTTTAATGCTGGGTCATGACCAAAGGAACATTTCCACACTGTTCAGTTTTTAAAAATCTTTTTAAAGGAGAGGAACGCGGCTCCACCTTTCATACTGTATTTTCCTTTGTCTGTTTCTCATCTGATGAATTTCATCACAGTCCATGGATCCAACACAGCAAGGCGGCCTCACCGCCCTCAGGAGAGGGCCCCTCTGTCCTGGCTGTCCTTCAGGTGCAAAGTGATTCCCAGGGCTCCGGGAACATCCGCGTGCCTGGACGGCCCAGGTGGCATTGAACCAGCCACTGAGGTCACAAATGTCCCACAAGGAGAACAAAGGCCAAGAAGGGGTCAGCCGTTGGCCCCGGGCCAGGGGGTTCCTCCTGGTGGGCAAACTCAAGATTTCAGCCACTGCAGTGCAATCCCTGAATTGGGGCTAGAGGCACACGGGCAGGGATTGGAGCTAAGGGGGTGTTGGGGATGTGAGCGAGGCTCCTGCCGCCCCCAGAACGCAGAGATCAAAGACCCCAGAGCAAGCCTGGATTCCTGGAGCCCCGGCCTCGGAGCCGCAGCCGCCCTGTCGATGAGATCGTGTCCCTCCTCCACCTCTGCCCTCCCTTCCTCCTCACAGTTCCCACGATGCCGCAGATGTCCACCGGTCACCCCACCCGGGGCTGCAGCAAATTAATCCACAGCAGGGGCCCCTGTGCCCCAGGGCTCTGAGCCGGCCTCACGCCCTGTACCCCCGCCCGTCACCCCAAAACCTCAGCAGCTTTTCCCTCCTCGGGCAACTGGCTCCCTTCGGGCCTAGGCTGTCACCCTCCCTCCGGCCTCGGCGCCTCAGTGCCTCAGTGCGAGGAGAGAGAGTCGCCTGTGTGGAGCCCTGCACTGCAGGGGAGGGCGTGGGGAAGACAGGGGTCTGGGTCAGGGAGCCTGGCCTGCCGCACAGGGGCCCCCCTCCTGGGCTAGAACGCCAGAGACAGGCACTGCCCAGCCACCAGGAGCTGCTCGCTCTGGACGGGAGATTGTGTTTCTGAGGGCAAGGAAGACGAAGAGGTTCCCCACGGCCCTCCCTTCTCAGCCACCCGCACCCCAGCACACACCAATGTCTCGGAATGATCTCGAAGGACGTGGTTAGTCGCCAGGACATAGGGCCTAGAAATTCTGCCACAAGACGCTCGCACCTCCCACCCCTCATGGGGCAAGGGGCTCGCCAGGCCCTCTCAGAGCGGGAGAAAAGCACAGGCCAGGTCCTAGGGAAGGGGGTGGCCGTGATCCGGGGTGAAAATCCCTGTGGAGAGGCCGTCACAGCTGGGGTCTGGAACCAGCACGTCCTCCTGGGATGGGGAGAGGGCTCTGGCCCACGCACCGCCCATGTGCAAACTCTCAGCTCAGGGAAACTCGCTTGCCCACTCAACAGGCTTCCTGAGACGGCACCGTGGACAGAAGGCATGTGGACCGAGGGCACAGCTCAGGATAAATACGCCGCGTCCCTGCCCTCCAGTTGACCTGGCAGTGGGTGAGGTGTGTTAATGTCAGAAAGAAATGAGCTCCATAAAGGAAAACGAGTAGCAAAGGAGGAGGCGTCGCTTGAGTGGGTGGCGGGGACGGTCCGGGCCACTGCACTTCCCCCGAATGAGGAGTGGGGCGAGTGGGCGGAAGGGAGGCCCCCAGAACCACTGACCACGCCCACGCCCACGCCCCAGGGCCTGCAATGGGGCCTTGTTTGGAAATCGATGTCATTGCAGATGTACTGGGTTAGGGATCCAGAGATGACACCATCCCGGATTTAGAGGGATCCTACATCCAATGACAAGCATCCTATACATAAGAGAGAAAGGGGAGGGAGATGCGGGCTCAGAGAGAGGGGAGGGAGATGCGGGCTCAGAGAGGGGAGGGAGATGCGGGCTCATAGAGAGGGGAGGGAGATGCGGGCTCAGAGAGGGGAGGGAGATGCGGGCTCAGAGAGAGGGGAGGGAGATGCGGGCTCAGAGAGAGGGGAGGGAGATGCGGGCTCAGAGAGAGGGGAGGGAGATGCGGGCTCAGAGAGAGGGGAGGGAGATGCGGGCTCAGAGAGAGGGGAGGGAGATGCGGGCTCAGAGAGGGGAGGGAGATGCGGGCTCAGAGAGGGGAGGGAGATGCGGGCTCAGAGAGGGGAGAGAGATGCGGGCTCAGAGAGAGGGAAGGGAGATGCGGGCTCAGTGAGAGGGGAGGGAGATGCAGGCTCAGAGAGAGGGGAGGGAGATTCGAGCTCAGAGAGAGGGGAGGGAGATGCGGGCTCAGAGAGAGGGGAGGGAGATGGGGGCTCAGAGAGGGGAGCGAGATGTGAGCTCAGAAAGAGAGGATGGAGATGCGGGCTCAGAGAGAGGGGAGGGAGATGCAGGCTCAGAGAGGGGAGGGAGATGCAGGCTCAGAGAGAGGGGAGGGAGATGTGAGCTCAGAAAGAGAGGATGGAGATGCGGGCTCAGAGAGACGGGAGGGAGATGGGGGCTCAGAGAGGGGAGGGAGATGTGATCTCAGAAAGAGAGGATGGAGATGCGGGCTCAGAGAGAGGGGAGGGAGATGCGGGCTCAGAGAGAGGGGAGGGAGATGCGGGCTCAGAGAGAGAGGGAGATGTGGGCTCAGAGAGAGGGGAGGGAGATGCGGGCTCAGAGAGAGGGGAGGGAGATGTGAGCTCAGAGAGGGAGGCCATGGTAGGCAGCAGCCGAGGCTGGAGGTCCCACCACAGGCTCAGAGCCACAGGCGGCGTCAGAGGCAGAGAGGCCTGGAGTGGGGGGACTCTCGCTCAGCGCCTCCAAGAGCGTAGCCAGCACTCCTCGGCCTCAGCCCTCAGGCCTCCGGAATAGAGGGAAGGCAAGGTTCTGTGGATTCCAATGGCCCCGTGTGTGCTGTTCTAGGACAGCTGCTGCAGGAAACACATTTGAGGATAAAGAAGCAGCTGTGGGCAAGAGTTCTGGGCAGAAGGAGGAGCAGGTGCAAAGGCCCTGGGGCAGGGGCGGCATCAGGGCTGGAGGCTGAGGGATGGACCTGCAAATCCTGCACAACTTCCAGTGCAGAGGAGGCTGCTGCAGGTTCCCCGGCAGAGAAACAATGCTGGAGGCCTCTGTGTGAGGTGAGATGCACAGTGTGGCCAGCAGAACAAGAACTAGATGGGGACAAACACAGAGGCCGAGATGCAGGGCAGGGGTGGCACAAACCCCCACAGATCCAACCCTACAGACCCAACCCTGCAGACCATCCCCTAACCATCCCCCACAACTCCATCCCCAACAGGCCCATCCCCCACAGACCCATCCCATGCAGACCCAACCCTACAGACCCCACAAGTCCATCCCCTAAAATCCATCCCCCACAGGCCCATCCCCACTGGGAAGGGTGCAGGAGGACAGGCCACAGCTGCTCCTGAGAAGACACCAAAGGCAGGAAGGAAGCGTCGGTGCATGCAAGAGAACATTGGAAAAAAGCCACAGAGTCGTTTTCCAGAACTGCGAGCGGGTCAGAGGCATCGGCGTCGATGCCCCACGACGGCTGCAACGAGGCTTCTGCAGATCTGAGTTCACGGAAAGGACCATGAGGAGACACTCCCTCACCCCGAGCTGAGCCCACGCCCTCAGCTTCTGCGGGAAAATCATTTTCGAGTTCTGCATGTGTCCAGGTGGCCACAGCTCAGGGCTCGGAGAGGGCTCCGCCCTGCGGTTCTGAAACCCAGCAGCCACGTTAATTGCCTCTTAACGCGCGCTGCATGTTGCTGTATGAAAACAATCGGCATCCAGGCACTGTCCTCTGTCCACAGGTTGAGATTTGATTACTTTTTTATCTCTAAATTAAATTCCTTCTCGTGCTTGTCTTGTTACATCAAATCTCTTTAAATCTTAATAGACTGCAGCTCCTCCCTGCAGCTCAGGCCCCTGATAACAGCGTCTGGTACTCACGGGGCCCTGGGCCTCAAGGCAAGGATGAGGGAAGGGGATCGCCAGGGATGCAGCTGGATCCGGGGACCCGGACGCTGAGGCAGAGGAGAGAGAGTCCTGGGACCCAGGGAAGGTTCTTGCTCCTCAGAACTGCTGCAGACACCAGCAACAACCCAGGCCTCCCAGCACCTTAGAGGGGCCTCCCAGGGCAGGAACAGCACCAGCACCTGCAGAAACGGTTCGCCAGGCTCCTCCCCACTTCCCAGGCTCCTCCGCCCTTCCAGACCCAGCTCCAATCTCGCCCAAAGCTCCCCGAGCCCTGCCCCCACCCCCGCCCCCGCCCCCCACCTGGGCTCAGTCCAGCCAGGCCGACCCCAGCCCCGTCCTCTGCACACAGGGCCACCTAGCACAAAGGCCTTGGCACTCCTGTGCCTGCACCAAGTTTTGGCCTTTCCCCCAACCCCGTCTAGCTGGGAGTGGGGGTCTCAGGCCTGTGGCAGGCAGGAGGGCACAGCCATGGGCCGATGGGAAATGCAGTGGCTGACAGAAAGTGTCACTCTGGCAGGTGACAGGGTGGGCGGGGCAGGGCCGGGACGGGAGGTGGGCTTGCCCCTCAGCTCTCATCCATGCACTCTTCTGAAATTATGCTTGGAACTTGTACTGCGTCAATGACAATCACGGGCTGCCTGTCTCGGGTGTGCGGATGGGGCCTGGAACATGGCCTGCGTTCATCTTCTGAAACCAAGGACCCCACGCTCCCTGGCACAAAAGGGCTCTGGGGAGGCACAAATGGCCCCTGGTGGCCGCTGTGGCGACTGTGGCCTCGGGGCCTCCTTACCTGGGCCAGGTTAACCACCCTGTAAGCTGCACTGCACGGAGTACCAGGCACCACGTGAGCTGAGCTGGAGCTGGGGACGCAGGAGGTGCCGCAGCCCCAGCTCACAGGCGTGTCCCAATTCAAGGCCCCCGCAAACTGTCACAAAAGCAGGAGGAGGCACCAGGGAGAGAAGGGCAGGGCTGGAGATCCACAGCCGGCCGAGGGCACGGGTGTGGGCAAGGCCCTGTCCACCCAACAAGGGCCACCCTGCAGCCTCTGGCTAGCCTCCCCGTGCCCAGGGCTGCTGCCTCTGCTTTCAGGAGGAGCCACATCACCTGACTGAGGTGAAAGTAATTCTAAGTAACCACAGACTGAAAAAGAGGAGGACGGCTGTGTGGAGAGAATTTTGGTTAAGGGGTCCCAAGGCCCCCTATTCAGCTGACCCCACTCCTGACCCTCCCCTGTCCAGGCCCTAACACAGCCGTCACCCCTCTCTGCTTATGAAGAACCTCATATGGGAACACGGGTGCTCCTGGTTTCTCTGGCTGCAAATTCACGCCTGCACTCTGAGAAGAAAAGCAGATGGGAGATGTGTGATAGGTGCCTTCCAAAGCTGTGTGTGACAGGCGCACTCGAGCACAGCCGGACGTGGTCAGGGATGCAGCCACACCAGGATGTGCTTTCAGAAATCCTCCTTAATGCTTGCTCAGATGGCTGGGATCATTATTTATTTGCCTATTCTTACCTTTTGCTATTTCAGAGTGAAACACATTATCCTAAGAAGCTCCCTTTTCGAGGGAAGAAAAAGGAAAGAGGTACCGATTTCAATGTTACAGAGGGAAATTCAGAGTGGAAACAGAACGCCAGACGCTGCCCAGGATGAGGGTCCAGCGAGAGCAGGTGGCTGCAGCCAAGGTGACAGCAAAAGACCCCCAAGATCCGCCACCCGAGCACGTGCGCCCGTCAAGCTCCACCATCCGAGCACGTGCGCCCGTCAAGCTCCACCATCCGAGCACGTGCGCCCGTCAAGCTCCACCATCTGAGCACGTGCACCCAGCAGACGAGACGCAGCCGAGATGACAGCAAATAAGCACAATCCATTCACCAGACCCCAAACACCGCCACTGGAACACAGGCGCCCAACAGGCCAGACGAAACGCCGCTCTTGACGCCTCATGGGACCATCTCCCCTCACCGGGCCCAGCCATCACACTTTCTAACACTGGGGGTGGCTGCAGGTGATAGAGACCTGGAAGAACTGTTGCCTCCACGAGAGAGGCGTTTGCTCTCCTTCCCTCGAGAGCAGAGGCCGAGGGCCCAGGGCCACCATGACGAGTCCACTCCTCCAAGTCTCCCAGGCTCTGGGGCCCAGGCATCCTCTATCCGGCCACACCGTTCTCCCTGGAGACCCTCTGCCACCCCACTCTCCCCCGGGACCCTCCGCCACCCACTCTCCCCGGGGACCCTCCGGCCACCCCACTCTCCCCCGGGACCCTCCGGCCACCCCGCTCTCCCTGGGGACCCTCCGCCACCCCACTCTCCCCCGGGACCCTCCAACCACCCCGCTCTCCCCAGGGACCCTCCGGCCACCCCGCTCTCCCCAGGGACCCTCCGCCACCCCGCTCTCCCCCGGGACCCTCCGGCCACCCCGTTCTCCCCGGGGACCCTCCGCCACCCCGCTCTCCCCCGGGACCCTCCGGCCACCCCGTTCTCCCCAGGGACCCTCCGCCACCCCGCTCTCCCCCGGGACCCTCCGGCCACCCCGTTCTCCCCGGGGACCCTCCGCCACCCCGCTCTCCCCCGGGACCCTCCGGCCACCCCGTTCTCCCCGGGGACCCTCCACCACCCCGCTCTCCCCCGGGACCCTCCGGCCACCCCGTTCTCCCCGGGGACCCTCCGCCACCCCGCTCTCCCCCGGGACCCTCCGGCCACCCCGTTCTCCCCGGGGACCCTCCACCACCCCGCTCTCCCCCGGGACCCTCCGGCCACCCCGTTCTCCCCGGGGACCCTCCGCCACCCCACTCTCCCCCGGGACCCTCCAACCACCCCACTCTCCCCCCGGACCCTCCGGCCACCCTGCTCTCCCCGGGGACCCTCCGCCACCCACTCTCCCCCGGGACCCTCCGACCACGTTGCTCTTCCCAGGGTTCTGGCACAGCCCACAGGACATCGTGGGAATGCCTGGACTGCGCCGCCCCTGGAGCCCATAACCTGTCACTCTCATCTCAACTCCTGTCAGCGAATTTCCTCTTTGTGTGTGTGCGTAAACCACTTTGAGGTGTGCTCTGTCCCTGTGATTAAACACCTGGTGGATTATCAAAGCTGCGTGATGTCAGGGCTGTGATGCCTTTGTAGCAAGGTGAAGTCCTCAAGTTTCTGAGTTCAGATCCTCCGCGTGGACCCTGGAGCGTGGGGGCCACAGGGCCCAGAAAGTGCCTCAGCGTCGGACGACCGTGGAGCCGGCAGATGGCGCCCAGCAGCAGGTATCCCGGGGGACCTACCGGCTCCAGCCTGGTCTACGACCCTCACTGAAGATGCTCTTACCTGTAGGAAGGTGCCGGGGACCCAAATGACAAACATCCCACTGACTTGGGCTCCAGGAACCATGTGTGGTGCTGAGGTTCAGGCGGCGTATCCGACTGGACCATCTTCACTGCGATGGCAGCAGCTAACCTAGACTGGCTTAAGTAGAAAAGGAAATATGTTGATTTAGGTCAGTGAAAAGTCCAGACGCTGGTGGGCTCAGGGAGTGCTGGACACAGAGCCTGGTGTACCTGGGAGGATGCTCACCTCCCCAGCCCTGCTCTGCTCTCCCAGTTCCAGTTTCAAACAAGCTGCCCCCATGGGGCAAGACGGCGGCAGAGGTTGCAGCCAAACCCTCCTGGAAGTGGCTCCAGCCCAGGGTCATCGGTCAGAACTTGTGTTCGGGAAGAGGCAAGGCTCTGGCCAGCTCAAGAGCAGAACATGAGGCCCCTCAAAACACCGGATGGGGAAGGGAAAGGGGCTCAGTTCTCAGTGACAGTGAGACACAGAGACTGTGAGATGGCGTCATGCAAACGGACGGGGACGGTCATCCTCAGGGTGGACGGGCGCTGACTCACCAGGGAGCCACCCTGGAGAGATGGGAGGCGGGACTCAGAGCCAGAGGCAGGGACCGAGCCTCCAGACCAGACTGAGGACTGACTAAACAAGGAGAGGCGAAAGCACCTCCGCATGAGACAGGCCACCAGGGCCAGGTCCGTTTACCGTTGGGCGACCACACCTTTCCATAGCAACAACCCCACGACCCAGGAGTTACCACCTTTTTCTGGAAATGTCTGCCTAACCTGCCCCTTCATCTGCACGAAATTAAGCGTGGGTATAAATGAGGCTGCAGAACTGTGCTGTGCGGCTGCCCTCGACGCCCTGCCTATGGGGGGGCTGCAACCCTGCACCTCTGTAAACCTGCTTCTCCCACCACCAGCTGGCTCTTGAATTCATTCCTGAGTGAAGCCAAGAAGCCTCCCGGGCTCAGCCCCAGTTTGGGGCTCCCCTGTCCTGCATCACTGGGGGAGAGTGAAGGAGAAAGCCGAGTCACCCTGGGGAGGCCGAGTCAGTCATCCAAGAGAGAACGGGTGCTGAGTCACCTGGGACAGTGGGCGCCGAGTCACCCGGGGACAGTGGGCGCCGAGTCACCCCGGGGACACTGGGCGCCGAGTCACCCGGGGACAGTGGGCGCCGAGTCACCCCGGGGACAGTGGGCGCCGAGTCACCCGGGACAGTAGACACCGAGTCACCCCGGAGACAGTGGGTGCTGAGTCACTCTGAGACAGTGGGTGCTGAGTCACCCGGGGACAGCCACAGGCTCCATGGATTAAGACCCGAGGTCTTCAGAGGCCGTCACTGGCCTCCCACAGAGACCTGTACTGGAGGTGATGCTGACCAGCTCTGACTAGTGCGTTGCAACCGGGGAGCCGCTTAGCTGTGCACAGCCTGCAGTGAATCCTGAACTCCATCCTTACGGCGTTCTACACACACAGACACACAGACACGCCAGCAAACCCATATGCACATGTACATACACACACATATATGCACACATGCACTTCCAAACACACTTCTACACACATGCACACACAGACACACAGACATTCCAGCAAACCCATATGCATATGTACACACACATATATGCACACATACACATATATGCACACACGAATACACATGCAAGCACATGTACATGCAAACACATCTGGACACATGTAAACACATGCCACACACATGTAAACACATGCCACACACATGCTTGTATACACACATATACACACATGCCCCGCATACACACGTGCACAGATACAGAGCTATACACGTCCAGACATGAACACATACATGTACACATATGTGCACACATACATACACACTTGCAAATGCACATGCTCGTACATGGGCTGCATGTGTATGCATAGATACATGTGAGCACGTACATATGCACACACATGAAGTCACACATAGACATACAGACGTGCATGGATTGTGAACATACATATACACATGTGTGCATGTATGTGAACAAATGCACCTGTGCATGTATGCAGGTACACATGCATGCATACACAAACATGCACATATACACACATACACCTACATACATGTGAACTCAAACATGCACAGACAGACACCCCTGGTGCTTCCTGGGATCGCCTCCCAGTAAGCTACAAACACTTAGGCCCTTGTCTCATGCTTTCTGGGAGAGCCCCAGCCAGTGCCAGGGAAGCCTGTGCCCCCCCCGGCCCCGTGGGTCACCTGCTCACTCTGACCCACCGACGCAGCTGGGGGAAGAAACCTGCTCACTGGCCAGTCCAGGTCGTTGGCCCTACAGAGCGAGGGGTGGAGCCAGCACCTCTCGGGCCAGATGCAGCCTGCGGGGTGGGAGGTTCCTGGAGGAAGACGCAGGGCCCTGTTACCAAAGGAAGGGTCCAAGGATGCCAGGAGGCAAAACAAGAGACATCCAAGTAAAGGCTGGGTGTGCAGGGAGACCCCGATCGGCCCACTCCTGCATGTTCCACAGATACGGCATCTCAGGGACGCCAGCGCCCTGGGACCCGCATCGTCCTGGCTTTGAGGGTTCTGTGGTTCCATGTGTGAAAAAAATGAGCACCAATGAGCAGGATGCGCTCCTCTCTAATCTGCCTGATGCTTGATCCCGCAGCCAGCTCTGGCTGGTTTCCTACCACCTGTCCCCGGGGCCAGCGCACCCATGTCCAGTGACGCAGTGGCACGCTCCCCCAAAACGTGCAGGCACTTTGAATATGCGTAATTCAAAATGCACATGTTCACAGAAACAGGAGTGGCACGGCAGGGGTGGCGTGGCCCTCCACCGAGCAGAGGAAGCCTGAGAAGGGCCCAGTGCCTCCACCACCAGCTGAACGTGAAGGCAGGGAAGCGCCGGGGGCTCAGACCTGAAGTGCGCAGCCATGCTGCCTCGGCATCACACTGAAACCAGCCCTGGGTAAGCGTGTGTGGGAGAGAAACACACTGTAACCTGGACCTTGGGCCCCGGTCCTTCACAGCTCTGGAGTCACCCACGTTTCCTTAACGTCCAAATGAGGCGGCCTGGGTGCCCACCCCACCTGCTGGGAGGACCCGGCAAATCCCCCGCAGCCTGTCAGAAGCCCGAGGACCCCGGCCCCCATCTCCTGCCTCGTCTGTGGGACATTCTCCTTCCGTCTCACTCCCCAGAGCAGGCGACGGCCCCCGCGGCACTGCCGAGACCGGGAGGTTGCAGCAAGACACTGACCAAACATCTTCAGGAAACAAGCGAGTGAGCAGCTCCGCGGAACGTGAGGCAGCAGGAGACTCACGGGGGTCTTTGCGTCCCCACCCCTCCGCGGACCCTGGATCTCCAGGGACCCAGCCCCTCCAGCAGCAAGGCCTTCTCCTGCAGCCACTCCCATGTGCTTGGGACAGCCCTACTGAGGAGAGAGGCCATTTTTCTTATTGTCTCCTGTCTCTGAAGAGAAGGAGGAAGTAAAAGCTGAAAAATAACAGGAATGAAGTCAGTGGCAAGATCAGCCGGTGCCACTGATGACCAGAGGCCTGAGGTTAAAAGATTATCCCCCCACTCTAACCACATGTGCTCTCAACCTACCGCGACCCTTTCACGTGGAACCCCTTAGATTTGTAAGCCCTTAAAAAGGGCCAGGGAATCTGTCTTCGGAGAGCTCAGTTCTTGAGACACGGGTCTGCCGATGCTCCCGGCCGAATAAAGCCAAATCCTTCCTTAACCCGGTGTCTGAGGGGTTTTGTCCGCGGCTCGCCCTGCTACACCGCAACCATCCCCATACCCCCAAATCTAGAGAAGAGGAAAACCTCTGCCTGCCCCACTCGATCCTCTTCCCCGCAAGCACCTCGCTTGGCCAGCAAGGTGTGAAGGAGAAGTCTCCGTAAGAGGCAAAGGCAGAAATAAAACAATTCACGAATTCATTTCCTGAATAGAAACAGATTTGGTGCTTTTAAAAGCTGGTCTTCTTCTTGTCGTTTACATTTTTATGAAATTAACCTGTGTCCCTAAGTTTTAGAAGTGAGACCACAGTGAACAAGCAGCTGTGGCCACCCTCCCCTGGCCCCCCTGGCCTTTCACCTGTGTCTCCGGGCATTTGTCTACTCGGCCGCCCTCCCCGGGCCCCCTCCTGGCCTTTCACCTGTGTCTCCGGGCATTTGTCTACATGGCCGCCCTCCCCGGGGCCCCTCCTGGGCTTTCACCTGCGTCTCCGGGCATTTGTCTACGCAGCCGCCCTCCCCGGGGCCCCTCCTGGGCTTTCACCTGCGTCTCTGGGCGTTTGTCTACTCGGCCACCCTCCCCGGAGCCCCTCCTGGCCTTTCACCTGCATCTCTGAGTGATTGTCTACACAGCCGCCCTCCCTGGGGCCCCTCCTGGGCTTTCACCTGGGTCTCCGGGCTTTTGTCTACGCGGCCACCCTCCCCGGGGCCCCTCCTGGGCTTTCACCTGCATCTCTGGGCATTTGTCTACGCGGCCACCCTCCCCGGGCCCCCTCCTGGGCTTTCACCTGCGTCTCTGATTGTCTACACAGCCGCCCTCCCCAGGGCCCCTCCTGGGCTTTCACCTGCATCTCCAGGCTTTTGTCTACGCGGCCACCCTCCCCGGGGCCCCTCCTGGGCTTTCACTTGCGTCTCCGGGCTTTTGTCTACACGGCCACCCTCCCCGGGGCCCCTCCTGGCCTTTCACCTGTGTCTCCGGGCATTTGTCTACACGGCCGCCCTCCCCGGGGCCCCTCCTGGGCTTTCACCTGTGTCTCTGAGTGATTGTCTACACAGCTGCCCTCCCCGGGGCCCCTCCTGGGCTTTCACCTGCGTCTCTGGGTGATTTTCACCTGCATCTCTGAGCATTTGTCTACACGGCCGCCCTCCCCGGGGCCCCTCCTGGGCTTTCACCTGCGTCTCTGGGCTTTTGTCTACACAGCCGCCCTCCCCGGGGACCCTCCTGGGCTTTCACCTGCGTCTCTGGGTGATTTTCACCTGCGTCTCCAGGCGTTTGTCTTCACAGCCGCCCTCCCCAGGGCCCCTCGTGGGCTTTCACCTGTGTCTCCGGGCGTTTGTCTACACGGTGGGCAAGAGGGACCCACCAAGCAAGGGCGGCACCCACCCTGCTGGACGCAAGTCTTGGCCCTTTGCCCTGGCCCCTCAGTTTCTCATGGGAACCCCCTTTCTCAGCCTGGGGCAGGTGTGACTGGCTGCCAGGGCTCCAGGCTGAGGGCTGCAGGGGAGGGGGCTCCACTTACAGCCAGGGACTTTCTCTTCTTGCTCCTGTTTTCCCTGCACTCTCTCTGTGGCCTCTGACCCCGGCGTGGGTCATCCACCAGTGTCCCCATGGCCTCTCACCCTGGTGTGGGTCATCCACTGGTGTCCCTGTGGTCTCTGACCCTGGTGTGAGTCGTCCACCTGTGTCCCCATGGCCTTTGACCCTGGCGTGGGTCATCCACCTGTATTCCCGTGGCCTTTGACCCTGGCGTGGGTCATTCACCTGTATTCCCGTGGCCTTTGACCCTGGCGTGGGTCATCCACCGGTGTCCCCGTGGCCTGCGTCCATGCTCCAGCCGTGTCCCTCCAGGGCCTCCCGGTGTTGTGCACTGAGGTTTCCCAGCTGTGACTTTGCCACTTAAGGCAGAAACAGCTGTTGGGAAACACCTGAGTTCTTGAGCACCACCTCAGAACACCAGGCAGTTCTGCCTCCCCTGGCAGCCACCACGGTCGGCGCTGCTGCTGTACAGCTACACCTGCCACGGCAGCGCAGCCACCCAGGCCACGTAGAATGCTCCAGAGGCTGCCCAGTCTGTGATCCATGGCACAGATGTGGGGCCGCCCGCCTCCACCTGGTCCCGGCTCCAGCCCTCACTGATGTGTGATCCGGGGGTGAGGCTGCTGGCCTCTTGGTGCCTCCATGGGGACGGGTCTAGACCTGCCTCAGAGGCGGCTACAGGGATGGGAGGGATCCTCCACGAGAAGTG
Organism: Homo sapiens; assembly: GCF_000001405.40. Lineage (NCBI taxonomy): Eukaryota > Metazoa > Chordata > Mammalia > Primates > Hominidae > Homo > Homo sapiens. The sequence goes on from NC_000012.12 coordinate 132,398,991, forward strand.
CTTGGAGGGTTCCCTGGACCCAGCAGACGCTCCAGAAACATGCGCTAAACGTTAACACAGGGGATGTGAGTCGGCACGAAGGTTTCAGATGTTCTGCTGTCTTCATGCTTCTTTCTCACAGTGTATGGCGCTGGTCTGTCAGGGGGCAGCAGGCGTGCCGGCCCAGCCCCTGCCCACACTTAGCTGCCGCCAACTTCTTGGAGCCAAGTCAGGCCAGACCCGCCCCGCCCTGACCCGCTGAGCGCATCCCGTCCCTCCACATCCCAGCTGCCCTCCTAAGGGGACGACGCAGGCTCAGACCCCAGGCCCAGCCCCCGGACCCCGTGAGGAGGAGGGTGAGGAGCACCCCCCAGCAGATGCCAAGTGCATGTGCTCAGCAGCACCAGCTCCGGCGAGCTTGGCTCCTGCACCAGGGCCTTCCTGGTGCTTCACACCCTGATCAGGGGAAACATGGATGCAGCATCCAGGGAACTTTCCAGAGGCTCATCCAATGAGTGGCAGGCTGGGAACCAAATAAGGAACTTCTGCCTCACCCGGCTCCCGCCCCCACGCACCCCCACCACTCATGTTCTTTTGCAAGAGGCCCTCCCTGCAGGGAGACATGGGGTCTCACCCCTCCCTGAGAAGCCCACAGGATTTGGGGCTTCAGTGGGAGTGACATCAGGTCTGGAGGGCGATGTGGCGTCTACCCGGGCCTCCTGGAACACAGTGCCCTCTGAGGTGACGCCCAGGCACCCCACGGAGAGGCCGGGAAGCCCGTTCCCCAGGACTCCAGCCCCTCCAACGCCTGAGTCTCCAGGAACCCGGGCTCACTCAGAACCATCTGCGGACCCGCGGGCTCCCGGACGCCTGGGAGTCAGGAGGAGCTGCCACCTGACCGCTGAATATTCTGACTGCCGCCTGCCCACGCCCGGGTGCGAGGGAGCCCAGCGGGAGGGAGACGTGCGCCCCCCATCCCGCCCCAGTGCAACCTGGACAAGCACATCCAAATCGCTGGAGGAAAGAGCAGGACGGGAGGGTTGGAGCCCACCCCAAACCCCTCTTTGCCTGAATGAGAACATGAAGACACACGGACAGAATTGCAGAGTTTAACAATCCAGCGACGGCTGCTCTCAGCAGGGGTTCCCAGTGCCAGCTGTGCCACACGCCAGGCAGCGGAAAAGCAAATTAGCCCTGGAGGTCTTCGCTCAGTGGCGGGTGCGAGGAAGCCCATCCCCCTCTCTTCTCGGCCCTCTGGCCCTGGCTGCATCCCGGCCTCTGGGTGTTCCTGCCTCGGGCCTCGCACAAGCCGTTCCGCGGCCTCCGTGTGGTGCTTCCCGGAAGCCAAGCCAGCCCCTGCCTGACCTACGGATCCCTGCCAAAGTCACGCTTCACAGAGGCCCCTGAGCCTCTCCCAGACCCCGGCGGGCTCCTGACATCTTTTCCGCTACCCGCTCCCGGCACATATGGGTCGGGTGTGCAGTGGGAAGCCCAGAGCCTGCTGTGTAGCAGAGAACCCAAAGCGTAGAGCCCAGAGGACCACTGTGCTGTGTCCACAGATCTGCAGTCTGGGCAGGGCGTGGCCGGGAGGGGCCTCTCTGCCCCGGTGGGGGTGGGGCCGCTGTAAACAGGGCTGGCCCTGGCTCTCTCCCTGCTGGGACCCCCGCAGTAAACAGGGCTGTCCCTGGCTCTCTCCCTGCTGGGGCCCCCGCTGTAAACAGGGCTGTCCCTGGCTCTCTCCCTGCTGGGGCCCCCGCTGTAAACAGGGCTGTCCCTGGCTCTCTCCCTGCTGGGGCCCCCGCTGTAAACAGGGCTGTCCCTGGCTCTCTCCCTGCTGGGACCCCCGCTGTAAACAGGGCTGGCGCTGGCTGTCTCCCTGCTGGGGCCCCTGCTGTAAACAGGGCTGGCCCTGGCTCTCTCCCTGCTGGGGGCCGGGGCCTCCTTTTCTCTCCAGGGCCTCTCCATGGGCTGCTTGGGCTTCATCCCAGAATGGCAGCTGCATTCTAGGAGCCCCAAGCAGAAGCTGCATCACCTGGAAGGTCTAGTTTCACTCCCACCGAAATCCCAAATCTCCCCAGTTTCACAGGGGACACAGACCCTTCCTTCTCAGGAGGGACCTCCTGCAGGAGAACCTGAGTGGTGGGGTGTTGCATTATCTTGAAAATCCAGAAGCTGCCACTCAATCACCTCTTGAAGAATGAATAAGCAAGTGAATGAACGAACTGGTGGAGAAGACGTCGAATAACCACCAGAGGAGGGGCCGTCCCTACAGGAGGAGGCTGGGCTGTCCAAGCCAAACTGGTCCCAATCCACTCATACACCTGCCTACTCACACATTCACCCACCCATCCAAACACACATCCACTCATCACCATCCACCCATCCATCAACCTATCTAGGCATTCACCTATCCACCCACCCACCCATCCACCCACCCACCCATTCATCCAATAACCCACCCACCCATCCATCCAATAACCCACCCACCCATCCATCCAATAACCCACCCATCCACCCATTCATCCACCAGCCAATCCATTCACCCACCCACCCATTCATCCACCAACCGATCCATTCATCCACCCACCCATCCAAACACACATCCACTCATCCACCATCCACCCATTCATCAACCCATCTAGGCATTCACCTATCCACCCAATAACCCACCCACCCATCCATCCAATAAGCCACCCATCCGCCCATTCATCCACCAACCAATCCATTCACCCACCCACCCATCCATCCATCTATCCACCCACCCACCCATTCATCCAATAACCCACCCACCCACCCATTCATCCAATAACCCACCCACCCACCCATTCATCCAATAACCCACCCATCCACCCATTCATCCACCAACCAATCCATTCATCCACACACCCATCCATCCATCTATCCACCCACCCATTCATCCAATAACCCACCCATCCACCCATTGATCCACCAACCAATCCATTCACCCACCCACCCACCCATTCATCCACCAACCGATCCATTCATCCACCCACCTACCCACCCATCCAAACACACATCCACTCATCCACCCTCCACCCATCCATCAACCCATCTAGGCATTCACCTATCCAACCATCCCCCCATCCACCCATTCATCCACCCACCCACCCATCCATCTATCCATCCACACGCCCATCATCCACCATCCATCCACCCATTTATCCATCTAGCCATTCACCCATACACCTACCCACCCACCTATCCACTCACCCATTCATCCACCCACCCATCCATCCATCTATCCATCCACACACCCATCCACCTGTCTACACACCCATCCATTCACCCACCCACCCACCCATTCATCCACCATCCACCCATCCATCAACCCACCTAGGCATTCACCTATACACCTACCACCCACCCACTTATCCACCCACCCATTCATCTAATAACCCATCCTGGACAACTGCTCCCTCCCAGGCAGAAAACCTGTGTTCTCATGGACCTTATATGTGGCCAGGGAGATGAAAGGTGTATGGAGGGCTCTGCCAACTGTGGGAGGGGGCAGACCTCTGAGGAGAGCTGATGTCCAGTGAGGGTCCCATCCCCAGCTGCCCAGGTGAGGACCAAAGTCACAGACAGATTTTCCTGTCTGGCTGGGCAGCTGTGGCCTCAGGGGGCTGGAGAAGGCCTGATGTGGCCTCACAGGCTGCAACCCAAGCCCCTGCCTCCACCTCCCCAACTTGTGGGGGGTGGGCAGTGAGGAGCCGGGGCCACTGCGGGGGCCGAAAGGACGTCCATGCTGAGCACGCATCGGCCGGCTTTGCATTTCAGGGAGGTGACAGGAGATTTGCTTATGTGTTTTATCTTTCACCCAGGGATCAGTAAAATGTAGTTAATTTTAAAAAAAAGACCACCAGTCTGTTCTGCACACTTGGTAAACGTGGGAGGCGTCTGCATCACAGCCGTGGAGGCAGGAGGGAGCAGGGACGCGCAGGAGGCCCTGCCAGGCGGCCGAGGAGGAGATGAAGGGACCCCTGGCGTCCTCCTTCCCAGGAGCAGCTTCTCCATGGACAAGAAACTGAATTCTCCCTGGAAGGAGGTGGCGTCTGGGAGGAATCACAGCCCTCAGACCAGAGAGCAGGGCATCTGCGAGGTCAAGGAAGGCCAGGAGCCGCAGGGCCGGGTGCACGGTGTGGAGTCTGCGGAGGGGCAGGTGGTGGGAGGCGCGGGGTGAGGGCTCCGGCCCTGCACTCACAGTGATGCTGTGGGACCAGCTGCTGGACTCTGGGAAGGAGAGAGGGGGCGGGAGGTCCTGAGGTGCAGCCGGAGGGGTAGCATGGTTTGCCCAGGGGGACCCCAGGCAGCCGCTGGAGCTGCCGTGGGGCCCAGGAGCCCTGTGGGGTGAGGCAAGTGTTCCAGGAGGCGGCCAGGGACCCTGCTGGATTCCAGGATCTCAGGGACCCAAGTAGGAGGCCCGCCTCATAGAGCCATCAGGGTAAACAAACAGCATTTAAAGGCAACAGAACCCTCGTGTTGAGGGCGCCTGGCCCTGGTGCGGAGCTGTGGTCTTCGGGGCTCAGAAAACAAAGCTTTCCCAGGACCTTGAAAATGTTTTAGACCAAAGAACAAAAGCCCTTGCTCCAAAGTACAAGAAAAGAAAACTTCGTCTTAGAAATCGATCGGGTTGGCTGACATGTTTAAAACCGGTGTCACCATATCAGGGAGGCAGGACAGTGTCTGATGCCACCAGGGCCAGGCCGACTTCCCGCCCTGCTCAGTCCCGGGCCCCGACGGACCCCTGTGCGGAACGACTCTGGGTCCCACAGAACGGCCTTGCCCTTGAGTTGCCAGCGGCTGCCTGGTGGGGATGGATGGAGGGTTGAGCCTCGTTCCCTGAGAGAATGGGTGGATGCATTCGAACCCCAGGACCTCGCCCAGGAGCCAGGGAGGGAGGGCACAACTTGGGGAGGTGAGGGGCCTGGGGAGGCGAGGGGGGCATGGGGAAGTGAGGGAGCCTGGGGAGGCGAGGGGGCCTGGGGAAGCTCCCAGCCCACGACAGGACCAGTGCTGTCACCTGGAGACCGGGCGCTGACGGCGGGAACTGCAGCCGCCACTCTCGTGGGGGTCTTGTGCTTTGGTGCCCGTCAGGGCCCAGTGAAGATGCGGAAATCCGCCAAGCAGGGCTAAGGGCCCAGTGAGGACCACGGAGTGAGGCGGAGGCTCTTCCCACGGAGGGGACCCAGAGCGGCAGGAACCGCCATCCCCCAGCCTGCAGGTGTGGGAGGAGAGGCCGCCTATGCAGGGACACAGCCAGGCCAATGACATTGGGGGACGGAGACCCCGACCTCTCGCCTCCCAACCTCTGACCTTCTGCAGGTGCCACAGGGGCTGAATCTGACCCAGAAGCCTGTGGCCAGTGCCACAGTCACAGCATAGGTGGGAGGGCATCTCCCCAGCCAGGGTCAGCCACCTGGGTTGGCTGCGGGTCAGGACATGGACAGGCTGAGCCACGTCTACTGTCTGGGGAAACACTAGGGTCTGTGGGTTCCTCCCTGGTGGATCCTGAGGGGCTGTCTCTGCAGGGTACAAGGCTGTGTCCATAGGCCCCGGGGTCCCCCAAGAGCTTCTGCTGTTCTGAGGCTCCTGCGTCCAAACGGGACCACTCGCCCTGCCCTGGAGCCCTAGCAACCCCACTCTGCTCCAGTAAGGAGCAAATCAGTGGCCCAGGACCACGGAGCCACCCCCACCCTCACCACCAGGCCCCAGCAGGGCTAGGCCAGAGGCCAAGGTGGACCCAGAATCCTGAGGACCCACGAGGCTACAGGGTCCCTTGCCCAGACTGCAGGCAGGAGCCCCCCACCCTCAGCCCCCTCTGAGGACCTCCTGCTCCCAGCAGCTCTGCAGGTAAAATGCTGCTTGATAAACACGCTCCTGTGTCTCCTTCCCTGGCTCTGTGCTAACGAGGGGGCGTGCAGAGCCGGCGGGGGGGGCGTCCAGAGCTGGGAAGGGGGTCGTGCAGAGCCGGGAGGTGGGGCTTGCAGAGCCGGCAGGGGGGGGCGTGCAGAGGCGGGAGCGGGGGCGTTCAGAGCCAGCAGGGCCAAGAGCAGATGGCAGCAGCTGCAGGGGCACCAACAGCCAGGCCATGATGCCGCGATGGCCGTGGAGGACTCGGGTCCCTGGCCTTCTCAGGAGGGGCTGCCTGTGGAGCACCGCCGGGTCCCCCGGGTGTGTGCACAGAGACAGAGGCTGTACTGGGAGGTCCTGGGAAGCAGGCGGCCCAGCTGTCCCCGCCGAGGGCCCTCCCTCAGCTGCCCTGGTCTGGCCTGGGGAGCTGCTCCCTGATTGCAGCAGCCGGGGTCCTCGCTCTCCGACTTCTCCTTGGGTCCAGCCCGTGGGGGTCACCGGCAGGATGGAGAGGTGGGTGCTTCCCTGCCCCATGCCTTGGGGCTGTATCCCTGCCGCAGCTCCTGTCCACTGGAGGCCCTTTGTCCCCAGCCCTGGCTCTCCTGGGTTCCCAGAAACTCCACTTCCTCCCCTCTCCCTTCTGGGGCGGGCACATGTGGAGCTGCAGTCAAACTCTCAGAGACAGAAAGCAGAAGGGAAGCCAACGGCTGGAGATGGGGCGCCGTGTTTCGTGGGGACCAGGTTTCTGCCTGGGAAGATGGGAAGGTTCTGGGCACCGCGACGGAGGGAATGTGCTTCACGCCACGGAGCTGTGCACTTGAAATGGCCCCGGGGTCGATTTTATGTTACGTGTATTGCAGCACATTTTTTAAAATAAATAAGTTTTTTAAAGCAGACGGCAAAAATGCCAGGTGCGCTGGACCTCGTTTGGGCAGGAAGGGGAGTGGCTGCCTCCTCTCTGCCACGGTGCAGCTCAGGTGCCCGAGGCCCGGCCTGTGCCTAGTGAGGGCTGAGCACATACAGATGGGCTGTTTCTGACAGGCAGGTTTAGGCTCTCGGGACAGCAGAGGCAGCCTCGGGGCCTGGGGCTCCCACCCCACGTGGCAGGGGTGTGCTGGGAAAACATGGGGCTCCAGGCGTGTCTAAGGCAGCACCTACCCAACCCGCAGGGCCCTGGGCTGGGGCCTCGCTCCTGCCCAGTCCTGGCCCCTGGAGGACCCTTTTGTCTGGCACCTCTCCCACAGAGCCCCCGATGCCTGCACCGGAGCTGAGGAAGCCGCCGTCCAGCCCTGTGGAAGGTGACGCCCTTTTCTGTTCAGAAGACAAAGCCGAGAATGCGGCAATGACCTGCGCCCCAGAGGGGATGACCTGCGGGCCACCCTGACCCCGGCCCGTTCCCCCACTGCCAGCCCTGTGGGCCTGACCCAAGGCTCTGTCCCCCAGGGAAGTCCAGCCACATCCTGCCTGAATCACAGACCCCAAGAAGAGTGAGACGAGAGGCCCGTGAACAGGACCATGGGGCAGGTGGGCAGAATGACCCACCGTGTGGAGACAAAGGCCCCCCTGCCTGGGGAGAAGAAAACACAGGCCCCCTGATCGTCCCGAATAGAGGGGCCAAGGGGCCTAAAATCTCCCTCCCCCAAGCTCCAAGCACCACAGCAGACGGGGTCTCCAGCCCTGGGGGTAAGAGATGGCCCACAGCAATGAGCCGGGCTTTCCTGGGTTGGTTTCATAGCTGAGCCGCCTTGAGCTGGGGGACGCCGCCCTCGACATCCCCAGCACAGACGCCGCCGTCGACGTTCCCAGTGCAGACACCGCCCTCGACGTTTTCCCAGCCAGGACGCCGCCCTCAACATTCCCAGAGGGGACGCCGCCCTCGACATTCCCAGCAGGCGCAGCTCAGGAGCACCTTGCCATCTGCAGCTCCCTGGGGGACGAGAAGAAACAGCAGCCACCCCTTTCTCGGGCACCTTCAGCTCCGCCGAGAACGCCCGACACTCAGAGACCCTGCTCTTTGTTAAATGGGAATGAGACATGACACAGACGCGGGGCAGCGGCCACTGCAGCACGGGTTGTCCACTGCCCAGCTCTGGGGCCAAACCCTCGGCGTCGCGCAAACCATACCTCCCGCGTGACGGCCGTGTCCGGCCTGCTCACCTGTGCGAGGCAGCCCTGCAGAGCAGGTCACCAGGCCACAGGAGCACCAGAAGAGAAGCCACGTCCACTGCGAGGGCCATCCGGTGTCATGTCCCTGCCTCCACTCAGCCCCAGGCCCACAGCTGCAGCCACGCAGCCCCGCACAGCGTCACCGTCTCCAGGATCCATCGGCAGTGGGGGGGGCCGTCTCCCACCTCCCTCCTCTTACCTCCCCCCACCTCCCCAGGGCACGCACTCCCTGGCTCCTGCGCGATGCCCAGCAGGGTCCAAAATGCACCTGGATGCCCGGGAGCCGTCGTCCGCCCCACAGGCAGCCCCAGGAGCCATCGCCCGCCCCAAAGGCCCCCCCGGGAGCCGTCACCTGCCCCACAGGCCCCCCCAGGAGCCGTCGTGCGCTCAGTCGGGTCGTAGCCTTCATTCCCGTGGCTGATGATCCAACAGCGGGGACCTGTGCGGCCCCAGCACCCGTTCCACTGATGCTTGGTGTGGGCGGTGGCTCGACCCCTTCGACCGCGCACGTCATACAGGGGGTGGTTCCTCCAGCACAAGCCGCGTGTGGCGGGCAAGCCCTGAGATGGCCCCAGCGCCCCCGAGGTGCCTGCACCCCTCCCGTGAGGGCGGGGCCGTGATGCGAAGGGCTCTCCTGCTGGGTGAAGTCTCCTCGTGGCGTTGGCGGTCGGGCAGTTACTCCGCCATCAGCCCCAGAGGCTCGGCAGAGTCTCCTGAGCTCCCGGAAGGGAGTCCGGTGCTGTGAGGGCCGCGAGCCAAGCGGGAGGCTCAGGGCCTGTGTCTATTGCAGCCATTTGGCCAAGGATGTTTCCTGAGGACGATGTCAACGAAGGGAGGCCGCCTGGGGGTGGGGCAGGTTTCACAGCCTCCCATGGATGTGGGTGCAGTGGGGCCAGTTCCAGCTCTTTGTATCCCACGAGCCAATAAATGCCTTTTTGGCACTGGAGCCAGTTTGAGGGATTTTTTTTTCTGCTATTTGTAACCAAAGCCTCCTAACCCATCAGGATCCCTAATAGAACAGCAGGAGGGGAAAGAGAGAGCTGTGGTGCCAGATAGGACAGGCATGGGACCCCGGCCCCGGCCCCTCCCCACCAGCCACATGACGGAGGCTCTGTGGGGGCACAGGGAGGCCACATGTCCCCAGTAGGAACATTTGGGTTGGAGCCAGGCCAGGGGCAGCCTCACAAGTTAAGACAAGAACATACTCTCTGTGGCTCGAGTAAAGATAGTGGCGGGGCCGGGAAGACAGCCCAGCCCCAAGTCCCCATCGGCCTCCGTGCCCGGAGACCAGAGACCCCTGTGTGGGGGTCCCAGCACAGAGCCCAGCTGCCTTTGTAATGAGGGGAAACCAGCGGAGCAAGGGGTTGGGAATAGAACCAGCTGTAAGAAATGGTCCAAATCCCCAGGTAGAGGTACCAGGGGGTCAAGCCCCCTCACCTGGTCTCTGCCCAGATGTTTGCTTCCAGGAAAGCCATGCGTCAGTCAGCTGGGACCCACCGAGTGACAAACAGCCCCTCATCCAGAGGCACAGAACAACCGGCCCACAAAATGGCAGAGCAAGCTCAGTGTCACGTTGTCACCACCCCAGGACCCTGCCAGAGGACAGACAGGACAAAGGTCCTCAGAGGGCCACACATGACCACTGCTGAGAGACGCTGGTCACGTCCACTCAGCCAGACCTGTCACAAGGCCCCACAGGAAGTGAAATTCCATCTGCATCCAGCGTGGGAAGAGGCAGAACATTCAGGGAGGACCACCAGGGCCAAATGTCCACACGGCCCCAGGGGAGCAGGCAGGGCCTGGGAGGCTCAGACCCCGGTTCGGGCCAGAACATGGACCCCAGGGCCAGCACCACCCGGAGCCCCGAGGGGCTGCCCACAGTCTAGCGAGTAACGGCTGAGGGGCTTGGAGCCTGTGTGCCTCAGTTTCCTCACCTGTGACGTGGGCCATGATAGCACGCCCCTCACAAGTGTCCTGGGGGCCAAGTGAGTTCAGAACACTGCTCAGAGCTCACCTGCTGCTGATGACAAGTCGTGTCACGGGACCTGTTGTTTTATGACACACTCAACCCCACCCCACATGGAGCCCCGTCCAGTCAGCCGGCCCCGTTCTCTGCTGAGCCACCAGCCCTGGGGGTGGCCGGGCCAGGCAGGAGCCCCACAGAGGCCCCTCAGTGAGCTCAGCGCAGGCCCAAGCACCGCCGGTTTCTCTGCCGTCCACACCGTCCCCAGACGGGCCGCACCCCTGACGCAGGGAGGGCTTCCAGGCTGCACTCGCCCTCGCCCTCCCTGCCTCTCGCTCAGAACCTGTCCTGCCCAGCCCTGCATCCCATGTCCCTGCCTCTGGTCCCGAGCCCTGCCTGCCCCCTCCAGCCCCTCACGTCTCTAAGCCTGAACCTCCCTCACAGGCGTCACTGCAGCCACCCCACAAATCCTTCCTGATACCAAAGGCCAGCAGGCTGGGGGACATTTGGGAGGGGCCGGGAGCAGGCCCTGCCTTTGCTGCAGCCTGTGGGGGGCTTCTGGGCGGGAGAGGTAGGGGCAGGCCCGGGGGATGGGAGCTGTGGGGCCAGCCCTGATCCGCTCCTCCTGCTGGGTCCTGGACACAGGATCGATTTCTCCCTGGGATTTGGGCGTCCGAGTCAGTGGGGACCTGTGCCCCCAAACCCCCTCAGCAGCAGAACGCAGAGAGCCGCGGTGCCATCTCCACCCTGGCTTTCCAGGCCCTGGAGGGCAAAGGTCAGTCAGATGGAGGGAGCCCGGGGTCCCTGGCAGGAGTGTGGCCAAGTCCCAGCAGCGCTGCCCCGAGAGAGGAGGACGGCGCAGCTCCATTGCTCCACCTGCCCGGCTCAGGGATGGAACCCAGAGCTGCCACCGTCCTGTGGGTGACGGCAGAACATCTGGCTGCCGGGTGGCCTCCGTAACCGCCACACACCTGCCTCTGCTGGAATCACCTGAGGCTCTGGTGCCTCACACGGATTGGCCAAAACAGGGAGCGGAGCCGGGAAGGCCACGGACATCTGTGTGGTGTCACGAACAAGGTCCGGCCACGTGTGTGGGAGACGCGGGCGCCGAGGCAGGCGCCAAACTAAGCCCGGCCACCAAGGGGACGCCCACACCCCACCTCCGTGGTGACCCCTGAACCCCCGGAGCTCACCATCCACACCAGGGTGAGAGGAGAGGATGGGCAAGGAACCGTCAACCAGAGGGGATGCTCAGCTGCGTGCACGTGGCGGGTGGTACATGGGGGCTCGGGGAGGCACCCAGAGAGGATGCGTGTGTAGTGCAGAAAATGAGGCTTTGGGGCCCGCACACCGAGCCCAGGACAGCACGGAGGCGGGAGACACTGCCAAGCCCCCCTCACCCTCCTTGATGGACGCCCCAGAGTCTCACCCTATCCCCTCCCCAGCTCAGGGCGACAGGAGCCCAGCCACGTGCGTCCCGGGGCCGCCATCACAGCCCCTCAGAAGCCGCCTTAACACGGACTAATCCTGCAGACCTGGAGCTGGGAGCCGAGGGTGGGGCCTCTGCAGGGCCGGGTGCTTTGAGGCCCTGAGGGAGAATCGTCCAGGGCCCGTGTCTGCCGCTCCCAGGCTGGTCAACACCTTCGCCTTCCCCCAGCATCCTCCCTGTGAGCACATCTGTCCAAATCCTGATGTCAGGACAGGGTCACACTGGTCTACGCTCCACTCCGGAGCCAGTTACTTCGGCAGCAGCTCTGTCCCCGTGAAGCCACGTGTGGAGGAACGGGGGTGAGGATGGCAAAGGACCTTTTTGGGGGATGTGATTCAAGCCGTAGAGAAAGGAAACCCCAGCAATGACTGAGTTGGGATTTCTCACCACCTAGAGCGTGGGATCGAGCTCTAGAGCCGCGGAGGCAGGGATGGGAACCGAACTCTTGTCCACCGAGGAGCCTGGGAGGAGGCGGCCACACCACACCCCAGCCTTAGAGGGACCTGGCCTGGCCCTCGGTCCGCAGGGGGGCCTTGGGTCACCCCCAAGGCATCCTGCTTCCTCCCACCCCCGGGCAGTACAGGCCACTCCTCCCTGGGCCTGTCGTCCTCCCAGGGCTGCAGGGTGGACCCCCTGGGGGGTCTAGAAGGGCTGATCCAGGCCCCTGTGACCAGTTCAGGGAGCACCTCTGGGGTGGCGGTGCAGGGCTTTGTACTTCTCAAAGCTGTCGGGTGGTTCTAGCACGTAACCAGGGTCTAGAACCCCACACACACACAACACAGGCCCACATGCACCCGTGCACATGTGCACACACACACCTCCCCCCCACACATACACGGGCACCCACACACACACACAACACAGGCCCACACGCACCCGTGCACACGTGCACACACAGCCCCCCACACACACACGGGCACCCACACACACACATGCACACACACAGGCCCACACACACACACGCGCACACACACACAGGCCCACACACACACACATGCACACACACACGCACACACACACAGCCCCCCCCCACACACACACACGTGCACACACAGGCCCACACACACACACAGGCCCCCACACACATAGGCACACACAGACACACACACAGGCACTCACACACACACAGGCCCACACACACACATGCACACACACATGCGCACACACACAGGCCCACACACCCACACACACACACAGGCTCACACACACACAGGCTCACACACACACATGCAGGTGCGCACACACAGGCACACGCACACTCAGCAAATCAAGTGACTTCCCAGAACAAAGAACATCCACTTTAAGATAATTTGCTGCCTAGACGGTGAAGAGCCAGCATTTTTCAAAAGGCAGCTTCATTTAATCACAAACAAAACTGAAGTGCTGCCCCACGGCCTGTGTGGTGAGTGGAGGAGGGATGTGGACGCCAGGCTCTGCCCTGGCCGGCCCTGACTGTGGAAAGGAGCAGCTTGGGAGGAACTGCCTCCTCGGACAGGGCTTGGCCAGTCAGTTCCACTGACCAGAGGGTCTGGGGTATTGGCTATGGGATCTGGGGGAGTCCAGCCGGGGGTCACAGGGTCTGGGGGTGACAGCCAAGAAGGCTAGGGGTGTGGGCAAGGGGGTCTGCGGTGTCGGCCAGGGGGTCTGAGGTTTCCTGCTGGGGAGTCTGGGGGCCAGGGGGTCTGGGATGTGGGCCACAGGGTCTGGGGGTGTCTGGCTGGGGGTCTGAGGGTGTCAGTCAAGGGGTGCATGGGTGTCCGACTGGGGTCTGGGGTGTCAGTGGGGGCCTGGGATGTCAGTGGGGCCTGGGGTGTCAGTGGGGTCTGGGGTGTCAGTGGGGTCTGGGATGTCAGTGGGGTCTGGGGTGTCAGTGGGATCTGGGGTGTCAGTGGGGTCTGAGGTGTCAGTGGGATCTGGGGTGTCAGTGGGGTCTGAGGTGTCAGTGGGATCTGGGGTGTCAGTGGGGTCTGGGGTGTCAGTGGGGTCTGGGGTGTCAGTGGGGCCTGGGGTGTCAGTGGGATCTGGGGTGTCAGTGGGGCCTGGGATGTCAGTGGGGCCTGGGGTGTCAGTGGGGCCTGGGGTGTCAGTGGGGTCTGGGATGTCAGTGGGGGCCTGGGATGTCAGTGGGGTCTGGGGTGTCAGTGGGGTCTGGGGTGTCAGTGGGATCTGGGGTGTCAGTGGGGTCTGAGGTGTCAGTGGGATCTGGGGTGTCAGTGGGGTCTGGGGTGTCAGTGGGATCTGGGGTGTCAGTGGGGTCTGGGGTGTCAGTGGGGTCTGGGATGTCAGTGGGGTCTGGGGTGTCAGTGGGGTCTGGGGTGTCAGTGGGGCCTGGGGTGTCAGTGGGATCTGGGGTGTCAGTGGGGTCTGGGATGTCAGTGGGGTCTGGGATGTCAGTGGGGGCCTGGGATGTCAGTGGGGTCTGGGGTGTCAGTGGGGCCTGGGGTGTCAGTGGGGCCTGGGATGTCAGTGGGGTCTGGGGTGTCAGTGGGGGCCTGGGGTGTCAGTGGGGCCTGGGGTGTCAGTGGGGCCTAGGATGTCAGTGGGATCTGAGGTGTCAGTGGGGGTCTGGGGGTGTCAGTGGGGGCCTGGGATGTCAGTGGGGCCTGGGATGTCAGTGGGGCCTGGGGTGTCAGTGGGGCCTGGGGTGTCAGTGGGGGCCTGGGATGTCAGTGGGGCCTGGGATGTCAGTGGGGGCCTGGGATGTCAGTGGGGCCTGGGGTGTCAGTGGGGCCTGGGGTGTCAGTGGGGTCTGGGATGTCAGTGGGGTCTGGGATGTCAGTGGGGGCCTGGGATGTCAGTGGGGTCTGGGGTGTCAGTGGGGCCTGGGGTGTCAGTGGGGCCTGGGATGTCAGTGGGGTCTGGGGTGTCAGTGGGGGCCTGGGGTGTCAGTGGGGCCTGGGGTGTCAGTGGGGCCTGGGATGTCAGTGGGATCTGAGGTGTCAGTGGGGGTCTGGGGGTGTCAGTGGGGGCCTGGGATGTCAGTGGGGCCTGGGATGTCAGTGGGGCCTGGGGTGTCAGTGGGGCCTGGGGTGTCAGTGGGGGCCTGGGATGTCAGTGGGGCCTGGGATGTCAGTGGGGGCCTGGGATGTCAGTGGGGCCTGGGATGTCAGTGGGGCCTGGGATATCAGTGGGGTCTGGGGTGTCAGTGGGGCCTGGGATGTCAGTGGGGCCTGGGATATCAGTGGGGTCTGGGGTGTCAGTGGGGCCTGGGGTGTCAGTGGGGGCCTGGGGTTGTCAGTGGGGCCTGGGGTGTCAGTGGGGTCTGGGGTGTCAGTGGGGGCCTGGGGGTGTCAGTGGGGGTCTGAGGTGTCAGTGGGGGTCTGGGGTGTCAGTGGGGGTCTGGGGGTGCCATGTTAACCACTGTAGGCTGTCCTGCAGAGCTGCCTGGGCTGTTTTAGGACGTTGAGGTTCCAGAGCAGCAGGAGGTTCCCAGAAGACAAGCTGGGCTCCAGCACCAGGACCTGGGGTTTCTGGCCCAGAGACCACAGCCCTGTCTGTGCCGGGCGCTGAGGGTACGGCAGGTCGTCCTGGCGGCCTTCTTGCCAGTCCTGTCAGGTATCAGGAGCCTAAGAGGCTGGTGAGGGGCTGCCTGCCCACCCTTGCTGACTCCGGAGGGTAACCCAGCTCCTGCCCCGTCCTGGCCCTGCTCTCCGGAGTGGGCTGTGGTCGGTGGTCCAGGGCCACAGAGCGCTGCTACCCTCTAGTGGGTACCTGGGGTCCTGCAGCTCAGAACCGCGACCCCAGCCCACGGGAGTCTCTGCGTCCACGCACCTGGACGTCCTCCTGCGGCAGGCGCCCCGGAGGCCCCTCCAGTGTTCCCACCTCAGCTCCCGGGAAGACCTCAGGGTCTCCCCCCACCAAGGCGCTTCCCCCAAGGGCCCTCCCTGCAGCCCGGGACCCGCCACACCCTGTCCCAGCTGCCGCCCCGTGCTCGGTGATTTCGAAGGACACTGGCTGAGGTTTCTACACTATCCCTCAACCGGGGGCTCCTCCAGCGACCACAGTGGAGTGGAGGGTCTGGGGCCTCCGTCCAGGCTGCGGTGGTCCATCCCTCTGCAAGCCGCTGTTTCTGGGCTCCACGCTCTGGCTTCGGAAGTGGGAGCGAGTGTTGAAATCCAGCCACCTTCGGGGGAAGGCCAGTAGCTGGGGTCCCGCCCTGCAGGCCTGTCCCGGCGTACAGAGCAGGTGACAGCTTCCAGGAGAAGGTGTGTTCTGGGGCTTGAAGGTGCCGGCGTGCAGGGAACAGCAGGTCACAGAGCCCCTGGAGACCCAGGCAGGAGGCAGACCCCACCTAGGCCCGGGTCGCACGCAGGGCAGGGCAGAGGCTGTGGGAGCCGGGAGGAGGCCCGGGGTCTGGGGAGCCCTGCCCCACCCCAGGGAGCTGTGGAGCACCCCCGACCAGGCGTGGGTGAGGCTCTCCCCTCGTTTCACGGCCGCCATGCACAACCCGGGGCCCCCGTGGGTCTGGGGCCAGGACCCAGTTTCCCTGAGGTTGAGTCTCTGTGATTTCTCCTCCAGCAGAGAGAAGGGCCTGGGCCTCGGCACCTGCACCCCTGGCACAGGGACAGTTCTGGGAAGGGCGTGGTGCCCGTCCTGGTGGCTGGAGGACGGGACTGACCCTCTGGCCACTAGGGGTCTCTCTTGCTCCGCTCTGTGCCAGAGCCGTCGCCAGGAGCCCTGGGATCCGGAACTGGGGCAGAATCCAGGAGCAGGGTGGGCCCCGAGCTCTCAGGCAGCGCTGCGGCTCCGCCCACGGCCCCTGGCAGAGTCACTCAGCCCCAGGGGCCCGAGGATGCCCCCACACACACCTGGCATGGTCGGGGTCTCTACACCTGGCATGGGGCTCCCCGAGGCTGGCTCAAGGCTGGTGGGGCCAGGGAGTCTGCATTCCTGACGTGCTCCCAGGTGACGTGGATGCTGCTGTTGAGGGACCCCAGCTGGAGAAGCCCGGTCCCAGGTGTACCCCCCTCCCCACCCCGGCAGCTAGGCCTCTGCCTGAGAACCGCCTCAGGATCTGTCCCTGCCCAAAGTGCTTCCCCAGCTCTACGGGTACAGACTCCTGGTGCTCTCCTGGCCCTGCACCTCTCCACCCTCTGCCAAGGGTGTCCCGTCCCATAGCCCTGAGGCAGCAGCTCCCTCTCGGATGAGCCACACCACCAGCTCCGTCTCCCGTGCCCTGGGGTCCTGGCAAGTGTCCTGGGGCCGGCGGAGCTGCCGCCCCATCCTCAGGCTGCAGAGGGTGACACGGCCATTTGTCCAGGCTCCCCACCAGGCCCCTGCAAGGACAGTGCGGAAGGTCGGCTGTGGTGGCCTCTGGTGAAGGATGTCCCCTCCCCCAGGAAGTCAGGGGCCCCTTGCCCTCACTGTAGCAAACACACACCCGGGACCCTCTCCCAAAGTCACGGCCACAGCCAGGCTGGGGAGGGCACGGCTCCCACCCCACTGGAGGACGGGGCTGCAGGGCTGTCACATGTGAGAACCTGGTCACGGTGGCGTCTCTGGGGACCAGGCAGGAGTGTCCAGAGAAGAAAATAGACTCACTTCCCATCGTTTTCCCTTTTCTGCAGCTTAAGTTATATTTGACCCAAGGCCAGAGCTCAGTGAGGTGCCCTGGCCTTTTCAAGGAGAGGACGTATTCATTGCGCCACTCCAAGTTTGCCAAGTGCAAATGGCTGCTCTCATGACCGCCGCTGACTGGCTCCCAGCACGGCTTGAGCTGTTCTCTAAAAGGACGTCAGGCCAGCCTAATGATTAAGGCCAGCTCGGGGCAGGTGGGTGGCCTTCCCAGGCAGGACCGCCCTAGCAGCCTGGCCCCAGAGCCCTGGAAACCTGGTCAGCAACTCTGTCCTGGCCTCCCAGAGAGGCCCCCATGCCCGGGGGATCCGAGTGTCCCGGCTCCCGGCTGCCTAACGAGCCACCTGGAACTTAGTAACAGCCCACCCCATCCTCGCGAGTGAGAAGGATTCTTGGTTACAGGTGAGCCACAGCCCACCCAGCTTCGAGCCAGGGCAGGGGCCATCTCCAGATGTGGGGAGGGGTGCAGGTCCCGGGTTCTGAGGTTTGGAGGAGCACGTGGGGACACGGCGGCAGCCGTCTCTGGAAACACGACTGTCTGTGGTTTGAGGAACGCGTTGCCACTTCCCGATCCCGGACAGAGCCTTCTGCTGGACAACAGGCCACAGACGCAGCCAGTGCCCCCAGCCTGAGACCCCCACTCAAATCCAGCAGACCCTGAGGAAGGAGAGCTCAGGCCGAGAGAGGAAGGGAGGGGGCCCGGTCAGGTCTCTGGAGTTTAGACCTCATCCCTAGAGGGAGGGGGGCAGCAGAGGGTCCTCCCTCCCCACCCCACAGTGGGCTCCTACAGCAGGAGAGGCCTCTAAAAAGACTGATGGCCGGCAGCACCCAGTGTGGGAAGGGCCCCACACCCCGGGGGTCAAGGCCAGAGGGCGCAGAATGGCCCCTGAGGGATTATAGCCCGGGGCCCTGACGCTCCCTTGCTGCCTAGTGCTACTGCCTTGGCCCACCCCTGCCAGCCCCCAACACCCAGGGGTCCGCATGGAGCCCCCCACCCCCTTGCTGGCGGCAGCCCCAAAGAGGCAGGGCAGGGGGTTCTCAGCCAAGGCTGACCAGTAGCTCAGCGGGGCCCCGAGTCCCGCCGTGGCCATGCCACCAACCTGGAACCAGGCCTGGTGGGCAGGAGGTAGAAACGGACAGATCCCACCTACCTCTGCCAAGACCACACGCTGAAGCCAAACGCCTCCCACCCACCCAGCCCCACGGTGGTCCAGCCACCGTCCCGGTCTCTGCATCAGGGTCCTCTGTCCCAGCACAGCCAATAGCTTGAAATGACACCTCCACTACGTTGTTCACAGTGCTGGGGTCAGGGACTCAGGGGGCCTGGCTGGGGGGTCCTCACTGGGGTCTCTCGTGTTGTGCCGCTGGCCAGGGCTGTGTCCTATGAGGGTGACTGGGCCGGACGTGGGAAACCACTGGCCCAGTTGCTGGCTGGGCACTCCCTGGCTTGGTGGGGGTCTCCCCAAGGTCCCCCACACAGTGGTCCCGGGGTCAGAATCCTCAGGCAGTGGCCACCCCTGCAGTGCAGTGGCTCCAAGAACCAGGCAGAGGCCTTGGGCCTTTCAAGAGCCGGCCGCGGGACTAAGCCCACAGTGTCACCCCTCCACGGTCCACAAAGTCAGGAACGGCCGGACCCAGCTCTGTGGGAAGCATGGCAAAGCCAATGGGTACAGATTTCAGCACCGCCCCAGCCTCCTGCCTGTCCCCTGCCTGTCCCCTCCTCCCACGGCCCAGCCTCCTGCCCAGCTGGAGCTGAAACCAACACCTCATGTGCTTAGACCCACAGCACCTTCCTGCTTGCAGGTGAAAGCCCGAGCCAGGGCCTGCAGAGCCTGCGGGACCGGCCCAGCTTCCCCTCTGGCCTCTCACTGTGCTGCCCCGGCCGTGGCTGCACCACCTGCTCTGCTGCAGACACTTGGAGCTCTCCCACCGCCAGGCCCTTCCCCGCCTGCTCCTCCTGGCTCTCCATGCGGCCAGATCTCGCTCCGTGCGATCCGTGTGTCTGGCGTGGTCTCGTGCACACCTTTGCTTCCCATCTACTCTGTCCCCACAGGGATCTGAGGCAGTGGGACTTGTCCTCTGGTTTCCAGCTACTTCCCCAGCAGCTGGAAGGCTGCCTGGCACTTACAGGCAGAGCATCCCTCCTGCAAAAATCCAAAATCAGAACGCTCCGGAATCTGAAACTTTTTGCGTACTGGCATGAGCTCGGATGAAATGCATGAAATGCCCATTGGAAGAGTTTGCATTTCAGAGTGGATTTTCAGATGAGGGATGCTTAACTGAATAAGTACAAGTCAAATATCTAAAATCAAAAAAGATTACAGGTGCGGTGGCCCACACCTGTAATCCCAGCCCTTTGGGAGGCTGAGGTGGGAGGATTGCTTGAGCCCAAGAGTTCAAGACCAGCCTGGGCAACATAGTCAAACCCTATCTCTACAAAAAATAAATGACTAGCCAGGTGTGGTGGCACGTGCCTGTAGTCCCAGCTACTTGGGAGGCTGAGGTGGGAGGATCGTTGAAGCGATCAGGTCAAGGCTGCTGTCAGCTGTGATTGCACCAGTGCACTCCAGCCTGGGCAACACAGCAAGACCCTGTCTGAAAAAGAAAGAAAGAAAGAGAAGAAGGAAGGAAGGAAGGAGAGAGAAAGAGAGAAAGAAAGAGAAGAAAGAAGGAAGGAAAGAAAGAAGGAGAGAGAAAGAGAGAAAGAAAGGGAAAGAAAGAAAGATGGAAGGAAGGAAGAAGAAAGAGAGAAAGAAAGAAAGAAAAGAAAGAAGGAAGGAAGGAAAGGAAAAAAGGAAGGAAAGGAAGGAAGGAAGGAAGGAAGGAAGGAAGGAAGGAAAGGCAGGCAGAATCCAGGGCTCCTCTAGACCTCTTGGTGGAGAATCTTTATTCTAACAATACCCGCAGTGGTTTGCTGCATGTTGAGTGTTGAGAAGCTCTGTTCCATGAAGTGGGCCCTGGGGAAGGGAGTTCCGTGGGGAGGGGGTGTCTCTCCAACAGTCCACAAAAGAGAAACAGGGAAGAAACACCGAGGGGCTCAGAGGTCAGAGGCTCCTCCTCCATACCCTCTGCAGCCTGAGAGCTGAGTAAGTGTGACGGTGGTTGTGAATTTCTCCAAATATATTGTCTTGTTGATGTAAAGTTACCCAAATAAACTCTGGACCCTGCAGCATTCAGTGCCTGCTGAGATCCCTTCAAAAAGGCATAATTCAGGGCCGGACGCGGTGGCTCACGCCTGTAATGCCAGCACTTTGGGAGGCGGAGGCAGGTGGATCACAAGGTTGAGACCAGCCTGGCCAGCATGGTGGAACCTCATCTCTTCTAAAAATACAAAAAATTAGCCAGGCGTGGTGGCGGGAGCCTGTAATCCCAGCTACTCAGGAGGCTGAGGCAGGAGAATTGCTTGAACCCAGAAGGCAGAGGTTGCAGTGAGCCAAGATCGCACCACTGCACTCCAGCCTGGGCGACAGATGGAGACTCTGTCTAAAAAAAAAAAAAAAAAAAAAAGGCATAATTCAGCTGCCACATGATAACTTTCAATGGGCCCCTCATTTTACCTGCAAACTGAAAGGGGGGTAACTCCGAGCTGCCCTCTAACCTTTTCCTTCCTTCCTCCACTCAATTTTCTTGCCCCAGGGAGATGCTCTGAGCCCTCTCGCACCTCAAACCCTGAAATCCATTCTCCAGCCTGAACCCACAGGGCAGCTTTCTTCTCTCTGCCTCCCCGTCCAGATGTTTTCTGTAGATGACTTGGCGTCTGGCTGTGCCCTCCCAGCCCTCTGCCGCCCACACACTCCGTTTCGTGAAGGCTCTATTCTTCCTGATCCAGCTTCCTAATTTTTTTAATCGGAAATGTTCCAGGAGCTAAATTGGCAAAGACCCTCCTTTATGGATGAAAGGGAAGGAAAACAGAAAGCTTTCACCTGTTCCTGAATCTTGCCGTGGTCAGTCACGGTAACACGTGTTGCCTGACAATCCTTTTGTGAAGGCGGAACAGCCATCGGGTTTTGGACCGCTGGCTGGCTGAGCGCATTCAGGCCGGTTAATTCACCAAAGCACAAAAAGCAAAGCCGGAGTTAAGAGATGCATGTTCCCATGACCAAGAAGCGGAGAAGTGGTATCAACGGGGCATTGTTAGAGCTATTTCAGCTGCAGATGTGTGGAAAGAAGTGAAATTTTTAAAAAAGCTGCATTTTAAGGTAAAGAAAATTAGCCACAGAGGAAACGTGATGCATGGTAAGTATGAATAACAGCATAAAGGCTGGGAATAAATGTATAACCCATATACATGCTCTTGAAAGACTATTCAATGGTCTCTATCAGGGATTATTTGTTTGGTTGCAAAACCTAGAAACACCCTCATAATTGGAAGCCACATTCAACTCAACAAATTTTTTTTTTTTTGAGACGGAGTCTCACTCTGTTGCCCAGGCTGGAGTGCAGTGGCGTGATCTCAGCTCACTGCAACCTCTGTCTCCCAGGTTGAAGCAATCCTCCTGCCTCAGCCTCCCGAGTAGCTGGGATTACAGGTGGCCACCACCACGCCCGGCTAATTTGTATTTTTAGTAGAGACGGGGTTTCGCCACGTTGGCCAGGTTGGTCTCAAACTCTTGACCTCAAGTGATCCACCCACCTCAGCCTCCCAAAGTGCTGGGATTACAGGCATGAGCCACCGTGCTGGGTCTAAAATGTTATTTTAAAAAAGGAATCAATTGTTTTGTTGTTGTTGTTGTTTGGAGATGGGATCTCACTGTGTTGCCCAGGCTGGTCTTGCCCCATAATCAAAATGTTCCAGTGCGTCAGGTAAGAGTTGATCCAGCATCTCAAATGTTGCCACACTCTGCCTCACACAGCTGGGTCAAGTTCAGGCTGCAGAAGAGGCTGCGTCAGGTGACCGGTCAGGCACATAGCTACTTCCTTCCGATGCTTGGCTGTGTCCTGGCCAGTGGTGAGTTCAGAGTGGACCAACATCTCGTCAATTGGGCTTTATGATTTCGGGGCCTGGCCAATGTTGGTGTTTGCCTTTGTGATGACTGTGAGAAAAGACTTTGAAGCAAATCAATGGTGCAAAATATTGAAGGAGAAAATGTCCAACTTACTATTTAAATCCCATTAGCAGAGTCAACATTGCCATGCAAAGGGAGATTGCTAATTTAGTTTATATATATAGAGAGAGACAGAGTTTCGCTCTTGTCGCCCAAGCTGGAGTGCAATGGCACGATCTTGGCTCACTGCAACCTCCACCTCCTGGGTTCAAGCGATTCTCCTGCCTCAGCCTCCCGAGTTTCTGGGATTACAGGCACCCGGCACCACGCCCAGCTAATTTTTTGTAATTTTAGTAGAGACGGGGTTTCACCATGTCGGCCAGGCTGGTCTTGAACTCCTGACCTCAGGTGATCCACCCGCCTCGGCCTCCCAAAGTGCTGGGATTACAGGCGTGAGCCCCTGCACCCAGCTGAGATGGGTAATTTGGGATAACGTCATCGATTCATTAAGACAGGTCCCGCAGATGCATTAACCCACATCAGAGGAAACAGATGAGAGGACGCTAGAAATGGGGCTGGGAATCCCCAAAAATCCCCAGGAGACCCCCCAGACAGGAAACTCCTGTGGATGTGAGATGCCCACTGGACATCGCAGAAGGGCATGGAGCGGGCAGGTGGGTGTGAGAGGCTCAAACCACAGGAGGCATCCAGGCCAGTGAGAGAATAGGCAGGAACAGGCATGGAAGCCACGAGGCCGGGTGAGATGCCGGGGGTGAGTGTGGACGGGGCAGTGAGAGGATAGGCATGGAGGCCATGAGACTGGATGAGATGTCAGGGGATGAGTGTGGATGGGGTATCCACAGAGGAGAGACAGAGGAGAGGCTGTGGGTACCAGGTCCTGTGACCGGATGAGAAGCCAGGGGTGAGTGTGCATCAGGCAGAGGAGAGGCTGTGGGCACTGCGTCCCAAGGCACCCCCTCAGGAGGCGGAGGGAGGAGAGAGAACCAACAGCAACCAGCCCCATAGCAGGAGGACAGTGAGAAGGAGGGGATGGGGGGTGCCTGGAAGTCGAGGGAAGACACCGATTCCAGGGGAAGGACTGGACGGGTCGGCGTGGAATTAGGACACCCGGCCACTGCGACAGGCTCAGGAACAAGCACAGACCTCAGAGGCTGGCTGACATCATTCCTCCTTCGGATCATGGCCTGGGAAGCCCCATGGCATCTCCACTGAGACAGTCACACAGTCAGGCTCCAGGGAGGGGAACAGACTCCACCTCTCAATGGGCAACAGTCAGTTCTGGAAGAGCAGGAGGTCCTGGAAACACCTGGGGAAATGCGAGCAGCAGCAGGATGCTGGACGGCTCAGCCTGGCTGGCCCAGGGTCCAGACCCTCCCACTCCATGACCAGGGGCGGCAGCTCCCCCTGCAGACGGGTATCCTTGCCGGGGCCTGACCTGCCAGTCCACACTCTAGGAGCTGCCACTGGCAACTGTTCCACCCCACACCAATGTGTGTCAGGGTCTTTCTGATGCAAGTTATGGAAACCAACTCACAGAAAACAAGGGGATGAAGGACTTTTAAACACAGGCATCTGGGCGCCTCAGATTTCACAGAGGGCTCAGATAACATCATCAGAGCACAGTCATCTCCGCCTCTCTCTCTCTCTGCCCCTTTCCATCTGTTTCTGCCTCTCTTTCTCTTCTGTTTCTCTGTCCCTGTCTCTTTATCTCTATCTCTGTCTCTGTCTCTCTCTCTTTGCCTCTCTCCATCTGCTTCTCTCTCTCTCCGTCTCTCTCTCTCTTCTCTGTTTCTCTGTCCCTGTGTCTTTCTCTCTTTATCTCTATCTCTGTCTCAGCCTCTCTTTGCCTCTCTCCATCTGCTTCTGTCTCTCTGTGTCTCTCTCCCTCTGTCTAACTCTGTCTTTGTTTCTCTGTCCCTGTCTTTCTGTGTATCTCTCTGTCTCTTAATCTCTATCTCTGTCTCTGCCTCTCTCTCTCTGCCTCTCTCCATCTGTTTCTGTCTCTCTGTGTGTGTCTCTCCCTGTCTCTCTATCTCTGTCTCTCTCCTGTTTCTCTGTCCCCGTCTCTCTGTTTCTCTATCTCTATCTTCGTCTCCGCCTCTCTCTCTCTCTCTCTCCATCTGCTTCTGTCTCTCTGTGTCTCTCTCCCTCTGTCTCTCTGTCTCTCTCTTCTGTTTCTCTGTCCCTGTCTCTCTCTGTCTATCTCCATCTCCATCTCTCTCTCCCTCCTGCCGACCCAGCCCTGTCGGCCTCAGGCTGCTCCACTCCCTCTGGGACCCCAGGGGCCTCTGCACCACCTGCAGGTGCAGACTCTCCCCTCCTGCTCCTGCGAACCCCGCCAAAATCCCAGGCCTGGCTTTCATTGGGCTAGCTTGGATCACGTGCTCATCACTGAGCCAATCACGGTGTCCAGGCGACCCAGAGCCGAGACGGGAGCCAATCAGCAGCGCTGGGTGTTACACTGGGCAGGGCCTGGGTGGCCACGCCCCTCCCCTGAAGAAGGCGGACCAGGGCAGGGAGCAGCGGCCCCGGGAGGGCGGGGCGGACGGGGTCCGCGGAGGGAGAGGGGCAGGGGGTGTGGCGGCTGCAGGCGGAGCAGGGGCTGGGCCTCCCGTGGGACCGGAAGGATTGTGCGGTGCCCAGGACAGGGCGGGACTTTCACAAAGGGCGACAGGAAGAGTGAATTACCGGGCCCCAGCTCTGCCACTGTGCTGTGTGGCCTCGGGCAGATCACTCAACCTCTCTGTGCCTGGTTCCCCGCCTGTGAAGTGGGGCCAGCAAGCGGGTGCTGTGGGGTTCACCCTGATGTGTGCGTGACTCAGAAGGGCGGCTGCACCTCTAAGTTACTGTCACAGCAGAGACCTCCCCTGGGCGAGGCAACTGGATCCACAGAGAGAACATGGGCTGCCCTCCAGAAAGCACCTCCTGCCCGCGGGGCACGCGGAAAAGGCCCAGCAGTTTCCCTTCCCAGGGCGGGAGCTACGCATCCAGGACCCAGCTGCAGACCCACAAGGGCCTGGGCTGCGGGATCCCCAGGCCAGTGACCTCCACCCTCGCCTAATTGTCCCAGCTGCGTCTCCTTCACGCCTAGTTAGATTTTGTTGTAAAGAGATAAAAGGCTGTTACTTTGTATCAGCAAGGCGTCTTTTTCTGCAGGACTGAGTTCACGAAAGGGGAAGGCGGTGGGCGGGGGAGTAGAAGGAAGCGGGGGCCGTTAATAGACTTTGGAATAAAATCCTGACAGACTCAAATTGATTCTGCAGCCTGAGAAAAATGGAGTGCAGAGGAAATGAGATTTATGCGCTGTTAACTCTGCAACTGCCTCTCAGTGTCTGCACCAAAGGCTGTTAAAATGGTGATCTTTAGTCACGTATGGAAATTGTGTGTGAAGAGACGGATGAACCGTCCAGGAGCAGGCTCCTTCCACGCCGTGTCTTATACACAGTGATATTATTATCAATGACATAATGCATTATGGGTGTAATTTAATCCGAGCATCTAAAGGTACACGCAAACCAAAGGTTCCTGGCACATGTTCCACGCCTGTGATTACCAGAGAACTCTGGGGGCTGTGAAGACAGTGGCGGGCCCATCAGTCACTGGCGCCTAGTGGGCTGTGGGGGTCTCACCTCTCCCAGCTTGGGGTGGGGAGGGCTGGACCCACTTTTACTCACACGCCAGCCCCGATCCAGGACACTGCTCAGGAGACCAGGCCCTCCCTCGGGGACAGGGCCCTGGGGGATCGTCAACTCCTTCCACAGCAGGGCAGAGCTGTGCCCACCCTGCCACGACCAGCTCCTCCACAGATGCCTCCTGTGGTGTTTCTTGTCATTGCTTCTGGGGGACCTAGGAGTAAGGTGTTCTGGACATCGCTGAGAAACAGCCCTGGGCCCCACTCCCCTCATTGGAGAGGCAGAGCCCTATTCATGCTTGAGGGAGTGTATCAGTCAGGCTGGGCTTGGCTGGGCTGTGTAACAAACAGCCCCACACCACAGCAGCTGAGCACTTCACAGATGCATGTCTTTCTCACATGTGTGTCCAGCGTGGGCCAGCAGGTGCCTTTGCTCTTTGTCATCACTGGGGGACAGGGACCCAGGTGTCAACACACATCCACAATCCCCAAAGCAGGAAGCATCATGAACTCGTGTTTAAAGGCTAGAATTTCATTGGCCAAAGCAGGTCACATGGCCGGGCCTAACTTGGAGAGAGAGGGAAAGCATAATCCTAAATGCGTCTGGAAAAGGAGGCCAAAATATTAGTGGGCGGCGCCACTGACTTCCACGTCTGCCTTCTGGACTAATCGACTGTGTTCACTCCCCGTCATGGCTCCCCAGGTGAGACGACCCCAAATCACAGCCATATCGGGTCTGGGTGACCCCAGACACCTCTTCACCGGAGACTCACAGACTGAAGAGATTGGTCATTGCCTCCCTCATGCTCGGTGCACAGTGGGTGGCAGGGAATGGACATGATGGCCCCAGCAGCAGGGAGAGAGAGAAGGGAGATGGCGGCAGTCGCTGGTCCACAGAGGACCTGAAACCCCCGGGAAGGCCCCTGAGCACCCACCCTGGTGCTGGTCCACGCTCCCTCACTCAGTCCAGATTCAGTTCCTACCTGAAGGTCACCTCCCTTTCTGCCATCCTCCGAGGCCCCTGGCTCTGCCCTCCGAGAGGTTTCTGATTCCTCCATGACCCTTCTCGGCCAGTACGAGGTGGGTACCCAGGACACGCCTTCCTTGGGGCCGGTGAGTCTTCGCCGCCCACCTCCTGGTCGCAGGAGTTAGTGGTGGTTTGCATTAACGCACACGTTTCTCTTGTAGACTGAGTGGGTGCCATCCTGTCATCGCGACTCTCTCGAGACCCCAGGAGCTTTCTCATCTCTGGCTTCAGCCAGCTCCACATGCAGCAGCCACCCCTGCAGCTCCTCCGCCATCGACCTTCCCAGGGCCACAAAGCCTTCCGCCCATGCCGATGGCTCAGCTGAGTTTCAGGGACGTCATCCTCCTCTCCCTACCTGGTCACTTTCCCCTGCGCCGTTTTGTCCAAGTGAAAATCACCATGCCCACATGGCACCTTCACCATGAGACGCCTCGATGCACGGGAGATGAACAAGGCTGTGACGCCGTGCCCTGCTTGAGACTTTTGTCAGTGCACTTTCTTGATCACTTGGAGTCTACAGTCAGCCGGCTCTTCCAGCTTTCTGGGAGTGTCATATTTTGAAATCTCCTTGTTCACTTTCACGCCTGCTGGCAGGATGGACAATTCCTGTCTGGGTCTGGCTCCTCAAAAGATCTCACTGGCATGTCTGCCGACGTGCGATTTTCCAGCCTTTCCCTAGAGCTGCGGTTTCGTCAGGTTCATGGTCCAACTTCCAAGTTGCCGAGTCCAGTCTGACCGAGTGTTCCACACCGAGTGTGCTCCGGCCTCTGCCCCGCCTTCTCTCTGTCCTCCACGTGAGCAGGACACGTGCTCCAGGTGCCCTGTGGCTGCGGCAGCACCTCATTTCTTGGAGCTGGTTTCTGCGCTGTCAGGATTGCTTGGTTCTGCTGCTCTAACAAACAGTCCCCAGACTCAGTGCCTTCAATGGCGAAGGCGTATCTCTCACTCAGGCAACTGCTCTCACACGTCCTCAGGGGACCTGCTGTTTGTCCTCACTCAGGGATGCAGGTGGAGGAATGATCTGTTTGACACACCTTTCTGCGAGGACTCAGTTGGCCAGAGGAGATGTGGCGAAACGCGCTGGGCGGGGGAGGCCTCTGCCGGGGTGGACCGGGGCACCTGCTCACATTCCCGCAGCAACGCAGGCTCAGGCTCACGCTTGGATTTGCCCTCCACTCCTGCGGTTTACTCCTTGAACAAATGTTTGCTGAGACTCCACCGTGTGTCAGACACTGCTCTAGGCCCTGGGGGTGCTGCAGGGGAGAGAGAAGACACAGGAGAACCCTGCTTTTGTGGAGTGTGCGTCCCAGTGGCAGCGGGGGTAGGTTGACAGCTGGAAGGGCCCGATGCTGATGAATCCTGCAGAGACAAATAAGCAGGAGCGGCAGGGACACGGGAGGAATCTGAGGCTAAGCAGAGAGATCAGGGAGGG
The DNA here is from genome assembly GCF_000001405.40 of Homo sapiens. Taxonomy (NCBI): domain Eukaryota; kingdom Metazoa; phylum Chordata; class Mammalia; order Primates; family Hominidae; genus Homo; species Homo sapiens. The sequence continues at coordinate 132,427,129 of NC_000012.12, forward strand.
GCTCACTGAGAAGCTGATGTTGGAAGGCGTGAGGGAGCAGCATCTCAGGCAGAGGGAACCTCCTGTGCAAACACAGTGGGAATGTTCAGGAAACTGCCCCATGTGGCTCAAGGCCAGGAAGCAAGGAAAGAGCAGGCGGTGGCCAGGGGGTGACGAACGGGGCGGGGCCTGGGGCGGGTGGCCGGGGGGTGACGAACGGAGCAGGGCCTGGGGCGGGTGGCCGGTGGGGGGGTGATGAACGGGGCGGGGCCTGGGGTGGGTGGCGGGGGGGGGTGACGAACGGGGCGGGGCCTGGGGCTGGTGGCCGGGGGGTGATGAATGGTTCAAGGCCTGTTGGGGGGGTGATGAACAGGGCAGGCCTGGGGAGCAGGCAGTGGCCAGGGGGTGACGAACAGTGCAGGGCCTGGGGTGGGTGGCTGGGAGGTGACAAATGGGGCAGGGCCTGGGGCTGTTGAGACACTAGGAGCCATGAGCAGGGAAGTGCTGTGAGCTGATCTGGTCTTGACATAATCATGCTGGCTGGGAGGAGAGGGCGGGGTGAGCCTGCGGCATCTACTGACTCCAGCATCACAAAGGGTCCCACACTTGGCAGCTGAAAACAGCACACACTTATCAGCTCCCATTTTCCTTAGATCAAGGATCAGGTATGGCTTGGCTGGATCCGCAGGCTCAGGGTCTCACAGGCTGCAATCCGGACTCAGCTGGGCAGGGGTCTCATCTCCCATGGGGAAGAAATGGCTCCGAGCTCAGGCATGTAGTTCTGGGCGGGATTCAGTTCTTCAGGGCCTCAGCTCCTCACTGGCGTTTAGCTGGAAGCCGCCCTCAGTCTCTTGCCCCATGGCAGCTCTCGGCACAGCCACTGGTTTCACCAGACCGTGGGAGAGGGTGAGAGGGATGAGCAAGATAGACCAGGGTCTTTCCGCGACCAGATTTGGAAGTGACACCCCATTGCTTTTGCCATTTTCTATTCATTTGAGATAAACCACAGGTCCCGCACATGCTCAAGGGAGGGAGCGCACAAGGACTGAGCACCAGCAGGGGCACCACGGGCCGTGTGAGGCTGCCCCATAGAGGGCGAGAGCAGCAGCTGCTGGCTACTGCACCAGTCCAGGCCGGAGACAGCAGTGTCTCGGACCAGGTGGCCGGGGTGGAGGCCGTGAGAAGCCATCGGATGCTGGGTACTTGCAGACAACAGGATCTGCTTCAGGCTGGGAGGAGAAGAGCCGCGCCTTGGCCTTCACCTGAAGGGGGCTGCCGTCACCTGAGATGGGGCAGCCGTGACCCATGACCTGAGATGGGGCAGCCCAGCTCCACTCTAGACAGGGTCCCTCCCGTGCCCTGGGACCTTCCTCCCAGTAGAAGGTGAGGAGAGCGTGGTGGGAAACGCAGAAGGCTTGTGAGCAGCGGGCAGGGCAGACAGTCCTCACGGGGAGACACCCCACGCCCAGCTCCAGCCACCCACCCGGGGCACAGCGGCCTGCCTGTTGTCACTACCAAGCTCGCCACCACATGAAGGGGCTGCCCCTGCTGGGAAGCCCTGCCAGCCCCAGAACCACCAACCCTCCCATTAATCCGCTTTAAACCCACGACGAGGTGGGGGCCCGTAAGCAGCTTTTCAGGTGAGAGACAATGTCCCCACGCAGCGCGTTGCCCAGGAGACCGCAGGGCTGAGCTGCAGGCTGAAGTCGGCCCGCTGTGTTTACGCTTCCGTATGTGTTCACCCTGCTCCACCCCAGGCCCAGGAGGGATTCAGAGGCTGAATTCCTGAGAGCACAAGAGCACAAAGAAAAACTCATGTGGGCAAACGCAGACAGGGAATTCGCTGTCAGTCCCAGTTTCCCCACGTACCTTTCGGCTCAAAATACTCCCTGATCTGCTCATCCCAACAGGTCCCAGAAGGGAGCAGAGCCAACAGCCAGCCTGGGAAGGCGCCAACTCAGACAGAAACTGATCCAAGCCCTCGTCTCTGTTCTCGCAGATGGCCTGGGAAAGGAAACCTGTCCGAAACCTGCCTGCGAGTCCCATCTGACAGCTGCCAACGGCAGCCACCCTCCTCCCTCCCTGACCACACGGCCTCTTCCCGACGGTGACGCTCAAGCTCCTACCCCACGCCCTGTGACTTGCCGACTTGCCCACCTCCCCACCTCCCGCCCACTTCCCCATTTTCACACATGAGGGTTCTCCCATCCTCAGGCCTCAGCTCAGATGTCCTTTCCATGGGGCCTGTGGGAAGCAGCCACCTGCGGCCACTCTCCCTCTCCCAGGGCACTGGTCACTTCCTGAAACCCGCTCCTGGCCCTCGCCCGTCTCCCTCCCCAGGCTGGAAGTTCCCAGGTCCCAGGCCTTGAATTTCCCCAACAGCCCCTGTGGCCCTGCCCACAACAGGAAACCGCGGGAAGGCAGCAGAGCCCAGGGTGCTCCTGTGGGATGCCTGCCTGACAGCGGGGCTCAGGCAGGGACCCTGATGGGCTGCAGCCCCTCAGCAGCCTGCGTCCTCTGGGCCTGGGGGAGCCACTGGTGTCAGGAGCCTGCGGGTGGACTCTGGACAGGAACCTGGAATTCCCTAGTTCCTGGGAGGCAGCCACCAGATGACAGCGTAGGCACGTCCTTGCCCGCCCCCTCCAGCACAGCCCCCAACCCCGAGAGGACTGGGCAGATGGCCAAGAAGGGGAAGGTGCCCTCCCCCATCCTGAGCAGGCGGCCATGAGGCCTTGGCAGACCTCCCACCCTGGAACTGGGCCGCTGGAGCCTGGGGTAAGACATGTGGAAGGGCCTCGGCTCCTCGTGCCTGGCACTCAACACACCTGAGCACACCTGCAGACACCTAGGCACATCGGCACACACCTGGGCACACCTGCACACACCTGGGAACCTCTGCGCACACCTGAGCACACCTGCACACACTGGAGCACACCTGCACACACATGGGCATACCTGCACACACTGGAACACACCTATGCACACCTGCACACACCTGCAACGCTCATCGTCCCTATGTGACCTGGAGCAAGTTATCTAACCTCTTGGTGCCTGAGCTTCCTTATCTGTAAGGTGATAGTGATGATGCCCCCCCCCAGAGAGCTGTCATGAGAATGAAATGAGGTGACGCCCTTACAGGTGTGTAAGGGCGATACCTGGCACACTGTGGGGCCATCTGAGGGTTGCTCATCATCCCCCATCCCGGGAGCTTGCCACCGTGCCCGGGTGTGCAGCCCACAGACAGCTGCAGCTGCCATGGTCACATGAGATCACAGAGAGGCAGGTCTGGGAAGGGGCTGCCAGCCCTGGTCTGGTGAGCGGCAGGTGGAGCGCCAGCTGCAACGCGGTGGGGAGCAGTGAGGGGCGTGGCACAGCAGGCAGGAGCCCGCGGGGCGAGGCGGCGGCCCGCAGACAGCTGCAGCTACTTCCTGACTCGCAGGGTGTGGACTCAGCCTTGCTCCACCTTCTGTTCTTTTAAAGAAAAGCTGGGGCCGGGCGCAGCGGCTCACGCCTGTAATCCCAGCACTTTGGGAGGCCGAGGTGGGCGGATCACGAGGTCAGGAGATCGAGACCATCCTGGCTAACACGGTGAAACCCCCGTCTCTACTAAAAATACAAATAATTAGCCGGGCGTAGTGGCGGGCGCCTGTAGTCCCAGCTACTCAGGAGGTTGAGGCAGGAGAATGGCGTGAACCTGGGAGGTGGAGCTTACAGTGAGCTGAGATCGCGCCACTGCACTCCAGCCTGGGCGACAGAGCGACACTCCGTCTCAAAAAAAAAAAAAAATAGAAAAAAGAAAAGCCGGAAGTCTGGATTTGGGGGCAAAGGTCCCACATTTAGAAACACCATGCTGTTCAGATTTGCAACATACCTGCCGTTGGCCACGGCCCAAGAGCCCGGGGGTGACGTCGACCTCAGCACTGAGGTGGGCTCTAGAGTGCACACCTGCGCTGCACGTTCTGTGAGTGTGCACCCGCCTCCCGGCAGGCCTGGGCTCCTCCCACAGGTCAGAGGCTGCAAACGACAGGATCTGCCTGAGATGGGGCTGCCGTGAGAAAGATGTCTTCTCTCTTGGATTTAGGGTCCACCGAGAGAGGTGGAGAGGAAATATCATTCCCCGGCCTAACCATATGAGGACTGCAGTGACGGCCCCCGCCAGCACCTGCCCCTCCTGCGGGCTTGGCTCCCCGGCAGGCGCTCCCCAGATGCGGCTTGGTCCGTGCTGAGGATCCAGAGACCTAGGTCCAGAGGCTCAAGTTTCCAGGTTTGGAACTGGCGTCTACTAATATGGTAGATTGTGCCAAAAATGCACACATGGCCGAAACAATATTTTCAGTCCTGCGTGTTCTTCCAGACCTTTGCCTTCCCCCTCAACCCCCCCGTGGAGAGGAGCCCCGCTCCCCGCTGCCTGAATGCACGGCCTTCATGGCGGGCTGGGGAGGAGCACAGGGCAGAAGGCTGCAGCCGGCCCACTTGGCCTGCTCCGGGCTCTGGGCTCTGGGCTGGGGGCTCTGGGCTCTTACTCATGGAACCAGCTGCCAGGCTGTGTGGGAGCCCAGACCACACAGAGGAGCCCCTGCAGGTGTCTGGTCACAGCCTGGCCAGGGCTCAGCCGACAGCCACCACGACCCACCAGGTGCCTGAGCGTTGGGCGAACTCGGCCCCCAGCGTGTGGGCAGCCCCAGCTCCTGCCAAGTGTAGCAGAAACAAGCCGTCCGCAGCAAACCTGCCCGAGCTGTGGATTCAGGATAAAAATCATCCCTGGTGTTGCTGCAGGTCACAAAGTGTGGGGGTGGTTTCTGGGCAGCAGCTGGCGACGGGGGCAAGTGCCCAGCACCCAGTGACCCTGTGCAGCTCAGCCTCCTCCTGGAACTTTCACGCCTGTAAACTGGGGACCATCAGGGGCCCCTCTCTTAGGAGCGTTGGAGGGTTCCGTGAGTATGTACATACGTGGTACTGGGTAGAATGGTGTCCACCCAGAACCTCAGGCTGCGGCCTCATCTGGAAACAGGGCCTTTGCAGGTGGAGTTGGTTAAGATGAGGCCCAGCTGATGAGGGTAGACCCTAAATCCAAACACAGGCATCCTTATAAGAAGAGAAAACAGAGACAAGGAGGAGACGCAAGGGAAGGAGGCAGAGACTGCAGCGCTGCAGCCACAGCCAGCACCTGGGTGCCAGCAGAGGCCAGACCGGGTGGCAGGATCCTCCCCTGGAGCCTCGGCCCCACGATGCCTGACTCCAGACTCCTGGCCCCAGGCTGGGAGCACGCGTTCCGCTGCGTTTCGTCACTAGCGTGCAGCAGAGGCCTGTGAGCATTGGCCGCTGCCTGTCCCGTTCCCTCAAGAACTTGCTACTCTAGATTCTCAGAGGGATGGAAAAGTTAATTTTTAAATTACACCGAAAGAAAATCCTCCTGCTGCAGGCCCGCTACCTCCTAACGAGACTCCTGGGTTGGAATCTTCTAGAAAGCACGTTCTGTGCTCAGTAGAGATGGTAGTTTCTCATGGGTTTTCCTAAAATTAGGGGCACCAGAGGGGGTGGGACGTGGGGCCCCTGACCAGCCCTGAGCACACACAGCCACAGCTGGTTTCTCCAAGATGCCCAGCACAGAGGCCCAAAGACAGAAGGCCAACCACAGGGCACAGCTGTCCTGGAGGCCCCCGGCGGCTCCGCAGCCCTCCCTGCCTGCTGCTGGAGGCCCCTAGCAGCTCCCTGGCCCTCCCAGAGCTGTCCTGGAAGCCCCTGGCAGCTCCGTAGCCCTCCTGGCCTGCTGCTGGGCTGCTGAGGGACCTCAGCATTGGCTGCATTTCCAAAACCAGCAGCTCAGAGGCCCTGCAGGAGACGCTGCCAAGTGGGGCCCCGAGAGGGACTGGGCTGCAGCTGTTTGGAGCCTTTCTTCCAGTGCACCACCTCCGCATCTTCCCTCCACCCCCGCCCCTGCCGTGGGGAGCCCTGCCGACGGCGTTTAACTGACTGTGTAAGGCTGGGCCTCTTGCCCTCCCACTCCTGTCCAGAACAGTGAGGACCTGTTCCATCCATCAGAAAGGCCTCCGCAGAAGCCGCGAGCCGTGCCTTCGCGTGTGCACACCTGAGAGCTCACGCGTGTCTGTGGGTACTCAGGGTGCGATGTGTACACAGATCTGAATGCAGACGCACGTGCCCATGAGCACGCACGTCCAGAGAGACGCACGTCTGCTTATCCACAAGGTGCACGCGTGTCTGGATCCGCACAGGTGCGCGTCTGCTCGTGGACACGCAGAGGCGGGTGGGGCTGTGCACGTATGCCTGTCTGCACAGGAGGCTGGAAACATAACCGCATGTGACTTGAGGGCCTGTGTGTGATGGTGTCGGGGTCTGCGGCGTGCCTGGTAGGCATGTGTGTGTGTTTGCCAAGGTTACATGTGCCTGTATGTTCATGCTTATCTTGGCGTGTCTGCATGTTTGGTGTACAGAGTAGATGTCTGTGTGCATGTGTGCATATGGTGGGTGCAGGGAAAGAATGTAAGATCGGGGAGCTGGAAAGGACACGCCCTCGCCTGGCCAGCCGAGGATGCCTGTCCTTGGTTGCCATGGCAAGCCCTGGCATCTGCACGTGGCCTCGGCACAGCCCCTCCCCCCGGGTCTGCTCCCAGGGCCCCAGGCAGGCGCTGCTTACCAGGGCAGGTGCTTCCCCCGCGGGTGTGGCAGGCTGGGGTGGGAGCTCATGGGCCCCTGCACCTGCAGAGGGTCTCCCCATCACCCTGGTCAGGTGCTGGAGGGACCCCTGAGCTGCCCCCGTTGTCCTGGCCTGGGCAGAGGCAGTGGCAGGCAGACAGCCCTGGGCAGGGACACACCTGGAATCAGACCAAGGCTGCGGCACAGCCCAGCAAGCAGGGCGTCGGCCTGTGGTTTCTGACTTGAGAGTCACTGGGCGACAGTATCTCCGAGGCCAGAGCAGTCCCTGGAGATGGAACGGGCATTCTCCCAGGGTGCCCAGAGCCCAGGGAAAGACGGGGACGGCAGAAGGAACTGCAGGTGGCGCCCACAGGTGCGCAGCTGAGACCCCATCACCACATCCCGGGGCCGTCAGGCATGAGTTGACCCTGAGGTGACGTCGGCGCCATGCCTGGGGTGACATCGGCACCATGCCTGGGGTCACCAGGGCCGTGCTGAGCCAAAGCGCCCTGGCAGCTGGCTGCGAAGCTCGTGCACCCACGGGTGCAGCCACGGGGCTGGTTCTGACCCAGGCCACGCCCGCCCACTCTGCAGCCTCCGTCCTCATTGGTACAACAGGGGCAACGGGGCTCAGTTTGCGTGTCCTGTTCCAGAAAGTTCTAGAGATGGCCTGTGCCCTGTTGCTGCTGTCACTGTTGCTGCTGTTTCATCTACACTGAAGATCTGCTGTGAGTGTAGCCGCCTTCATCCGTGATCTCAGCTGGATCTTCCATCGGGGAGCTGGACGTGCTGCCTCACCTGCACTTCTGTGTGATGGAGGTGGCTTCTGTCCCTAAACCTCAGGAAGCCACCTCTGCCAGCTGCCAGCTTTTCTTCTGGAGCTTCCTCACCTCTCTCAGCCTCCACAGAATTGAGGAGAGTTACAGCCTTGGTCTGGATCCGGCTGTGGCTTGAGGAGACGTCGTGGCTGGTTTGATCTTCTATCCGACCGCCACCACGTTTTCCACATTGGCAACAGCCTTTTCGCTTCCTTCCCAATCGTGTGTCCACTGGAGTAGCACTTACACTTTCCTTCAAGGACTTTTCCTTTATACTCAAAACTTGGCTAACTCTTTTGCACAAGAGGCCTGGCTTTCCGTCTGTCCAGATTTTGGCATGCCCTTCTCACCAGGCTTAGCCATTCCTAACTTCTGATTTGAAGGAGAGACCTGCAACCCTTCCTACCATTTGAACATCCGAGGCCACTGGAGGGTATCACGTGGCCTGACTTCAGTGCTCTGTGTCTCAGGGACTAGACAGGCCTGAGGAGAGGGAGAGGGATGGGGAAGCTGCTGGTCGGTGGAGCAGTCGGAACACACAACATGGATGGATTAAGCTTCCTGTCTTATATGGGGACAGTTTGTGGTGCCCCAAAACAATGATCATACTAATATCAAAACTCACTGATCACAGATCACCGAACAGATATAATAAAGATGGAAATGTTCTGGCCGGGCGCAGTGCCTCACGCCTGTAATCCCAGCACTTTGGGAGGCCGAGGTGGGCGGATCTCATGAGCTCAGGAGTTCGAGACCAGCCTGGCCAACACGGTGAAACCCTGTCTCTACTAGAAACACAAAAATTAGCCAGGCGGGGTGGTGGGTGCCTGTAATCCCAGTTACTTGGGAGGCTGAGGCAGGAGAATCACTTGAACCCGGGAGGCAGAGGTTGCAGTGAGCTGAGATCGCGCCACCGCACTCCAGCCTGGGCACCAAGACCGAAACTCCGTCTCAAAAAAAAAAAAAAGAAAAGGAACATGTTTGAAACTGCAAGAGCTACCAAATCATGACCCGTGGCGACGTGAGCACTGGCTGTTGGAAAAGTGGCATCGACAGACTTGCTCCACGAGGCGGCCGCACCCCCAGTGTGTGAAACACCCACAGGTGACTGCAGTGAGCGAGGCTGGCCTATGAGCCCGCCAGGTGGAAGTCAGCATTTTTCTCTCTTAAAGGGGCTGTGTGGATTCCAGCACGTTACAGTCAAGGCAGCCAGGCCCCCAGCTTCACTGCGGTAGGAGCGGAGGGTCGGCTCAGAGTGGGCCCCGTTTACTGACCCCGTGCTGTGGCTCTGCAGACACAGCCCGAGCCCCCAGCGCCAGCCCAAGGCAAGCCCCATCCTCGGGGTCCCCTTCCTGCGCTCAGCCCAGCCCCTCACCTGTTGCAGCAGAGAGTTTACCACCCCGGTGAGCGGTGCCAGCATCTCCCAGCCTTCACGACATCACGGCCTGGACACGTGACCTCGCTGGTGGGAGCCGGCATCCGTCATCATCGTCCTGATTGTAGGGCCCCGGCAAGTAGCGGCCTCTCCGGAGAACACAGACGAGCACCATGCAGAGAAGTGTCGTGGTTTCACTCACCCTCACATGCCCACGGAGAAGCAAGACTCCACCTTGGTCCCAAAGGAGAGAGAACCTGACCCCAAAGGAGGGAGAGACCCTGAGCCTGAAGGAGAGAGAGACCCTGAGCTCGAAGGAGGGAAAGACCCTGAGCCCGAAGGAGAGAGAGACCCTGAGTCCGAAGGAGAGAGAGACCCTGAGCCCGAAGGAGGGAAAGAACCTGAGCCCGAAGGAGAGAGAGACCCTCAGCCGGAAGGAGGGAAAGACCCTGAGCCCGAAAGAGACAGAGACCCTGAGCCCGAAGGAGAGAGAGACCCTGACCCCGAAGGAGAAGGAGAGACCCTGAGCCCAAAGGAGAGAGAGACCCTGAGCCCGAAGGAGAAGGAGAGACCCTGAGCCCGAAGGAGAGAGAGACCCTCAGCCTGAAGGAGGGAAAGACCCTGAGCCCAAAAGAGACAGACACCCTGAGCCCGAAGGAGAAGGAGAGAGAGACCCTGAGCCTGAAGGAGAAGGAGAGAGAGACCCTGAGCCCGAAGGAGAAGGAGAGAGAGACCCTGAGCCCGAAGGGGAGAGAGAGCCTGAGCCCGAAGGAGAAGGAGAGAGAGACCCTGAGCCTGAAGGAGAGAGAGACCCTGAGCCCGAAGGGGAGAGAGACCCTGAGCCCACCTGTCCCCCCGGCCCGCCAGGCTCCCTCCTGAATCGAAGGGCTCTGCTCCTGCCCCGAAGGAGAAGGAGAGACCCTGAGCCCGAAGGGGAGAGAGAGCCTGAGCCCACCTGTCCCTCCGGCCCGCCAGGCTCCCTCCTGAATCGAAGGGCTCTGCTCCCGCCCCCCAACCCCCACTGGCTCCCCTGCACCCTCTGCTCGGGGGCAGCAGAGCCGGCTTAGAGGCACCTGGCTTCAGCCCCAGGGCTTTGGGGTAAGAACACAATGAGACTGGGTAATTCTCACAGAAACTTACTTCTCACAGTGCTGGGGGCTGAAAGTCCAAGGCCAAGGCACCCGCATTTGGTGAGGGCTGCTCTCTACCCAAGACGGTGCCTGGCGTGCAGTGTCCCCTGGAGGGAGAAATGCGGGTCCTCAGGAGGCAATGGCGGGAGGGACAGACCCCCGATAAGGCTCTTTCTGGGGGCACTAATCCCATAAGGAGGGGCCCTCAGGCCAGTCACCACTTCACACCATCACATCGGCAAACGCAGGTTCCTGGCTTATTTCCTTCTCCCCAGACTCCACCCCCGACCTCACACAGAGCGGGAACTCAGTAGGTATCTGTCAAATGAATAAACAGAAGAAAGGAATGTGGGGGGTGGGAGGGAAGCACTGGAGAGGAGGGGAGAGAGGATGGAGGGGAGAGAAGAAGGAAGGGAGGGAGGAGGGAGGGGAGAGACGAAGGAAGGGAGGGGAGGGAGGAAGGAGGGAGAGAGGAAGGAAGGGAGGGAGGAGGGAGGGGAGAGAGGACAGAGGAAAAAGGAAGGCAGGGAGGAGGGAGGGAGAGAGGGAGGGAGGAGGAAGGGGGCAAGCGCTCAGTGGTGAACGGCAGACGGGTAGTGGCTGGCCAGGCCTGCCCAACACAGGGTTGGGTTGTTCCTGGGGCCGGGGACCCAAGGCTTATGCAATCAGGAGCCAGGCTTTGTGGGTGCAGGAGCCGGAGAGCAGCCCCCAGCCACACACCTCAGGCTCGGTGGACATCTGGGAGGGGTGCCTGGGCCGGTGCAGGCGAGCACTGCGCTGCCCCTGTGGCCCCTGAGCCAGGGCTGAGGCTGAGCGGGTGCTGCCTGCCTGCCTGCCCTCTCAGCCTGGGTCTGGGAGATCCACAACCACAATGGGGGTTCTCTGAAGCTCAGGCTGGAAGAGACGCCACGTGGAGGAAAGCGGAGGAAACAGAATTCCCAGAGACGGAGCTGGAGCCTGAACAACCTCCAACTGCAGCCTGGGAATCAAGGGCCAGGTCCCTCCTCCAGCGCTGTGTTGATCATGCTGGTGCCTGAACAACCTCCAACTGCAGCCTGGGAATCAAGGGCCAGGTCCCTCCTCCAGGGCTGCGTTGATCATCACGGAAAGTTGTGCAGCCAGGGGAGGAGGCTATGTGGCCCCACGCCCCACCGCACGCTCCCACCGCCAGCTTCTCTCTGGAGCTCTGCAAGGATGGGCTATGATCACCCGTGATACTGATCTGCCGTGTTTCGTGTTTAAATTGCTGAGCTGCAGCGTGGCTTCGTGGGGGCTGGCAGGAAGCTGGGACACCGCAGATGTGGAACAAAGCAAGAGGCCGCTCGAGGGTCGTCGGGAAAACAGTTAGAACCAATGAATGCTTGTCACCTTCACACTGCCTCCCACCACGGCAGGGTCCATGGCCACAGCCAGCGTTTGCGAGACCCCAGGCCTGCGGACGGTGGGGCTCCCGGGGTCTGAAGGGTTGGGGGCCAAGCACTAGCAAGAGTCAGGAGATTTCTGGAGACTGAGGTTGAGGTCATCGAGGACACCTCTGTTTGCCCCTCTTTCAAGTAAATGACCCCATCCCCCCAGCGGAGGGCAGGAACCCAGTCCTCGGGTTGGGGCTCAGGATCACTTCCAAAGGTATCCCTGTTTCCTGCACAGCCACAGGCCCTAGAGTAGAGCTGGGAGGGCTCCAGGGTGGGTGATGGGGCACGTGACACCAGTACCGCTATGCGTCCGGCCCACCCGAGCCTCCGTGCTGTGCAAGGAGCGGGCTGCACCCCAGAGCTCCCCGGTGGCTTCGGGGCGGCGGGCAGGCGGGCGGGCGGTCTGACGAGGCCTCATGTGTCCCACTCTCTCCCTGCGCGGGAGCCACGTGTGCAGCAGCCACTGCGTCTCTCGACAGCCCCTGAGGGCTCGGGGCCGCCGCCCCGTGAGGGAGGCGAGGATGTCCTGCCTGGTGGCCTCCGGGGCCCCTCGGCCCTGCCCATGCCTCTGGGAACATCTGTCTGCCGATGTTCATGTCAATGGCTTCCTGCTGGTGCCCTTGGTGACTGAGAACACCACTGGGTCTCCAACGCTGACTGAAGGCAGCCATGAGGCTGGAGGTGATGAAGCTGCAGGCAAGAGGGCCTCATGCAGCTCCGTATCCTAGAAACCAACACCCACTGCCGCCCGTCACCCCCAAGCCACCTGCTCACCCCACACCACCATGGTCCACAGTACTCACACCATCACTGGCCCCAGTGGCAGCACCGCCAGACACAACACCACCGCCCGCCCCAGACCAGCCCCACAGCACCCCCGGCCCTACCACCATCCCTGCCGCCAACACGGCCCCGCTGCCGGCCGGCTTGTCTTTGCCACCGACAGGCTGAGCATGAGCCCCCACGTGGGGCCTGGCCCAGTGTTGGGGAACCCAGAGTGAAGTTGACAGCCAGGGGCCCTGCTCAGGCAGTTTCTGGTCCAGGGACGGTGAGAGGCAGCGACAGATCAGCACACACGTGTGGCCTCGCCGGGGCCGGCTGTGGATCGCATGAGGCCTGGTGCAAAACCAACGGGCAGGGCCCTCGTTCTAAAAGCAGAAAACGGCGTGATCACAGGAACTGCGTTCCTTCCTTCCTTTTTTTTTTCTCTTTTTGTGACAGGGTCTCCCTCTGTCACCCAGGCTGCAGTGCAGCAGCACAATCTCAGCCAGAAGGGGGAGAAACCACAGTGAGCTCGAGCTCCACAGGCTGCAACAGGCGCAAGGCTGGGTCCATCTCCGCTATCCACAGACCTAGGAGGAGACGCCGCGGTTCCTGAGTCTGAACTGGAGGTAACAATATTCCTGCTCTGAGGAGCTCCCGGAGCTGCTCCGGAAATGGAGAAGGTGGCTGGAACTCTGTCGTCTGAAAGCGAGAGCTCACAGTATAATATACGAGCAAAAAATATAAAACTATGGCCTATCACTTCCAGACATGGGAGATCCAACCTCGTTCTCCATCCCCATCCTCCCCCATGGTGGAGGCTCGCAAGGCCCTGAGGCTCGCCAGGATCTCCAGATTTGGGGAAGGTGAAAGCCGTCTTTACCCTCCTCTACCTCGAACTGGACCGCCTGACATCTCAAGCCAGGAACCACCGCGCAGGGGCGGTCATGGCGAGGGACTCACAGCCTGGGGGACGCACACCGCATTTTTTAATGGCTCTAGTTTTATCAAAAGTAAACATCCATGTGGCTTAAAAAGCCAGTTTTACGGCCAGGCGTGTGGCTCACGCCTGTAATCCCAGCACTTTGGGAGGCCGAGGCAGGGGGATCACTTGAGGTCAGGAGTTCGAGACCAGTCTGGCCAACACAGTGATGTAGCAGGACAAGCCGCAGACAAAACTCCTCAGACACTGAGTTAAAGAAGGAAGGGGTTTATTCGGCTGGGGGCGTCAGCAAGACTCCTGTCTCAAGAGCTGAGCTCCCCGAGTGAGCAATTCCTGTCCCTTTTAAGGGCTCACAACTCTAAGGGGGTGTGCATGAGAGGGTCGTGATCGATTGAGCAAGCAGTGGGTACGTGACTGGGGGCTGCATGCTCCGGTAGTTAGAACAGAACAGAACAGGACAGGGATTGTCACAGTGCTTTTCCATACAATGTCTGTAATCTATAGATAACATAACCGATTAGGTCAGGGGTCAATCTTTAACTACGAGGCCCAGGACACGGCGCCGGGCTGTCTGCTTGTGGATTTCATTTCTGCCTTTTAGTTTTTTTTTTTTCTTTCTTTGGAGGCAGAAATCGGGCATAAGACAATATGAGGAGTGGTCTCCTCCCTTAGTGAAACCCCGTCTCTACTAAAAATACAAAAATTAGCCGGGTGTGGTGGCAGGTGCCTGTAATCCCAGCTACTCGGGAGGCTGAGGCAGGAGAATCACTTGAACCCAGGAGGCAGAGGTTACAATGAGCTGAGATTACACCACTGCACTCCAGCCTGGGCAACAGAGCGAGACTCTGTCTCAAAAACAAAAATGCCAGTTTTACAAGGCTGCTACAAACAAGAGCGGCCCCACCTTCTCATCCATCGTTCTCCCTGGAGACAGCCCCGTTTAGACTTCTCTCCCCTGATTCCCGAAACGCAGCCCCGGGTCTCTGCATGACAAGCAGGGCTTGCTGCTCCCCGGCTGTGTAGCACTAACGTTGTCTTCCGACTTCGAACTGTGAAGCAAGGATTCCTCTCTGGTCTCCCCCACCATAACCCACCCCACGTGGAATCTGAGGCCATGTTAAACATGCAGATTCCCTGGCTCTGCCGGTCTTGGGCAGGCGGTCCTAACACACACAAGGCTCTGTGGTAAGGGCCAGGGCCCCAGAGTAGGGGGTCCCTCAGGGGCTCTGAGCTGCGGCTCCAACAGAACCTCTGTCCGCTCCGCTCCCTGCAAGGGGCCTCCGGCCCTTGTTCTGCTCATCCGGACCACAGACCTCTTCTCGTTCCTGGGGAAGGACAGTTGGCCTCCGGCCTGGAGCTCTGTCTTTAGTTTTTTAGCCTCAAATCTGCCAGCTTCAGGTTTGGGGACTCTGCTGAGGCAGACTCGGGGGTGGCTTGACCCTGCCAGCGAGTGGGTTGAGGGCGTGTCAGGAGCCGGGTGTGGGTTGAGAGCACGTTCGGCGCCAGGCACAGGGGCTTCGGTCGGCTTATGTGCTCTTCCCGGGAGCTCCTCAGAGCAGGAATGTTGTTATGTCCATTTCAGATTCAGGAACCGCGACATCTCCTCCTAGGTCCATGGAGAACAGAGATGGACCCAGCCTTGCACCTGTTCCAGCCTCCAGAGCTCGAGCTTGCCGTGGCTCCTCTGCCTGTCTTCAGATGGGAAGAGCTGGGCACTGGCCTCTACCAATCCCTCCCCACTCAGCCATCCGTCTGAGTCCAGTGCCATGGGCCCTGGCATTCAGCCATGTGTCCAGGTTCAGTGCCACGGGTCCTGGCGTCAGCAGCTCCGGCTCTGCCAGAGGCCAGTGGAGGCACCCTGGTTCCCACGCCCTCCCTGCTCCTGCCATGCGTCCGGTCACAGCAGGTTTGCGGTCACCCTCTGGGTCCCTACCCCGGCCACCCACTCGTCTGGTCAGAGCAGGTTTGCGGTCACCCTCTGGGTCCCAACCCCGGCCACCCACTCCTCAGGCTTCGCTCTCCTAGGGGAGGCTCCCAGATCACTGGGTCTTCCTCACCTGCCTCGGTGGAATCCCGGCTGTTCGCAGCCGCACTGGATGAAGCTCTCGTCTCCTCTCTGGTTCCTCACAGGTGTCGGTGGACTTCGGGGAAGGCAGGTGCAGCCTCCTGCGTTGGCTCCATCGCCTCTGGCCAAGGCCATGGCACACACTCTGCCCGCGTTCCTCTGCACTCCCAGGAAGGCGATGCCCCCGGCCCCAGCCTCGGAGAAGTGGACACGAAGCCCCACTTGCTTTGTGGCCGGTTCCATTTTAATTTGGTCTCAACGGAGTAGAAAATGGGAGAGAGCCGGCGCGTGCTCCAGACAGAAATCAGCCAACGAGCCCATGAGACCCCAAGTCACTGAATCCCCCCACACTCTGGCGTCTCTGAACAACCCGCAAGGACGTCGGTGCCACGGCTGCTCTGGGGTCTACAGTGCACGTCCCCGTGGACCCCCGGCTCCTGCAGGTGAAACCCACCACTCCACGGTGATACAAGAACCTTCCCACGTCCCCATGTCTCTCTGCATGGCCTGGGCACCATGGCTGCCACACTCTATGCGTGTTTTAAAACCCACAGTGCAGGCCGGGCGCAGTGGCTCATGCCTGTAATCCCAGCACTTTGGGAGGCCGAGGCGGGCGGATCACAAGGTCAGGAGATCGAGACCATCTTGGCTAACATGGTGAAACCCCATCTCTACTAGAAATACAAAAAATTAGCTGGTGTGGTGGCGGGCGCCTGTAGTCCCAGCTACTCGGGAGGCTGAGGCAGGAGAATGGCGTGAACCCGGGAGGTGAAGCTTGCAGTGAGCCGAGATCGCGCCACTGCACTCCAGCCTGGGGGACAGAGCAAGACTCCGCCCCGAAAAAAAAAAAACCCACAGTGCACTGTGAATATTTTGTTTAAACAGTCAATTACCTTCGACGGATACTTCATCCATTTGTCAAATCTCAGGTATCTAATTCACCACGCCGTGGCTGTTCCGGGGGCTCCGCGTCTGTCGTCCCACATCTGCGCTGCTCCTGCCGGGAGGACACGCCCGTGCCCCACAGCGGGTCCGCTCACCACTGCTCTTTCAGGCATTACCTCCGGAGACACTCGTTCCACCTTTGTCTCTGAGAGATGTTCTTGCTGACAGGTTTCTTCTTACGACGCTGCCCTTGCGTGGGTTCACTCGCGTTGCTCCTCAGGAGAAATGAGAGCGTGTGTTTTCCTCCGGTGACCTGGAAAGGGACCTTCTGTGGCTGGCCGGGCACTCTGGCTTCCATGGGCCTCTGTCCCATTTCTTCGCCTTTCATGTCCTTGAGGCTTGTTGAGCTTCTATCATCTGTGAGTTCACAGTTGGCGTCAGATTTGGAAATTTTGGAGTCATGATTTTTTCATATCTTTTCAGTGTCTCCATGGTCGGCTCTTCTTCAGGGACCCCCATACGTATTACGGTTGTGCGTGGGGTACTCTTACACTCACGGGGGTGCCGGGCCCCTGGAACCTGCAACTCACGCAGGATGCTCTTTTAACTTACTCTATTATGTTTCCTGTTTTATACGGTGCTGTATCGTTGGCTCTGTCTTTAAGATCATTCACCTTTTCCTCCATGTGTGGTCTGTGAACCCCATCCATTGTAGCCTTGATTTCTAGAAGTTTGGTTTGCATATTTTTAAATGGTCTATGTTTCTACTTAGCTCTTTCAACACAGGGAATGCAGTCAGGATGACTGTCAGTGTCTGTCTGGCGATTCTAACACTTGTGTTAGTTCTGACCAGGATTTCGCAGTGGATTTTTCCTCCCCTTACGGGTGGGTTTTCCTGCTTCCCCGAATGTAATCTTTGAATCGATGGCAGACATTGTTAACATCGCCTTTGTTGGGTGTGGATGTTTGTGTTTATGTGGAAACATTCCTGCACCTTTTTCTGGCGTGCGGTTCAGTTACATGGAAAAGGTTTGGCCTCTCAGGTCTTATTTTAAAGTGGCCGTCAGGGCCGAATGTTCTGCCCATTTTGTCCACACTAATTATCCCTCTTTGGGGAGCAAGACCCTTGTGAGATGCCACCGCCACCCTCGGGAGGCCTCCAGGCTGGGGGACGGGCACTGTGGGCTGCTGGTGTAGGGCCGGACGCTCTCTGACAGTGTTGCCCCTGGCCTCCGGCGGCTTCCTCCCAAGCTGGGTTGGGGCTCTTCTGAACGCTCCCCTCCATGCCCTGTCCTGGGAACTTTAACCCTCTGGGCCTCCCGGAGCCCTCTGTCTCCCCTGTCCCAGGGGGTCTGCTGGGCTCCACCGGGCCCCGCCCTGAATGCAGCCTGGAGCAACGCTGGAGGCCGGGGCTAGGAAACTGTGAGCCCCGCCTTGTCTGTGTCTTTCTCAGGGATTCTCGTCCTTTCCAACCTGGTGCCCGATGTCCGGAAGCACCTCTTCTGTGTTTTCAAATGGGAGAGCGAATCCAGTCCTTTTCACTCCATTTTGGCCAGAAACAGAAGTCCTCCGTGATTTATATTTTTACTAGAATCTTTTAAAGGGGCACAAATGGGGGTGTTTTGCAGGCATACAGAAGCCCCCGTCACTCCTCCCGCCTTGTCTCTGAACCGCTGTGGGGTGGGGAGGGGTCTCTTCTCTCTCCAACCCACATCACTTTCACCCCCCGCCGGCCAAGGCTGCGTTTCCCTCGCCCCCACCCCAGTCCCCCGCGTTGGTAGTGGGATCGGTTTGGTATTCTGAGGCTTCTCTCATTTCTCCTTTATCACCATCTGCCCCACAGCAGGCAGGCCCGGAGCCTCTGCAGAAGGGGGAACCGGGTGCAGGCCCAACGCCGGTCTCTCAGTGTGGCAGCCTTGCGCGCGAGCAGAAGCAGAAGGCCTAGTTCCTACTCTGCAGCCTTGGCTGCCGGGCACGGAGAACGTTTTAGCAGAAACACCTCTGCAAAACCACTTCCTGGCCCGGGCCCAGCCAAACACCATCTTCTCCTCCACCCCAGGGCTCCGCCCCCATCTCCAGGCTCAGCCCAGCACCCCCACCCCCGAAACCCCCAGCCCCACTGCATCTGCCCTGGCCATCTGCCTCCGCCCTGCCTCGCTAACACAGTTATTAATGAGCAATTTTCCTGTAATTACAACGCAGTTATGCCAGTTACCCCGACCTGCTGACAGAGAGCATTCACTTCCATGTGGCACTAGCCCCCAGGCCTGAGAGGACGCAAACACTTGCCCCTCATTCGCTGCCCCCACCCCCACTCTGCCAGCCAGCACCACCCTCCACCCACTCTAGGCCCTTAAGAAAGGAGGGAAGGGCCGCGGGGAGGAGCTCTCAGATCCCGAGGCCCCACTCCCCCTGCAAGGAAGGCTGTGAGCTCGGCCCCAGCCCACCTGCCAGCTCCCCAAACACCTCCCACCTCCCTCCGCCGCCTCCTGAAGGGACTACACTCCCCTGGCTCCTCCAAAATCCGCTAATGAACAGCAGGCGCAGAGGCTCCGCCACCGGCGTGCTCCTGGCCTCAGCCCTCCCTGTTCTGAAACCGCCTTTGCTAAGACGGTAGTAGTGAGGAATCACGACAGTGGCAGAGGCCAACCTGACCCGCTCCACCTGCCTCCACCCCAACCCGCCCGGCTGCTTCCTGAGCGTGGGCCAAACTAACTTTGACAGGAACTTAGTTTACAGTTTAAGTTGGGAACAAAAAGGATAACAGCCCCTCCCCAAAACAGATTCCCTCCTCGCTTGGGGGGACCAGTCCCGTTGTAAAACCGACAAATAACAGCAGGATTAGGAATTCCGGCTCAGGATTCACGCAGCCAGACGCCACAGGACTCCTCCCCAGCCGCTCCTGTATATGACGTCACCGCCGTAAGACCACAGGACACCGCCCCAGCCGCGCCTGTAGATGACGTCACCATCGTAAGACCACAGGACCCTTCCCAGCCGCTCCTGTATATGACGTCACCGCCGTAAGACCACAAGTCACCGCCCCAGCCGCTCCTGTAGATGACGTCACCACAGTAAGACCACAGGATACCGCCCCAGCCGCGCCTGTAGATGACGTCACCATCGTAGGCCCACAGGACCCTTCCCAGCCGCTCCTGTGGATGACGTCACCGCCGTAGGACCTAAGATTGATGCTGGAGAGGTTCTTCAGACCCTGCGTTCTGACGGCTCCGCTGGCACCACCCAGACGGGTAAACTAGCTCTTCCGGTCTGTGGCCCTCACAGGAACCGACTCGGTGCAGGAGGACAGCTTCAGCCCCTGTGATTTCATCCCCGACCAACCAGCCAGCACTCCCCACTCCCTAGCCCCCTGCCTGCCAAACTATCTTTTAAAAAACTCCAGTTTCCAAATTTTCAGGGAGGCTGATTTGAGTAATAATAAAACTCCAGTCTCCTGCTAGCTGGCTCTGGATGCACTAGACTCTATTGCAATTCTCCTGTCCTGATAAATCGGCTGTCAGGCAAGAAGAACCCGTTGGGTGGTTACAGTTTCAAGGCTATATTCAGAGAACTATCCACTAATAAAATCTCTGTTTATGCAGTAGGTCCCACCCCACACCCTCCCTGCTCAAACTGCTGCAATCCCGGCACAGCTTTGTTGACAATGTACCCATCAGCCAACAAAATGTAACAAAATGCACTTTCTTTTAGTTATCTCCTGCTACGTAATAAACTTCCCCGGGAGGTGGAGGTTGCCATGAGCCGAGATTGCACCATTGCACTCCAGCCTGGGCAACAAGAGCAAGACTCCGTCTCAAAAATAAATAAATAAATAAATAAATAAGCCTCCCCGGAGCTTGATGGCCTAAATAGCAATCTACCGTGAGTGCTCAGGGCTCTGGAGTTGACTGGGCTGCGCTGGGTGCTTCCTGCCTAGGGTCTCCAGTGTGGTTGCAGCAAATGCAGGCTGGAGCTGTCCAGCATCTCTTTCTGAGTAGCCTCTCCACGCTCAGCTTGGACCCCCTCACAGCATGGCTGCCAGGGTCATCAAGCTTCTTGGCAGGCAGCTGGCCTCCCCTAGGACAAATCCCACAAAGCTGAGGCAGGAGTTCCAGGGCTACTAAGACGCCGTCTCAGAGTCACAGTCTGCCACCTCCAGCTCATGCCACTGGCTACACAGGCCCAGAGTCCGTGCGTCTGGGGAGGCACCATCCTGAGAAGCCATCTTACGAGTGAGAAGTGGGTGCCAGGAAATGGGGTGCCACCATGATTAGCACCCCAAATATGTGCTGTCACCTTTGGAGTCACGCAGAACCTGGGGGCCTCCAGGAGTCTACGGGGGATGGTGGGAAGGCTGGGGAGGAGGATGGGAAGGAGACCCCCGCTGAGGGCAGGCGGAGCGCTGGGGTGGCACCACCTCTGGCTGCGGGGAAGGTCGTGGCCCTGCGAGGACCTGTCTAGACAGAGGCTGAAGTTGGGGGCGGGGAGGTGGGGGGCAGGCACGTGAGGAGCCGTTGAGTTTGCAGAATCTGGAGGAATCAAGAGGGCCCAGGACAGTCTTTTAAGCCAGTACCAGGTTCTCAAAGTGAGAAATGGCCTCTGGCCTAAGGGTGAAGACCTCAAAGGCGTGGCTGAAGCAGCTTTATTGAGATTTGCAAGATTCACAAGCTATCTTTTAGACTCGATACAGTCAGGCCTCTGGGAACCTCGAGGGCGCCCTTCCGCAGCCTCCTGGGTCTCAGCCCAAGGAGACAAGAGCTTGCCCCAGCGAGCAGGTGTGGGTTAACTCAGTCACGCCCGCAGGAGACACACAGGGTTTCTGCAGAGAGCTCTGTTGTGGAAGTGCCGTCAGAGAGAGGCGGCTCGGTGTGGAAACAGGCCTCTTTATGCTCAGGAGGCAGGCTGAGAAGCTGCCCGGCCACAAGCACAGGCCACCTCTTGCAGAAGAGGGACCTTAACTCTGACCTCAGCCAAGAGCCCAGGAGACACAGCCTGGGGTCACAAAGAGTCAGCTCCTAGGAGCAGGCGGTGCTCACCTAGAAGCTGCTGGTGTGGACCTGGCTGGAGCTCAGGTTTCTGCCAACCGTGTCTGCTCCTCCTGTCCCTGCTGTTTGAACGGGGGTGTCGGCGTGTTCGTCCCGCCCCTGCCTTGTCATCGCATATTGGGTCTAGGGCCCCAGAGAAGTGCACGCCTGTGATCCCAGGCTTCTTAGTTCAGTTCCTCAGATGGAGATGTGGGTGAGAGACGCTGAGGGCCTCCTCCCCAGCCCTCGTTCTGATATGATCAAGGACTCCAAGCCTGGGCCTGAGGATGCAGCGGAATGAGAGGCCGAGGTCTCTGGAGATTGAGTGTGTTTTCACGTGGAGCTAAGGGTCACTGAGTGAGAGGGTGGCCGCCCCTTGTGCTGGCTTCTCCCTTGATGAATCTGGACTGGCCCCGAGCTACAGACTGAATCATCCCAAACTGGGAGACTTACACAAGCCTCCCTCCGGCTTCCAAAAGTTCCTTGGCTTGAGGATAACTTGGCAATCTCCCCTTGTGGAAGGACCCCAGTCCAGGATGGCCTCATCTTTGCTCATCACATCTGCGACACGGCCCTATTTCTAAATAAGCTCACCCTCTGATGACCCTATTTCATTCTTTTGAGACGGAGTCCCGCTCTGTCACCCAGGCTGGAGTGCAGTGGTGCGATCTCGGCTCACTGCAGGCTCCGCTTCCCGGGTTCAAGCCATTCTCCTGCCTCAGCCTCCTGAGTAGCTGGGACTACAGGCGCGTGCCACCACGCCCGGCTAATTTTTTCTAATTTTTAGTAGACACGG
Organism: Homo sapiens; assembly: GCF_000001405.40. Lineage (NCBI taxonomy): Eukaryota > Metazoa > Chordata > Mammalia > Primates > Hominidae > Homo > Homo sapiens. Next base: position 132,448,972 of record NC_000012.12, read on the forward strand.
GGTTTCACTGTGTTAGCCAGGATGGTCTCGATCTCCTGACCTTGTGATATGCCCGCCTCGGCCTCCCAAAGTGCTGGGATTACAGGTGTGAGCCACTGCACCCGCCCTTTTTTTTTTTTTTTTGAGACGGAGTCTTGCTCTGTTGCCCATGCTGGAGTGCAGTGGCACAATCTCGGCTCACTGCAACCTCTGCCTCCCAGGCTCAAGCGATTCTCCTGTCTCAGCCTCCTGAGTAGCTTGAATTACAGGCACATGCCACCACACCCAGCTAATTTTCGTATTTTTAGTAGAGATGGGGTTTCACCATGTTGGCCAGGCTGGTTTCGAACTCCTGACCTCAGGTGATCCGCCTGCCTCGGTCTCCCAAAGTGCTGGGATTACAGGCGTGAGCCACCGCACCTGGCTGAAAAATTTATTTTTTTAAAAAGAGAGAAGTGCTTAGGAAATTCAATAAACTTACCTTTTTTTTTTCTTTCAAAAATTGCCCCGCTTGGAGCATGCTTTGAAAGTCACAAATAAAGGCTGTTATGTCGTGGCATTCAACCATTTTTGTCTGAAAAGCAACTTCCAAAAATCAGCTGTAGATTCATTGTGTTTCTTTCTAAAAATGAAGTGTTGTAATTAACACTACCCAGTTTCATAAATAAACAAAACATATTTTCTTGCATTCTAGTTTCGGGTTTCAGGATGAAACCTCCATCGATATCTCTAGTTCCTTCAAGTCTGCTGAAATGTCACCTTCCCTGCGGCAAGCATATTTTAGGTAAGGCGTAAATGCAGCCTGCCCCTCCCGGCACCCCACTTCCCCTTGACTTATTTGAGTGATGTGTTTACCTGTGATGACCGCGGCTCATATCTCCCCACCAACCTCCGGGGGCCCCAGGAGGGCAGAGAGCATGTGCTGTGTTCACTGTTGCTTTGAAAGTGCTTAGAACTGTGTCTGGTACATAGTAAATGTTCAATTAAATTTTTTTTTTTACAGTTTCACTTTTCACACTTAAGCGTTTAATCCACTTGCAGTATAGTCATCCCTCGATATCCTCGGGATTGGTTTCAGGACCGCCCTTGGATCCTGAAATCAGCAGGTTCCCAAGGCCCTGGTATAAAGTGGCCTGGTATTTGCATAGAGCCTACCCACCTTCTCCCAATACTTTCAGTCATCTCTGGATGATTTGTAATACCTAATGCCATGTAAATGCATCCCCTGGCGTTCCCGGATACCTGCCTGCATCACACAGTCCCTGCCTGTCCATCTCGCAGCTTTACAGCCCAGGAAGGCCCAGGCCCGGCTCCTCCCGACCTCTCCCGAAGTCCCTTTCCCCCAGCCTTGGTCCCAGAAACAACCAGCTCGAGGTGGGGGCAGTGAACGCTCAGGGTGGAGTTGCAGGCTAAGCCCTCCTAAGCTGCCAGGGAGAAGCGCTTTTCTGCCAGCAGCTCTGCGGAGGAAAATTGATTTCCTTGGTAATGAAGTGTTAACCCGCTGGGGGTGCTCGGAGCCGCGCCAGGCAGGCGGGAGGCCCCAGTTTGCACAGGCAGTCTTCCCAGACATGTCTCAGAGTCCTCGTCCCAAGCTGCCTGGGGCCCCGGGTGGGCCTGGAGTGACCAAGGGCACACAGACCTGCTTGCGGGGTGAGCTGAGCCGGCAGGGCCCAGCTCCCCAGGCCGGGAGGCTCCATCACCTCGTAATCATCTGGTGGTCTGGTGCCTGCCGGTCCAGGAGAGTCGCACACACAGTAAAATCCTCCAAAATCAAACACAGCTGCTTTTGCTCCTCCTGGAAAGGCAATGAGAAGCCCCAGAGGAGGTTAATGAAGTGCCTTGGAGCCCTCGGCCTTAGCCTGCAGCTGCTGATTTTCCAAGCAGGGCCATCTGAATGGGGGAGGCTTCTCCCAGGGTCCCTGGGCTGATGTAGGGGCTCAGCCATCTCAGTCCCTGAGGCTGGACCCCTCCTTGATGAGGGTCATGGTCCGACAGGGAGGGCCAGGCAGCATCAGCGCAGGTGTGGCCACTCCCTCCCTCCCCTCCTCCTCTGCTGGCCCCATGGCAGCCCCCCAGGAGCTACACAGCCTTGAATCCCCTCAGGGAGGCCCCCAAGGCCCGTTTGGGGAGCTGCCCACGCGGAGCCCAGCACGCCCGCCCGGCTTCTGCAGGGAGGGGCCCATCTCTTCCTGGCTGTGCTGGGTTTTCCAGTGCAGGCCAGAGGGGAAACTCCCATGATCGAGCCCAGCTGAGCCCCCTGCTCCAGCCCTGGGGGGCCGAGGAAGAGCAGGTTCTGAGACCCCGACCAGCTCAGGGCATCCAGGAGGGGCCAGGGCACCCTCTGTGCGGCTGGGGTGTCCTCCCAGTCTCCCCTCCTGCTGTCACTGGCCCGCGAGGCATCTGGAGGGCCCACACCTGCCAGTGACCCCTCTGGGGGGTTGTCCCAGGCTGCGCTGACTTCCTTTCTGTGGCGCGGGTGACACAGACGGCGACTCTCCAGGGCGGGGCAGGGGCTGGCAGGGCCGCCGGGTGTTCCCTGACCCTGGAGGCTTCGGGGAGGGAGGGGAGGACGCCAAGCAGGGGCGGGAGCTTAGAGTCCCCCCCACAGCTCATCAGGCCACGCGAGTCCTGCAGGGTGGTCTGGGATGGCCCCTCACCCTCTGACGTCCTCTTGGGCTGGGCCAGTGAGGAGCAGCCACAGGAAGGCGGAGGGTCGGGGGTGGAGGTTGGAAGGCAGAGGGCGGAGGGCGGGCGGGGGCATCCATTCTCCCGAACAGGGGTCTTGCTGCGCGACTCTTCCATCTCACGCTGCCGGACCTGTCTCTTCCCCGCCGTCCACGCTGGGGACGGTTTTAGTGATTTCCCCGGGTTCTGTGCCCTAAATCCTGCCACACTTCAGCCACATCCCCCTCATTACTCCTAATTTGGATTCCCAGGTGGAGGGGCCAGCCCACCCTGGCTGCAGTGGGAGGGCAGCCCCTGAGTGCACAGCCTGTGGCCCACAGAGGACGGGGTCTGCGCTCTGAGGAGGGTTCCCGGCCCGCATCGGTCAAGGCAGAGATGAGGAGGAGGCCATGAGGCTGGCGTGGTGTGGCCACAGCCCAGCTAGAGGGGAGGGCATTTGCACGGGATCCAGTGGTGTTTCCCCAAATTCGCATCCACTGAAACCTCGGAACGTGGCCTCTGCAGGTGTGATGTGAAGTGAGGATGAGGTCATCTTGGATTGGGGTGGGCCCTAAATCCAATGACTGGTGTCATAAGAGAGGAGAGACAGATACACACAGAGAGGGGATGACCGTGAAGAGGGAGGCAGAAACGCACACAGATACACACATACTCAGGGAAGAGGAACAACAGGCCAGAGGGGCCGTCAAACCCTCTCGGGGGTTTGAACTCCACCTACGGCGTGTTTCAGTCTTAAAATGTCCATGATTCTTTTGTCACGATTTCCAATTCTCTGATGAAATTCTCCCTCTTACATATTGTCTTGAATACACCGATGCTGCTGTTTTAAACTCCCGTCGCTGCTGCGTCTGTTTCTATTGACTTTCCTCTGCTGCTGCTGCTGGCCTTATTACCTGGTCCTGTCACCCCCATGCCTGGATATTTTTGATTGAATGCTTGGCGTTGTGAATACACATTTACAGTGGGCTTGGGTGATGTTGTCTTCCTCTGGAGATGAGTTGCTTTTCTTTAGGATGGTAGTTAGGGTTAGGGGTCGACTGCCATGACCCCATCAGGGCCGGGACCACTGGAGGCCGCCAGTCTCCACGAGGGCGGGAACTGGAGGCCGCCGGTCTGCATGAGGCTGCTCTCCTCTGGTCCCCCTCACTCCCAGGCTGCGGCATTCAAGGGCATCAACAGAAAGCCTGATGCAAGTTCTTCCCTCCCAGCTCTGACTGCCAGGAAACCTGAGGCTGCCTCAGGGAAATGAGGTCTCCTCCTCCTCCTTGGGGCCGTCACCCCTCAAGTCCCAGCTGCCTTGGTTACTCTCTGGCACCTTTGAACTGCCACCTGTTCCTCTGGCCCAGCTTTGAAAGCAACTCCCAGGAGCAGGTGTGCTTGGACCCTGCGGCCCTGCGGACAGACCCCTCACTGACCTCCCCTTCATTAATCCCATCCAAACGAGGCCACGTTCTGAGTTCATCCTGGTGAATTTCGGGGACACTCTTCAACCCAGTGCGCCGTCCCCCACAGAGCAAGCCAACATCCTGATGGGGCAGCCTTTGCCACTTTGCCCCCGCTGGCCCCATCACACTGCCCCCCAGCCACCACACCTCCCGGAGGGGCCTCACACGCTGCAGCCCTCCATCCTCAGGCCTGGCGTTGGCTGCTCCTTGGCTTGTGTGCCCCTCCCTGCACCCCAATATGCCAGGATCTCCCCGCACCTCCTCATTCTACCATCACCTCACGGAGACATCCTGGTCACCCCGTGAGGCATTGCTCACGCCCTCCCCGGCACTCCACAGCCTTGAAGGGCACTGACCGCCAGTGCCTCCACCCACTGTGCCTCCTGCCCAGACTGCAACCCCCCAAGCCAGGGCTCGTCTCCGGTTCACGGCTGTGTCCCACATGTCTGTGGTGCCTCCCAGCTCCAGGGAGGTCTGGGTCCTGTCGGGGGGTGGGGGGCAGCCTCCGTGGCCAAGGGTCTCCCAGGCTGCTGTCAGGCCAGGCTCGCCAGCCGGGCTCCTGATCACCTTCCTGGGCCAGCCTCTCCAGGAACCCAGGAGCCAGAGGGCGGCTGATGTAACTGAATTCCAGAATCCGTCATGAGCCGGGAAGTGAGTGCCTGCGGTTTGTGGGGCTGAGGTGACCGGCCAACGCCTTTGGGGCTTTGTTACTCCTCACACGGGGAGGTTGATTGGAGCCAGGAGCCCTGCAGTGGCTCCAGGCCTGCTGCTCCAATTAACCTCCCTGGCCCTGGGGAGCCGGGCCTTAGGGCTGGGGCTGGAGGGCTGCTGGCATCGGTGCCCGGGCTCAGCCTGCAGGTGGCAGGCCCTGAGGTGGAGGGGAGCATCCCGCAGCCCTGCCGCTCCCTCTGGGTGCTTGGCCTGCACCCTGCCAAGGAAACTAGCTAGTTAACCATCCCAAGTGCATCCCAGGGGCTGGGCAGAGCACAGCAGGCTTGGTCAGCAGTGATGGGGTGGAGAGATGCCTGCTCGGAGCCAGGGACACAAGACAGCTGTGGCCGACTCTGCCCCCCACCCCCAGCCCGGGCCTCCTGGGAAGGCCGTGTCTGAGTTCATGGGCCAGAAGAAGAGAGATGGATGGAGTCAGGCGGAACAGCTCTTGGCGCCAAGGAGACAGCCAGTCTTAGGTCCTGAGGAGGGACAGTTAGGGGTTAGGGTTAGGTGTGATTGGTGGTGGGGGTGAGGGGCGTGGGTGTTGTTAGGATTAGGGTTAGGGGTAGATGTGATGGGTGTTGGCGGGTGAGCGGGGAGAGAGTTAGGTTTAGGGTTAGCGCTAGGATTAGGGTTGGAGTAGATGTGATGGGTGTTGGGGGTGAGGGGGCGGGGATGTTAGGATTAGGGTTGGGGTAGATGTTATGGGTGTGGGGGTTGAGGGAACGGGGGTGTTAGGTTTAGGGTTGGAGTAGATGTGATGGGTGTTGGGGGTGAGGGGGCAGTGGTGTCAGGTTTAGGGTTAGTGCTGGGATTAGGGTTGGGGTAGATGTGATGAGTGTTGGGGTGTGGTCGCAGGAGGATTTGGCTTTTATTCTGGGGGAGGTGCTGCACTGGGCTGCACAGGGTACCAGCACCGGCCTCCTCTGACCAGATGCTATTTAGACCCCTCCCCCAACCCCTGTGTCCTTGGAGCCCCTCCCTCTGCCCAGCGTCCCTCCCTGAGTTTGCTCTTCTCTGTGGTAAGAGTGAGGGCTGCCTTTGGCTTCCAGGCAGGCAGCTTGGAGGGTGGGCAGGGTGAGGAAGTGGGTTCTGCATCTCCCGGGGAGTCTGAGGCCAGAGGCAGCTCTGAGCAGCCCGGCCGTGCAGGGGGCAGCTGGGGGAGGCTGCGGCCACCCCAGGGCTCTCCTCCATGCTAAGCCAGCAACTGGAAGGCCAGGGGTAGCCGGTTGCAGATGGGGTGGGAGCCAGGGTGACCAGCCACCCGTGTTCCCCAAGACGAAGTGGGCCGTGGGGGTCCCAGGTAAACATGGGGGAATCTGTCACCCTCTGAGAGCAGAGTCCAGTGGGGACGATGCAGGTCTGGGCACGACCTCTGGGAGGGGCAGCAGGTCAGGGGGACCCCTGGTTTCCAAGGAGCAGACACTGCCAGGGGAGAGGAAGCTGTTGACCCTGGTCAGAGGCCCAGGCTGAGGAGAGTGGGGTCAGGGCCACCAGGAACAGCCGGGGGCAGTAGCTCCAACCTCACAGCAGCACCTGGACAGACACCGACTGGGGACCACAGAAAGGTCTAGGATCCATGAGTTATGCCTGCCAACAGCAGACCCTGTGTATGTGTGCATGTGAACGTGTGTGAACATGTATGTGGATGTGTGTGCGTGTGGACATATGTGTGTGCATGTGGATGTGTGTGCGTGTGTTGTGTCTGCATGTGTGTGTGAACTTGTGTGTGTGTGCATGTGTGTGCATGTGAACGTGTGTGTGAACATGGATGTGTGCATGTGGGCGTGTGTATGCAAGTGGATGCGTGTGCATGTGGATGTGTGTGTGCATGTGTGTGCGTATGTGTGTGGACGTGTGTGATGCGTGTGGATATGTATGCATGTGCATTGCGTCAGTGCATTTGGACGTGTGTGTGAACTTGTGTGTGTGTGCGTGTGTGTGCATGTGAACGTGTGTGTGTGAACATGGATGTGTGCATGTGGACGTGTGCGTGTGGTGTGTCTGCATGTGTGTGTGGACTTGTGTGTGTGTGCGTCTGTGCATGTGAACGTGTGTGTGCATGTGAACATGGATGTGTGCATGTGGGCATGTGTATGCAAGTGGATGCATGTGCATGTGGATGTGTGTGTGCATGTGTGTGCGTATGTGTGTGTGGACGTGTGTGATGCATGTGGATATGTATGCATGTGCATTGCAGCAGTGCATTTGGACGTGTGTGTGTGGATGTGTGTGCGCGTGTGTGCATGTGAACGTGTGTGTGAACATGGATGTGTGCATGTGGACGTGTGCGTGTGGTGTCTGCATGTGTGTGTGGACGTGTGTGATGCGTGTGGATATGTATGCATGTGCATTGCATCAGTGCATTTGGACGTGTGTGTGTGGACGTGTGTGATGCGTGTGGATATGTATGCATGTGCATTGCCGCAGTGCATTTGGACGTGTGTGTGTGGATGTGTGTGCGCTTGTGTGCCTGTGGGCGCGTGTGTGTGAACACGGGTGTGAGTGGGTGTGCACGAATCTGTGTGTGTGTGTATGAACATGGAGCTCAGTGCGGGGTCTGCTTCCCCTCCAGTCAGAGCTGCCCTGGCATCTGGCTTTGACCTTAGGATGGGGCATGACCTCGGGAGGCCGTCCACTCTCCCTTCGTGCCGTGGAAGCCCTGGGGACTCAGGGCTGCGTGAGAGGAACCGTGCGGCAGCCGGCAACAGCTCCCAATGTGTGAGTGAGGCCAGGTGAGACCTCCGCCCAGCTGAGCAGCTGATGACCGACACAGAGGTGACCCGGGGAGCTCAGCAGAGGGGCCTAGACAGCAACTCCCTGCACCTGAGGCTCACAGACCCTCGGCAAGCACAGGTGTTCACAGTCTCACAGCAGAAGTGAGGTTCAGACGCTGGACCCCAGCGCACTCATCTGCCAGAGAAGAGGTCAGGGCCCCACAGGGCGAGGGGTCCATGGGGGCGAGAGGCCTGGTGTGGCTGAGGGTCCTGTGGAGCAGAGTGAGGAGACAGCTCCTGCCCTCACCCCAGGCTGAGCAGGACCACCTGGCCGGGGGGTGTGGAGCTCCTGGTGCTGGGTGCTGTCCCCAGGACTTGATGAGGCTGAGTCGTGCCCCAGACCAGTCTCATCCCGGCCCCAGCACCCAAGAAGGTGCCTCTGCGTGGAGAAGGGAGCTCGTGCTGGATGGAGGTCAGACGTGGCCGCCGTGCTAATCCCCAGAGCCTGCGCCTGTGTCGGGTTACCGGGCGGGGGAGTTAAGGCTGCAGATGGAAAAACTGCTAATCAGCTGACCTTAAAACACAATTACCCGGATTATCCGTGGGCCCAGTGCAATCACAAGGGTCCTCGAATGGGGAGGAGGAGGCAGGAGACGAGGCCGGGAGACGCTGCAGGGAGTCTCTGCGGCCGCCGAGGCTCTGAAGACGGAGGGAGGGCCTGGCCCGGACGGGCCACTCCTGGGGCTGACGAGGCAGGCGGCGGGTCCTCCCCAGGCCCCAGCAGAACCGGCCTTGCTCGCCCCACACTGGGCTTCCAACCTCCAGAGCTGCGAGATGATAAATCTGTGCGGCGTTGCGGTCACTTGCTCCGGCAGCCACAGGAAGCTCTCACATGGTGAGGCGTCGGGAGAGAGGGCTCCGTTGGCTTCCACGCCCCCCAGTCCTTGGGCTCGAACGGGCGGGGGAGTGGGTGGGTGGGTGGGTGGACGGGCGGGCAGGTGGGTGGATGGGCGGGTGAGTGGCTGGGTGGGCGGGCGGGCAGGTGAGTGGATGGCTGGGTGGGTGGGTGGGTGCGGGAGTGGATGGGTGGGTGGGTGGACGGGCGAGTGAGTGGGTGGGTGGGTGAGTGGACGGGCGGGTGAGTGGCTGGGTGGATGAGTGGATTGGGTGGACAGGTGGGTGGATGGGCGGGTGAGTGGATTGGGTGGACAGGTGGGTGGATGGGCGGGTGAGCGGGTGGGTGGGTGAGTGGACAGGTGGGTGGACGGGCAGGTGAGTGGGTGGGTGGGTGGACGGGCGGGTGAGTGGGTGGGTGGATGAGTGGACGGGTGGGTAGGTAGACAGGTGGGTGGATGGGCAGGTGAGCGGATGGGTGGGTGAGTGGACGGGTGGGTAGGTGGACAGGTGGGTGGACAGGCAGGTGAGCGGGTGGGTGGGTGAGCGGGTGGGTGGGTGAGTGGACGGGTGGGTAGGTGGACGGGTGGGTGGACGGGCAGGTGAGCGGGTGGGTGGGTGAGTTGACGGGTGGGTAGGTGACCAGGTGGGTGGACGGGCGGGTGAGCGGGTGGGTGGGTGAGTGGGTGGGTGGGTGAATGGACGGGTGGGTAGGTGGACAGGTGGGTGGACGGGTGGGTGGGTGATGGGTGAGCGAGTGGGCGGGTGAGTGGATGGGCGGGTGATGTGGCTGGGCGGGCAGGTGGGTGGACAGATGGCTGTGAAGCTTCATATCTTAAGTAGAGAGAGATGCAGATACGTATTGAAATCTCAGCCTTATGAATACAGGTATATATCGAATCCGGTTTCCGCTCCTTCAAACATTCTGTGTGCTGTCAGTATTGATTGAGCATTTCCCACACACACGTAGCATTCCCTGTGTGTCTGGCACTCTTCTCCACACTTCTTTAACTCATCTGGTCTTTGCAGCATCCACGAGGGAGGTGCTGCTATCCTCCCCCTTTACAGGTGAGGAGACTGAGGCCGAGGGATGGAGTGATCTGTTGGGGTTAGTGGCTGAGTGCAAATATGAACGCTGCCAGCAGCACCTCAGCCCTGTGCTGGCCTCAGGCCCCGGCTGCACTCTGCTGGGTCCACCCCACCACAGTGCACCCTCCATGCCGTCCGCTCCCAGCTCATTGTCCAGGAGTGGTGGTGCCCGAAAGCTGAGCCTGGGACAGGCCCCTGGGACCTCAGGGGTTGGGGGGCAGGAAACTGAGCATCACACTTTTGGCTTTAACAGCAAGACACTGCCTCTGCGTCCCACCTGCCCGTGAGGTGGAGAATTCCCTACACAGGATATGGGTTCAGATGCTGGGTAGGCAAAGAATGGCCAATGGCCACCGCACCTGTCCTGTCCGGAGAGGGCAGGATGCCTCCCCTGTGATGGGTTTTATCAAATTTCTCTTGAAATTCCTTTTTTTTTTTTTTTTTTCTTTCAGAGACAGGGTCTTGCTCTGTCCCCCAGGCTGCAGTGCAGGTGCGATCTTAGCTCACTGCAGTCTGGAATTCCTGGGCTCAAGCCGTCCTCTGGCCTCAGCCTTCGGAGTAGCTAGGACCACAGGTGCCACCACCACGCCCAGCCCGATTTCTCCAGTTTTGTGTGGTCTAGTTCTATTCCGCACTGCTCAGCACACAAAGGCTTTTGTGTCTGCTGAACCTTTGGAAGGCACAGGACATTTTTGTCCCTTTATAAACTCAAAGCATGATCCTATCTATGTTTAAAAAGCAGACGCGGACAGCGGCGGACATGAGGAAAGGCCAGAGGCAGCAGCCAGCCCATCTCAGGCCCGTCACCGTGGAAGCAGCGGCCGGAGGAGCCACAGAAAGCAAAACTCCCAAAGCCGCCCACGTACTTCGGGTCTTAGCTTGGATCTCCTGGAGACAGGCCCTGCGAAGGAGCTGGGCTGGGAGCAGGTTTATCAGGGCGTGATCTTAGGAGGCAGATGTAGGAGGTGAGGAAGGCAGGGTGTGTAGAGTGCAGCTGACCCAACCGGCCCGGCCGACCCACAGGACGCCCTGGGCTGAGACGCTGTCAGCACTGCCCCAGGCTGAGACCACCTTGGGAGGGGTGTAACCTTGTGCAGGGGGGCTCTCTGCAGCGGAGGGCAGTCCTGGGGAGGACACGGCTGAGGACACATGCAGTGACGTCCCAGCGTTCCCAGCAGTGGGGAGGGTCGGGGGGGCATCCAGTGCCCACGACACTCATGAACACAAAAACCAACCAGAGAAAACCCAGTCTCCAGCAAAGAGCCGAGTGCTGAGTGTGCAGCGTTCTCCGCCTGTCTCTCCCCCTTTCGCACCTCTATCCCAGGCAGGCCCTCCCTGGCCTTGCCACCATGCCGGACCACCGTGTGGACCCTGTGCTCACCCAGGCCTCACCTTTCAGCCCCCTAAGCTGGGCCCAAAGCAGCAGACTGTGTTATGGAGGGTGCTGTGGCTCACGGCCCCCACCCCCTGCTAGGCAGAGTTGCCGGGTAAAAGACAGGATAACCAATTAAATTAGAACGTCAGAGAAACACAGTGATTTTTCTTTTTTTCTTTTCTTTTTTTTTTTTTTTTGAGACGGAGTCTCACTCTGTCACCCAGGCTGGAGTGCAGTGGCGCAATCTCGGTTCACTGCAAGCTCCGCCTCCCGGGTTGACGCCATTCTCCTGCCTCAGCCTCCCAAGTAGCTGGGACTACAGGCACCCACCACCACGCCCAGCTAATTTTTTGTATTTTTACTAGAGACGGGGTTTCCCCATGTTAGCCAGGATGGTCTCGATTTCCTGACCTCGTGATCCGCCCACCTCGGCCTCCCAAAGTGCTGGGATTACAGGCGTGCACCACTGCACCTGGCCAAAACAGTGATTTTTCACATGAGTTCATCCCAAAAGGTGCATGAAACCAAAAAATTATCCATTGCCAGCAGGGGCTGCGGAGGAGGGAATGGAGAGTTATTGGTTAACAGTCACAGGGTTTCTTTTTGGGGCAATGAAAAAGACTCAGAAACAGATGGTGGCAGTGACGGCACAACAGTGTGACTGGAATTAAGGCCACTCCAGGCACGTTCACAACGGTTACAATGGCACATTTTATGCCATATATATTTTACAATTCTTAAAAAATAATCCCAAAAACTTCTGAATCTTACACTTTAAATGGGTAAATCGTGTATGTGAATTATACGTATCTCAACAACACTGCTGTTTAAGCCAATCAGAGCCCTTCCCTGGGACTTTGGAACCAGGTTGTGGAAGAAAGCTCACCTCTCTCCAACAGGGGGTGCTGTAGGGCACGTTTCCATATTTCACGCCGCCTGGGAAGAGGCTGTGCCTGGAAAGACACGGGACAGAGAGACAGAGGGACGCAGCAGCAAAAGCAGCTACGGATTCCTAACCATAGGCCAGGCACGGCAGCTCATGCCTGGAATCCCAGCATTTTGGGAGGCCGAGGCGGGCGAGATCACCTGGATCTCAGGAGTTCGAGACCAGCCTGGCCAACATGGTGAGACCTTGTCTCTACTAAAAATACAAAGATTAGCCAGGCGTGGTGGCACGTGCCTGTAGTCCCAGCTACTCAGGAGGCTGAGGCAGGAGAATTGCTTGAACCCAGGAGGTGGAGGTTGCAGTGAGCCGAGATCGCACCACTGCACTCCAGTCTGGTGACAGAGCGAGACTCCATCTCAAAACAAACAAACAAAAAACAAAACAAGTCCTAACCGCATGAAGCACGTTTGCACCCCCCTTCCAGCTGCTCCTGAGGCCCACCCACACCTGACCTCCTGAGGAGTTCTTTGTTCAGCCTTCCTCCAATTGGACAACCTCCAGGATCCTTCCAGTGTGGCCCTTTTTCTGCCCAAGTCAGTTGAAGTTAAAGTTGGGTGTCTGCCATTTGCAGCAACAGCAAAAAAGGAACATTCAGAGACACGGGTGTCTGGAAGCTCGTTCACCTGTGGGTTCTCCATAACCTGAGATAAATGCTGGAGTTCAGGGCAGCTCAGGAAATATTTGATGTATAAACAAAGAAAAGGACAGCTTGGTTCCTGACAGCTGTGGGTGCCAGACCCCTCAAGTCTGTCTCCTGACCTGAGCAGGCAGTTCGTGGCCTCAGCCCTGAGTGAGGGGCCGCCAGGAGCCTGGGGAGGGAGGATCAGGGCTCGAGGCCCAGGAGCTGGAGAACTGGGTCGCATCCCCCTTCTGTGGCTCCCTCAGCTCTGGTAGGTGATAGTGGCATTCCAGACAGCATTCTTCCAGTAAGATGTGGCCTGTGGCAGAAAACTCAGCTTACGCAGTGAGGGAATGCAATGAACCGTGCATCTGTGAAGTCCATGAGCAGCGTCAGCTTCAAGTATGGATGCATCCAGAGGCTACCGGTGTCCTCCGGTCTTTGTCTCTCTGTGTCTTTGCCCACCATCCTCCATGCGAGCACACAAAAACCCAAGCCTACACCTCCTGCCCCAAGACCTGAGGGAAGGAGGGAACTTTATTCCACTCACTGCCATCGAGGTCCTGGGCCATGCCCCAAGACTGGGCCAATCGTGGGGCAAAGAGGAACGGGGTGCTCCCACTGGCAACGCCTAAGGGACACACTCACACCTGGACCCAAGGATGGAGTTGAACCTCCCTAACTTCATGGGCGGAACACAGGAGAGCAGCGTTTCCCAGAGGAAAATGGGAAACTGTTGCCAAAGGCAGGGCATGGTACACAGTGCTACTGCCCACCACGTAGCCACCCGCGCCTCCTCTGTCCTGCTCAGAGAACCCCAGTTTTGTTCCAATAAGAGGCAGAAACCTCTTGGTCTCAGGAAAGATAGACTCCATCCCCCAGCCTTGTGATGAATTCTATTTGGGTTGAGACAGTCACAGTAAATCCATCCCCTTTGCCTGATTTCCACTTTCCCAGCTTCCTTCACCACAAGCAATGCCATGAGACACTCTTCTGGTCAATGAGATTTGAGAAGCCAGGTGGGAGCTCTGGCTGCTACACCACTGCTTACTTGCCTCTCTGCACAGGGTGCTGGAATGTGGACATGATGCCTGGAGCTGCAGCAGCCTTGTTGGGTCAATAAGACATCAAGTAGGAGAAACAAAAGCCAACACTGCTAGTAATATTCTATTTCCTGATTGTTACATTTGTAACATGTAACACACAACATTTTGTGAGAATTCAAGGAGCTGTGCATTTTTCTGTTAGTGTGTTATACCTCACCAAAACAGTTAGGTAAAAATCTAACACCCTGAGGATGGCAGAGCAAACCCCTGAAAACATGGGTGAACTGGTTAACCAGCCTCAAATACTGTAACTCGGAGCTTCTGATTAAGAGAATCAAAAGCCTTTGTTGCTTAATTACTAGGTTTTCTAATACTTGCAGCTGAATGCATTCTTGATTAACCCAAAGAATGACTGGAAGCTGGGTGGCAAAATACTAAGGTGCGCTCTTCAGGAAATCCCCACAGCATAAGGCTGACCATGAAGAGCAAAGTGCCCTCCCCCTTCCTGCTGACGGGTGAACCGCCCAGCACAAGGGCGCTCAGCCCTGAGAGCCATGCCTTCCCCATTCTCAGCTTCAGCAGGGAACTTGCCATTGCTGGACAGAAACTCCACTCCAGATGTCTCCCAGCCTTAGTCTTGTTCCAGAGATGCTGAGATTCAAAAGGCCCCCTGGGCAAGCACCCAGAAGGTGAGCTCAGATGTGGATGGGGATGCTGCCTGGGGACAGTAAACTAAGAGGCTCTTTCCTGGTGCCAGCATATCCAGCTTTCTCTCCTGGCAGACTCTTCCTCCCACAACCCCCTCCTTGTGAAAGCATAGCTGAGTTCTCTTTGAGAAAAAGAGTACAACACAGATTGGACACAGGCATTCTGACCACCCATACATACCAGCCAGTGACCCACAGTGTGCCTGAGGAGAAACAGGGGAGCCTAACTAGGAATCTGAACTGGATTAAATAACAGCACTATCACCATCATCATCAGCATCACCATCATTATCAGTACCATCATCACCATTGCCATCATCACCATCACCATCACCATCACCATCATCACCATCATCACCATCACCATCACCATCATCACCATCAGCATCACCATCACCATCATCACCATCAGCATCACCATCACCATCACCATCATCACCATCACCATCATCACCATCATCACCATCACAGTCACCATCATCATCATCACCATCACCATCATCACCATCATCATAAGCATCATCACCATCATCACCATCAGCATCACCATCATCACCATCATCATCACTATCATCACCATCACCATCATCACCATCACCACCATCACCATCACCATCATCACCATCATCATCACCACCACCATCACCATCATCACCATCACAGTCACCATCATCACCATCATCACCATCACCATCATCATCACCATCAGCATCACCATCATCACCATCATCACCACCATCACCATCACCACCATCACCATCACAGTCACCATCACCATCACCATCATCACCACCATCACCATCATCACCATCACAGTCACTATCATCACCATCATCACCATCACCATCATCATCATCACCATCAGCATCACCATCATCACCATCATCATCATCACCATCACCATCATCACCACCATCATCATCATCATCATCATCATCATCATCATCATCATCATCATCATCATCATCATCATCATCATCATCATCATCATCATCATCATCATCATCATCATCATCATCATCATCATCATCATCACCATCAGCATCACCATCATCACCATCACCATCATCATCATCACGATCACCATCATCATCACCATCACCATCATCATCATCACCATCACCATCATCACCACCATCACCATCATCATCATCACCATCACCATCATCATCACCATCATCACCATCACCATCATCACCATCAGCATCACCATCATCACCATCATCATCATCATCATCACCACCATCATCACCACCACCACCATCAGCATCACCATCACCATCATCACCATCATCACCGTCACCATCATCATCACCGTCACCATCACCATCAGCATCACCATCATCATCAGCACCATCACCACCGTCACCATCATCACCATCATCACCATCACCATCACCACCGTCACCATCATCATCACCATCATCACCACCATCACCATCATCATCACCATCATAATCATCTCCATCGCCATCATCACCAGTGTCACCATTATCCTGTGCTCTGGTTCCCAGTTGGGCTCAGCAGCAGCAGCCCCAGAGCAGGTCCTAGGGCTCCTGGAGAACCGCCTTCCTCTCCACTTCCTGTCTGCATCCCCTTTCCATGGCTGCCTCGTTTAGCCATGTTCTGGCACCACTAACTTCTCCCTTGCCCTTGCCGGCTTCTGGGTGGTGGTGGCTTCCCACAGTGCACATCCCTGGGTCCTCAGCAACCCTCATGGGCTCCCGTCCTGCCTGCCCCTGGAGAAGTCAGGCCTCATTAGCCCCCTCACAGCCTGTGCCTGTTTCTTGCGGAGACCCCCGCTGGCATGGGCTTAGTGAATACACACAGAACAGGCAGGCAGGCCCGGGGGCTTGCATCTCCAGGGAGCCCAGAGCAACAGCCCCTGCAGGTGCTCCCAGAGGCGGAGGACGACCCAACATCACCCGGACAGGAGGCAGGCTCTGTGTGTAGGAACACTCACAGAAGAGGCGCCGAGGCAGCCCAGTCCCCATGCAACTTGAGGGGGCCCAGGCCCCAGTGTGGACCTGAAAGTCTCGGGGGTTGGGGATGGTGAGTGTCCATGTTTAGGTGCAGGTTGGAGAGGAAGCAGGCTCTGTGTGTAGGAATACTCACAGAAGAGGCGCCAAGGCACCCCAGTCCCCATGCAACTTGAGGGGGCCCAGGCCCCAGTGTGGACCTGAATGTCTCAGGGGTTGGGGAGGGTGAGTGTCCATGTCTGGGTGCAGGTCGGGGAGGGACAGTGCAGGCCGTTCTGGGGATGGGCCAGGTAGCCCATAGGAAGAGCCTGCACACCTCGCTCTCAGAGGCAGGGCCCCGGGGCGGGAGCTGCCTTGCAGGGGAGGCCAGGGCAAGGGGCCCATCCCCCAGGGCCTCTCGGCCACCTGGAGTGCTTGCTGCTCAGTTTAATCCTTGTGTGCTCAGGAGAGCACTGACAGGAAATGAGTGTTCTGCCATGTGGGAGAGCTGCTCCCTCCCTGGAAGGGGGCACCCCTGTGTGCACAGAGCCTGAGCCCCTCCCTTCACTGATGGGAGCTTTCCCGGAGCTAATCCCAGAGGAGAGGCCCTGCCAGGCGTAATCTTGGATCAGATGCCAGGGAGTGAAGGATGGTGACACCCCCACACAGGCCTGATGTGCAGGGTGAAGGCAGACGGCAGCCCAGGGGTCTCTCCTCCCCTGCCAACCTCCGTTCTGTGCCCTGGCGGTGACTTACAGACCCTCACCGGACTGCCCTTCAGCTTCCTGTAAGATTTGGTCATGGAAAGCTGTGTGGGGAGCCTGGAGCCAAGGAGAGGGAGGTCGGAGGTCAAAGGTCAGAGGATTTATCCTTGACTCCAGAGGCTTTGAGCTGACCACAGCCCCTCCGGGTGGCCCGCTCCTCCCTCCCTCCCCTGGGGCCTCTGTGTCCTCATCGTCCCCTCAGCCTGGCCCACTTTTCTGGAAGTCTTCCCCAGGAAGGGCAGAATGGAAAGTGTGGTGAGGGGTCCAGGCACTGCAGCCTCCCTGGGTCTCTGCTGCCCGTCCCCCTCCTCCTCTTCCTCTCTCTTCATCTCTACTGGATGCTTTTCTCCAACCATTTCTGTTTCCCATTTCTTCTGTCTCTCACTCTCTTTTCTTTGTGTCTCTGTTTCTCTCTGTTCCCTGCATCGGCTTCCTGTGGCTGCCTGTGCCTGGGGACACCTGTGACCAGGAACTCCTGTGCCTGGGGACACCTGTGACCGGGACACCTGTGCCTGGGGACACCTGTGACCGGGAACACCTGTGCCTGGAGACACCTGTGACCGGGGACAGCTGTGACTGGGACACCTGTGACCAGGACACCTGTGCCTGGGGACACCTGTGACCATGGGTGCCTGTGACCAGGGACACCTATGCCTGGGGACACCTGTGACCGGAGACACCTGTGACCGGGGACACCTGTGCCTGGGGACACCTGTGACCTGGGACACCTGTGACCGGGGACACCTGTGACCAGGGACACCTGTGCCTGGAGACACCTGTGACCAGGGACACCTGTGACCGGGGACACCTGTGACCTGGGACGCCTGTGCCTGGAGACACCTGTGCCTGGGACACCTGTGCCTGGGGACATCTGTGACCAGGGACACCTGTGCCTGGGGACGCCTGTGACCTGGGACACCTGTGACTGGGGACACCTGTGCCTGGAGACACCTGTGACTGGGACACCTGTGCCTGGGTTACCTATGATCAGGAACACCCTGTGCCTGGGGTCACCTATTACCAGGAACACTGTGACCAGTGACATCCGTTCTGGGGACACCTGGACTCAGTCGTGAACAACCCCAGGCCAGCCGTGCAGGGAGGTCGGGCTTCCTCCATGGCACGGTGGAAGGAGAAAGCTGGGTGAGGACCAGGCCTCAAGGACTGAGGCCGGGATTGGAGCTTTGCCAGAGCCCGGAGCAGCTCCAGGTCCAGGCTCCTCCCTAAGAGCTGAAGGCCTTGAGCAACTGGCAATTCATTCTCACCTCGGGGTAATGGGATTACAAAAACAAAATCCTTCCATGTAGGGGCTGTCATCGTAGTAAATGAAATAAAAAGACAAGCAACCCAGTCAAATGTGGACAAAGGACTTGAATAAGCATTTCCCAAAGTAGATATACGAATCCCCATGAGCACATGGAGAGAGACTCAGACATCATGAGCCATAAAAGCAACGCAAACCCAAACCAGAGGGACAGTCTGCTCCACATCCACTTAGATGGCTATGTTTCTTTTTTCTTTTTTTTAAAGGAAAATGTTGGGGATGTAGAGAAATTGGAATTCTCACACATTGTTGGCAGGAATGTGAAATGGTGCAGTCACTGTGTTAAAACGCCTGGCGGCTCCTCAGAACGTTAAACGTAAAGTCACCATTTGACCCAGCAGTTCCACTCCTAGGCGTATGCCCAAGAGTGCACAGGAACGTTTATTCCAGCACTGTTCATAATAAGCGAATAGCAGAAGCAACCCACATGACCATCAACTGATGAGTGGGTTTCTAGCGGTGGATTCACACAGCAGACTATTAGTCAGCAGTAAAAAGGAATGATGGCCGGGCACAGTGGCTCGTGCCTGTAATCCCAACACTTCGGGAGGCTGAGGCAGGTGGATCGTCTGAGGTCAGGAGTTCGAGACCAGCCTGGCCAATGAGGAGAAACCCTGTCTCTATTAAAAATACAAAAAAAAAAAAATTAGCAGGACATGGTGGTGCAAACCTGTAGTCCCAGCTACTTGGGAGGCTAAGGCAGGAGAATCACTTGAACCCCAGAGGCAGAAGTTGCTGTGAGCCGAGATCACGCCACTGCACTCCAGCCTGGGTGACAAGAGCAAGACTTCATCTCCAAAAAAAAAAAGGAAGTAAGTACCGATATAGATGACAACATGGGTGAACTTAAACATCACAGCGAGTGAAAGAGGCAGGCACAGAAGACTGCACGCAGGTGTGTGAAATGTCCACAACCGGCAGATCCACAGAGAGATGCAGGTGAGCAGCCTGCGGCCAGGACCAGGGCTGGGGTGGGAGGAATAGGGGGAGGGACAGCTAGTGGGTCTGAAGTTTCTTTTAGGGATGATGAAAATGATTTAAAATTAGATGGTGGTGATGGTTACACAACTCGGTAAATATATTAAAAGTCACTGAACCGCACACTTCAATCCATAAGTGAACTTCAAGATTAAGTGAGTTATGCTTCTCAGACACATAGTCCAATGACTGCCATGTGCGTTGACTCCCTCACCCTTCCAGTCAAGACTGATTATGCACCTGCTGTATGTATACACTGTCCCAGACACAGGGGACCCAGCACTGAAGAATGGGACAGATGCCCCGCCCTCAGGAGTGCACAGCCCAGTGAGGAAAACATACAACAAACAAGAACATTTACAATATCCATGGCCAGGCATGGCGGCTCACGCCTGTAATCCCAGCACTTTGGGAGGCCGAGGTGGGAGGATCACTTGAGGTCAGGAATTCGAGACCAGCCTGACCAGCATGTTGAAACCCTGTCTCTAGTAAAAAAAAAAAAATACAAAAATTTAGCCAGGTGTGGTGGTGCACACTGTAATCCCAGCTACTCGGGAGGCTGAGGCAGGAGAATCGCTTGAACCTGGGAGGTGGAAGTTGCAGTGAGCCAAGATCATGCCACTGCACTCCAGCCTGGGTGACAAGAGTGAAACTCTGTCTGAAAAAAAAAAAATAGGCCGGGCGCGATGGCTCACGCCTATAATCCCAGCACTTTGGGAGGCTGAGGCGGGTGGATCACGAGGTCAGGAGATCGAGACCATCCTGGCTAACATGTTGAAACTCCGTCTCCACTAAAAATACAAAAAAATTAGCCGGGCATGGTGGCGGGCGCCCGTAATCCCAGCTACTTGGGAGGCTGAGGCAGGAGAATGGCGTGAACCTGGGAGGCGGAGCTTGCAGTGAGCCGAGATCGTGCCACTGCACTCCAGCCTGGGTGACAGAGTGAGACTCCATCTCAAAAATAAATAAATAAATAAAAATAAATAAGATAAAATATGTATAGTAGGTCTGGGGTGATTCATGCCATGGAGAAAAAGTAAGGGAGGGGGTGGGACATATGGGGCACAGGGCACCAGGGGGGCCAGGAAGGGTCCCCATGCACAGTTACGGCCAACTGACCTTCAGCAAAGGCGCCAAGGACACACGACGGGGAAAGGGGCATCCTCAATAGGTGGTGCTGGGAAAAGTGGAGGAGGATGAAAGGGCCTCATCCGACACCACCTACGAAAATCAACTCAACACGGATTAAAGATTCAAACCTAAGACCCGACACCATAAAACTCTTAGAAGAAAACGTAGGAGGAAAACTTCTTGAGGCTGGTCCGGGCAATGATTTTTTTAAAATATGGCCCCACAAGCACAGGCAACAGAAGCAAAAATAGACAGTGAGAGTGCAACAAACCAGAAAGCTTCCGCAAAGGAAACCAACAGAGTGAAAAGGCAACCCCCAGGGGGAGGCGGGGGTATTGGCAGGGAAAAGGCAGAACCCACGGGGAGGTGGGGGTATTTGCAGGGAAAAGGCAACCCCCATGGGGAGGTGGGGGTATTGGCAGGGAAAAGGCAACCCCCATGGGGAGGCGGGAGTATTTGCAGTGAAAAGGCAAAACCCCAGGGGGAGGCGGGGGTATTTGCAATCCATGTATATGATGAGGAGTTAATTTGCAAATTGTAGAAGGAATTCAACTCAATAACAAAAACAAACAAAAAAAATTTTAAAACGTGCAAAGGACCTGAATCTGCGTGTCTCGAAGGAAAACATGTAAGTGGCCGAAGTGTAGACGAAATAACGTCCAGCATCACTAATCATCAGGAAAATCAAATAAAAACCAC
Organism: Homo sapiens; assembly: GCF_000001405.40. Classification (NCBI taxonomy): domain Eukaryota; kingdom Metazoa; phylum Chordata; class Mammalia; order Primates; family Hominidae; genus Homo; species Homo sapiens. The sequence continues at coordinate 132,470,039 of NC_000012.12, forward strand.
AGGAGGTACCAACTGGCACCTATTGGGATGACTGTCATCAAAACGCAAAAGATAGCGAGTGTTGGCGAGGACATGGAGGAAAGGGGCCCGTTGCACTCTGTCCCTGGGAACGTCGTTGGCACAGCCACCATGGGAGACGGCAGGGAGGTTCCTCAAAAATGTGGAAATAGAGCTCCCACCTGATCCAGCAATCCCACTGCTGGGTGTATATCCAAAGAGTTGAAATTAGCGTGTAGGAGAGGCGTCTGTACCCTCGTGTTCATCGCAGCACTGTCCCAGCAGCCAGGACACGGAATCAACCCAAGTGTCCATCAACGGATGCATGAATGAAAATATGTGAGAAATATACACACACATGCATGCACACACACACAGGAGTGTTATTCCACAGGAGGGAAAGGGAAGGGTGGGGAAGGGAGGGGAGGAGAGGGGGGAGGGGAGGGAAGAAATACACACACATGCATACACACACACACACACACACACACGAGTGTTATCCCACAGGGAGGGAAAGGGAAGGGGAGGGGAAGGGAGGGAGGAGGGGAGGGAAGGGAGGAGGGGAGGGAAAGGAAGGGAAAGGGAGAAATATACACACATGCATATATACACACACACACACACAAGCGTTATTCCACAGAAGGGAAAAGGAAGGGGAGGGGAAGGGAGGGGAGGGAGGAGGGGAGGGAAAGGAAGGGAAGGGGAGAAATACACACACATGCATACACACACACACACACACACACACACACACACACGAGTGTTATTCCACAGGGAGGGAAAGGGAAGGGGAGGGGAAAGAAGGGGAGGGGAGGGAAGGGGAGGGGAGGGAAGGGGAGGGGAGGGAAGGGGAGGGGAGGGAAGGGGAGGGGAGGGAAGGGAAGAAATACACACACATGCGTACACACACACGTATACACACACATGCGTACACACACGTATACACACACATGCGTACACACACGCGTATACACACACATGCGTACACACACATACAGGAGTGTTATTCCACAGGAGGAAAAGGGAAGGGGGGGAGAGAGAGAGAGACAGAGAGAGAGAAAGGAGAGAGAGAGAAGGGAAGGGAAGGGAGGGCAGGGCAGGGCAGGGCAGGGCAAGCCCGCCATTTGTGAGGACACGATGAACCTGAAGGGCATTTGTGGTAAGTGAGATAAGCCAGGCACAGAAAGACAAACAGCACATGGCCTCACTCGAGTGACGTGTGAAAAAGCGGAACTCACAGAAGCAGAGTGAACAGTGGCTGTCAGGGCTGGAGGGGACCGGGAGTTGAGGGTCACAGGGAACAAAGGTGCAGTTATGAGATTAGCGGGTTCTAAGATGTAATGAACGTGGTGACTACAGCTGATAAGAATGTGTCCTTTATTTATTTATTTTGAGATAGGGCCTCCCTCTGTCGCCCAGGCTGGAGTGCACCGCAACCTCCGCCTCCCAGGCTCAAGTGATTCTCCAGCCTCAGCTTCCCAAGTAGCTGGGACCACAGGTGTGCACCACCACGTCCAGATAATTTTTTTATATTTGTAGAGACAGGGTCTCACTATGTTGCCCAGGCTGTGTGTCCTCTATTTAAAATTTAGTGTTCTCACCACAGAAAGAAGTAACCATGTAAGGTGATGGGTGTGTTAATTAGCCCAATTGTGGGACTCATTTCACAATGCCTACGTGTGTCAGGTTGTGATGCTGCATACCTTGAGTGCACACCGTCCTGAATTGTCAACTATACCTCAATAAAGCTGGAGAGAGAGAAAGAAAAGAAAAGGTATCCTGGGACGGTGACGTGGGTAACGGGCCCCAGGACACTCACAGAGAGAGGGAATGCAGGTGCAAAGGCCCCGGGGCAGTGACAAACAGGAAGCAGGAAGAAGGGCCAGGGTACGGGGATGGGGCCTGGCCGACCTCCATGCCCAGAGCCTTCCTTTCCCGAGTGGGAAGAGCCGGGAGGTTCCTGCGGAACAAACGCCTGGGTTGAGGTGGCGCAGAGCCCTGAGGGGGCTCAGGCGAGGGTCCAGGCCAGGTGGGCAGGCGGGGGCAGCACTCTGCAAGGGCAGGAGCCATCAGGAGAGCATCGGCTGTCCCTGGGGAAGGCCCCTCATGGAAGGAGTGAGCCGGTAACAGGGAGTTGGGGGGCGGATTTGGGGGTCAAGCACAGGCTCCTGAGCGGCCAGGCGGTGAGCGTCTGCACTGCCCTGCAGACCTCAGGCATCACTGGCATCTTGAAGCAGAAATGACATAATCAAGTTTTGCTTTAGGAAGAAATATCTCTATCCCCAAAGCCAGCAAACATATGAAGAGATGCTCGAAATCATCAGTCATCAGAGAAATGCAAATTAAAGCCACCACGATGATCCCGTCCCACCATCTAGCTGCCAAGATGAGAGGCCGGATCTGCCAAGTCCTGGCAGGGGTTTGGGAGCATCCCCTGGAGGGACGGAACCCTCGTCCACTGCCCCCTGCCCGAGGAAGGGGTGAGGCGGCCCTTAGGGAGAGCAGCTGGAGCCGGGGAAGGGCTGGGAAGTCCTCACCCAGGTCCATGGGGGCAGGTCCAAGGCTGCGCACCGAGGCGCCATCATGGACCCCTTCTCTGCCGGCCGCCTGCAGTTCTGGGGCTCAAGCACAGGGTGCCCTGCCAGGGAAGGTGCGGCAGGAGATCCAGCCCCTCCACCAAAGCCTGCCTGGAGAGAGAGGAGGGCCTGTTCCTCATCTTTCTTCTGATTTACACAAAGGCACGATGTGGGCCGGCAGGAGACCTGAACCCGGGGTCCCTTCCTGGAAAGTGCGTGGGCAGCTCGTGAACCCGGTGTCCCCTCCTGGAGAGGACGTGGGCAGCTCGTGGACCCGGGTCCCTTCCTGGAGAGGACGTGGGCAGCTCGTGAACCCGGTGTCCCCTCCTGGAGAGGGCGTGGGCAGCTCGTGAACCCGGTGTCCCCTCCTGGAGAGGACGTGGGCAGCTCGTGAACCCGGTGTCCCCTCCTGGAGAGGACGTGGGCAGCTCGTGAACCCGGGGTCCCTTCCTGGAGAGGGCGTGGGCAGCTCGTGAACCCGGTGTCCCCTCCTGGAGAGCGCGTGGGCAGTTCGTGGACCCGGGTCCCTTCCTGGAGAGGACGTGGGCAGCTCGTGGACCCGGGTCCCTTCCTGGAGACGACGTGGGCAGCTCGTGGACCCGGGTCCCCTCCTGGAGAGGGCGTGGGCAGTTCGTGGACCCGGGTCCCTTCCTGGAGAGGACGTGGGCAGCTCATGAACCCGGGGTCCCTTCCTGGAGAGGGCGTGGGCAGCTCGTGAACCCGGTGTCCCCTCCTGGAGAGGACGTGGGCAGCTCGTGAACCCGGGGTCCCTTCCTGGAGAGGACGTGGGCAGTTCGTGGACCCGGGTCCCTTCCTGGAGAGGACGTGGGCAGCTCGTGGACCCGGGGTCCCTTCCTGGAGAGGACGTGGGCAGCTCGTGAACCCGGGGTCCCTTCCTGGAGAGGACGTGGGCAGCTCGTGGACCCGGGTCCCTTCCTGGAGAGGACGTGGGCAGCTCGTGGACCCGGGTCCCTTCCTGGAGACGACGTGGGCAGCTCGTGAACCCGGGGTCCCTTCCTGGAGAGGACGTGGGCAGCTCGTGAACCCGGGGTCCCCTCCTGGAGAGGACGTGGGCAGCTCGTGAACCCGGGGTCCCTTCCTGGAGAGGACGTGGGCAGCTCGTGAACCCGGGGTCCCTTCCTGGAGAGGACGTGGGCAGCTCGTGGACCCGGGTCCCTTCCTGGAGAGGACGTGGGCAGCTCGTGGACCCGGGTCCCTTCCTGGAGACGACGTGGGCAGCTCGTGGACCCGGGTCCCCTCCTGGAGAGGGCGTGGGCAGTTCGTGGACCTGGGTCCCTTCCTGGAGAGGACGTGGGCAGCTCGTGAACCCGGTGTCCCCTCCTGGAGAGGACGTGGGCAGCTCGTGAACCCGGGGTCCCTTCCTGGAAAGGGCGTGGGCAGCTCATGAACCCGGTGTCCCCTCCTGGAGAGGACGTGGGCAGCTCGTGAACCCGGTGTCCCCTCCTGGAGAGGGCGTGGGCAGCTCGTGAACCCGGTGTCCCCTCCTGGAGAGGACGTGGGCAGCTCGTGGACCCGGGTCCCTTCCTGGAGAGGACGTGGGCAGCTCGTGGACCCGGGTCCCTTCCTGGAGAGGACGTGGGCAGCTCGTGGTGGACGTGCACTGGTTCCGTCAGGGCTGGCATCATTTGCTGCAGGAACAAACAGCCCCAAAACGGAGCCACTCGCAGCCACACAGGCTCACTGCTCACCCACGTTAGGATTTGCGGGGCTCTGGTCCACTTCATCCCCTGCCGCCAGGCCCCAGGCCTGGGCGGCCTCCCTCTCACCGCGCCTGGGTGGGTTTGCCCGTCCTCAGGGCTGTGGCCTGGCTGCGCTCCTGGAAGCCGGGGCCCCGTGTATCTCCCTGATTCCCCGGTGGGCGTCCAGCAGAGGCCGGTCAGGGCAAGAATGCCCGACCCTCAGGGTCCTCCTCAGAGTCGCTGCGGGATCACTTAGGCGCCTCCGGAAACAACACTGTCTTTGCACTGGAATTTTCAAAACAAGACTGCCCTTCCCCTCCCTCCGCGGTGCCCTTCCCCTCCCTCCGCGGTGACCCCGCCCCCTCCTCCGCGGTGACCCCGCCCCCTCCTCCGCGGTGACCCCGCCCCTTCCTCCGCGGTGACCCCGCCCCTTCCTCCGCGGTGACCCCGCCCCCTCCTCCGCGGTGACCCCCGCCCCCTCCTCCGCGGTGACCCCACCCCTTCCTCCGCGGTGACCCCGCCCCCTCCTCCGCGGTGACCCCCGCCCCCTCCTCCGCGGTGACCCCACCCCTTCCTCCGCGGTGACCCCGCCCCCTCCTCCGCGGTGACCCCGCCCCTTCCTCCGCGGTGACCCCGCACCCCCCGCGGTGCCCCTCCCCCTCCCTCCGCGGTGACCCCGCCCCTTCCTCCGCGGTGACCCCGCCCCCCTCCTCCGCGGTGACCCCGCCCCTTCCTCCGCGGTGACCCGCCCCCCCTCCGCGGTGACCCCACCCCTTCCTCCGCGGTGACCCCGCCCCCTCCTCCGCGGTGACCCCACCCCTTCCTCCGCGGTGACCCCGCCCCCCCTCCGCGGTGACCCCGCCCCTTCCTCCGCGGTGACCCCGCCCCCTCCTCCGCGGTGACCCCACCCCTTCCTCCGCGGTGACCCCGCCCCCTTCCTCCGCGGTGACCCCCCCGCCCCCTCTCTCCCCGGTGAACCCTCCCCCTCCCTCCGCGGTGAACCCTCCCCCCCCCGCGGTGAACCCTCCCCCTCCCTCCGCGGTGCCCCTCCCCCTCCCTCCGCGGTGACCCCGCCCCCTCCCTCCGCGGTGACCCCGCCCCCCTCCTCCGCGGTGACCCCGCCCCTTCCTCCGCGGTAACCCCTTAGAAGCTCTAAATGGCGCTGATGTGTGTTCTTAGGAATATGTTCTCAACCTTCAAAGCTCAAAAGGCTCACGTGATGGTGTCTAAGCAACGTGTGCGCATCCGTGAGGACGTGGTATCTGCATCCGGGTGGCCGGCGTGTCCCTCTAGAAACGAACAGGCCCCTCCCGTCCTCCATGGCGATGTGGCCCAGGCACACCCTCATCAGCACTGCAGGCCCCGGCATCTGAGCAGCCATCCCTGCAGGAAGCCCCTGAGGCTTGGGGTGGCCATTGCCGCCACATGGTCCTGCCAGCCTCACTGCAGGTCTCCTGCCTGCGGCTTTGGCGTGTCCACCACACTCAGCTACCGTGCAGGTCTCTTCAGGCCACCACAACAAACGACACAGGCCAGCGGCTCAAACCACACGCACCCGTCGCCCACCCCGGAGGCTGGGGCACCCGTCGCCCACCCCGGAGGCTGGAAGTCTCCACCCTGGGGCCGGCAGGGCAGGTTCATCCTGTGCCTCCCTCCTTGGCCGGCAGTCGGTGTCTCCTCTGTGCGTTCACCTGGTGGCCCCCTGTGCCTGTCTGCATCCTTACCTCTTCCTTGTCCTTCACGGGCTGGTCATCACGAGCCAGTTATCACCAGCCAGTTATCACGGCCGGTCATCACGGGCGGTCATCACGGGTGGTCATCACGAGCCAGTTATCACCAGCCAGTTATCACGGGCCGGTCATCACGGGCGGTCATCACGGGTGGTCATCACGAGCCAGTTATCACGGGCCAGTCATCATGGGCCGGTCATCACGAGCCAGTTATCACCAGCCAGTTATCACAGGCCGGTCATCACGGGCGGTCGTCACTCTCAAAGCCGCTCTCCGGGGCCTTTTCCTCCCTGATCGCCTCTTCGTATTGTGTCACCCATGGGACTGGATCAGGGTCCACCCCAACAACCTCGCTTTACCTTGACACCCTCATTAAAGACCCCTTTATGCAGTCACATCCTGAGGTCGTGGGGGTGGGACTTCAGCATGTGGATTTGTGGGGGACACAGCCCAGCCATCACAGCTCCCGAGCCCACATCTCCTCGGAGCCCCTGGCGGCCCCCCAGGAGTCCCCTCACCCACGTGCTCAGAACTGAACTGGGGACTTCTGGTCCATGTCCAGCAGAACCTGACTCCATCGCGGTCTCCAATGCCCATGCCGGACACCCCACGGCCCTTGTCCTGTGATCCCGAACCTCACGGCTGCCGCCCCCCTCACGGACCGTGCAGCCTCTGACCCCACAAGTCTTCCTGAAGAGGTCCTCAGACTCGCAGCTATGCAGACCAGGCTGTCCCCGCACCCTGCGCCCTGGCAGGAGCCCCCAGAGGCCAGGACGGCTGGAGTCCCCCCAGCTTCCATCACTGTCCAGTTCTCCCCAGCCTGCCCTCTCCTTCCTCAGACACATTCACCCCATGACACCTGGCCTGTTGGAAACAACCCAGCCCTGAGCTGCCCTCAGTGCTTCCGGCCCCTCATGGGATGCAGCTTCCCCACCAGCCCCCAGGCTGGGCTGCACCCCTCCTACCACCGGCCCCTAGGCTGAGCTACACCCCTCCCAACGCTGACCCGGCCGCACCTTCCTCCTCCCTCCAGGTGGCTCCCGGCTCCACTGGCCTCCCCAGCTCTGGGCCTCTCTGCAGGGCCCCCTCACCCCGAGTGCCTCCTCCAGGGGAAGCCCTGGAACGCACAGATCAGATCGGCTCCTACCCCTGAGCTTCCCTCCCCAGCCCTGCTGCAGCTGCTGCGGTTTGCTTGGGTGGGGCCTGTGCCCCGGGTCAGCGTCCACCCCCTGCACGCCGCAGAGGTTCTCCAAGTCCCTGCAGAACCAAGGGCCAATTTGCAGCCTGACCACACTGCAGCTGTCACACAGCCTGGTGGAGCAGTGACGTTTGGGCTGATTGTGGTGGCTCCTCCCAGGTTGGGAGCCTCAAAGTGCCCTCCCATCCCCCACCCCTCCCCCACCACAGCTGAGGCACTAGGAGGTCCTCCCCAATCATGATCACCAAGATGCATCCCCAACTGTCCTCTCACCCCACCTGCATCTCTCTCCCCTGCCTCCTCAGTGGGCTAGCCTGGGCTCCTCCCAGGATCAGTGGGCTAGCCTGGGTGTGTCCTCTTGGGATCAGTGGGCTAGCCTGGGTGTGTCCTCTTGGGATCAGTGGGCTAGCCTGGGTGTGTCCTTTTGGGGCCAGTGGACTAGCCTGGGCGCATCCTCCTGGGATCAGTGTCTGGAGTTGGGCTCGTGATAGGTTCACAATCACTTCCATCCCTTCTGTGAAGCACCACAGCTGGCCAGACCCTGAGGTAGGGGTGAGAGAGGCCGAGGTGGGGGTGAGAGAGGCCGCCACCCCCAGCACTCTCCTGCCCCACAGCCTGAGGATCTGCCTGGGCCGTGCACCTCGGGGGCCCTGGGCTCCATCCACTACATGTGGTGCTCAGCCGGGGGCTGATTCTTGAGCTCTGGCCCTGGGGATTCCCCTTCTGGATACACCTTTTCCTCTTTCCTGACTGCACAACCCCACACAAGTCAGGGCATTCTGAATTGTGACAGAAAAGGCAACAAAAGTGGTTGAAGCCAAGGGAGAAATTAGTGACTCACATAACCAGGACGTCCTGGAGTGGGTGGCTTCAGGTCTAGCTGGATCCAGGGGCTCAAAGGACGTCATGGGGGCCTTGCTTCTGTCTCCCTCTCACCTTCACTCTTGGAGTCAGCTCCACTCTCAGACCAGCTCACCCTTCCCGCACGATGCCCACAGGGGCCTGGTTTCTATCCTCCCAGGAAACATTCTCCCCAGGAGCCTCCAGGAGGAACCTCCTGGCCCACACCTTGATCTGGGCCTCATGAGCACCGTCCAGAGGCCACCCCCCTCGAGGTATCCCACGCACCAGGCCGCCCCCCTCGAGGTATCCCACGCACCAGGCCGCCCCCCTCGAGGTATCCCACGCACCAGGCCGCCCCCCTCGCGGTATCCCACACACCAGGTTCTCTGCTGGGAACCGTTTTCTTCACGCCACTCATGTGAGCAGCTCCCTGTGCACCAGGTGATGTTCCAGCCGCGGGGGTCAGCAGTGAAGGGACAGTGTCCCCGGGGCTCACGGTGTAGTGCAGGCAGCACTACACCAGTGAGAGCCACCATCGGTCTTGTGGGCACCAGCGTGGGGCAAGGTGACCTGATGCCACCCTGAGGAGCCCTGCCATGCCCCTCCGAGAAGGCATGAGTGGAAGCTGCCAGCAAGGAGAGAACACAGGCAGAGGCCCCGAGGCAGAAGCCGCTCTGAGGCGGGGATGCAGGGTGGGCAGGGGTGGAGAGAGTGCCCAGAGTTGGTGGGGGGGGGGGTGTCCCAGGACTCAGGCCGCACTGGGAGTTGGCATGTGCTTCTGAGGATGCCCGTCTATCTGTGCAGGCCACGGGGCACCATCCAGCCCGGCAGGAGCAATGCTCTCAGAAGGGAACCTGCGTTGTATGACTCACAACCTCCCAGACCTGCCTTAGGAATGAAATTCAGACCTCCAAACTGACGAGGCCACAGGAGGCTGGAGTGGGCCAGAGTGGACTGTAGGAGGCAGGAGTGAGCCGCAGGGGGCAAGAGTGGGCCGCAGGAGGCCGGAGTGGACCACAGGAGGCTGGAGTGGGCCAGAGTGGGCCGCAGGAGGCCGGAGTGGACCCTTCCTTGTGTCGCCTGCACGGCGGGCTGCTCTTCTCACTTACGCTCCTGATGCAGGGATTGCAGCCGCCTGTCGCTGGAACACCATCTCCCTTCCTGCAGCTGCCGTAATGAACCACCACACACTGGGCTGTTTAAAACCACACACTTACCTTCTCATAGCCTGAAGTCCCAGAGGGGCTCCTGGGGCTGACGTGGAGGTGTGGGCAGGCCGGGTTCCTCTGCAGGCTGTGGGAGGGTCCCACCCTTGAATCTTCCAGCGTCCGGAGGGTGCCGAGCCTCCCACAAGGACGCTTGTGAACACATCCAGGGCCGCCTGGACCATGCAGGGCTCCGTCACCATCTCAAGATCTTCAGCTCAACCATATCCACCAAGTCTCCTCACCACGGAAGGTGCTACATCCCAGGCTCCTGGGACCGGGCATGGAGCTCCCGGAGCCCAAGGCTGGTCCCCACGGCCTCAGCATCCTCCCTCAATGCCCTGAACAGGCTGGTGAGGGTTCAGGCCTGCACCTCCGGCTGTGGCTCTCAGCTCTGCCTCACTTCCCAAACAGCCAGGAACAAGTCCTGTTGGAAACACTCCCCTACTGCCCTCCAAGTGAGCCCCCATGCTGGTCAGGTACAGGCCACCCCTGCCTCTCCCTGGGCCCTGTAGCAGCCTCCTTGGCCCCTCAGCACTTCTACTCTTGGCCCCTGGCCCACGGTCTACAGTGCTGTGCAGGAACCCTCCTAACTACAAGTCAGATGTCGGCACTCTCGCCCCAAACTCAGACTGGAGAAATGGGGAGGAAAGGGCTCCAAGGGCCGTCCTGGGAGGATGTGTGGGCTGCACACCATGACGCTGGGAAGTGCATGGGGGGAATAGGGAGGTGGGGAGCTCAGCTTGGCCCCTCGCCTCACCCCTGACCTTGCCAGAGGATTGAGCTCTGCAGATGCAGCCCCCCCAGGGTCGCAGGTGGCCCTCACAGCCCACCCCTCCAGGGTCACGGGCGGCCTCACAGAGCCTCTGGGAGAGCCACAGGGATGCCTGGGCTGCCGCGGCACCACCACCTCACGCACCCCAGAACACACGCCCGTATCTTGGTGCGCTCCAAAGCTCACACTTGCTGAAAAAATAAGGTTCCGAGTGTGGCGGCAGGGGGCCACCTTCCAGACCTTTCTCCGCACTTTCGGACACTCCCAGGGACCCTCGGGAAAGGCATAGCACCGTCCCACGGGGCTCCTCCCGCTCACACGAGCGGCTGCACCCCTCCTGCCGTATGGCCTCTTCCCTCCGCGACGTCACCTCCAGAGCAACCTCGTGCCTTAGCCGCAGCAGCGTTTGCGCTCAAGGATGCCGCCGCAGCGAGCCTTTTCCGTAACAAAGGCCACGGGGACTGTTTCTAATGTTCTATCGCAGATGGGGCTCTGGGGCAGCTGCTCTCCTCCAGGGTTTCTAATGAAACTCCCGGCTCTCAGCCGGGACTGTCCCCTGTGTCCTCCAGGAAAGACACTGGCTTCAGGGCCCGTTCCCACCGGAGCTGCTGCATCCGACACGCTGGTCGGCTTCTGTGGGTTAAGTTTGGGTTTGTGGGATCTTCGAAGGACTGATTATGCATTCAGGAAAGAGAAACTTCCAGACTGTCCACGAGGCCCCAGGCCCCTGTCATTTCCTCCTGGCAGCACCCCAACCCTGGGGCACGGTGCATGAGCGGGCCGGCCGTCCACACCCTGTGTGCCCCAGGCTTCCCTGCAGCTGGGCTTCCAGGTGGCCCTGCCAACTGGAAGGGAAGCTGTTCGGCCTCCACACCAGTGAGGCTGCACCCCTAGGGACCCAGCGGCCCCCTCCCATCAGCAGCCCTGGCCCCTGTGCACTGTGGGCCTCCCTGAGGCTGTCCTGCTGGGCTCTCATCTGTGTGGGGTAGAAGCTCCCCTTCTTGGGAGCACCCTGTGGTCGTTTCCCAGGCTCCATAGCAAAGTGCAGTGGAAGGCTGGGTGCAGTGGCTCACGCCTGTAATCCTAACAATTTGAGAGGCCGAGGCGGGTGGATCACTTGACATCAGGAGTTCAAGACCAGCCTGACCAACATGGTGAAACCCTGTCTCTACTAAAAATACAAAAATTAACCAGGTATAGTGGTGAGCACCTGTAAACCCAGCTACTTGGGAGGCTGAGGCAGGAGAATCGCTTGAACCCAGGAGGCAGAGATGGTGGTGAGCTGAGATCGCGACACTGCACTCCAGCCTGAGCAACAGAGTAAGACGCCGTCAAAAAGAAAAAAAAAGTACAGCTTAAAGCACAGAAATGTCTTCCCTTGAGATTTAGAGACCTGATGTCCAGAACCAGTGTTATTGGAGCCACGCTGCCTCAGGAGGCTCCAGGGGAGGACCCGTGTCTCTTCCTGTTCCTGGTGGTGTTGGCCTTCCCGCCTGTGTGGTTGCGTCGCTGCAGCCTCTGCTCCCGTCCCCACACACCGTCTCCCCTAGGCCTGTGTGTCTTTTCACAAGGGGGCCAGTGTTTGGATGTAGAGACCAGCCAAATCTGGGAACTTCATTTTAACATTTGCAATTACATCTGCAAAGACCCAATTTCCAAATAGTGTTACATTCTGGGGTTCTGGGGGTTGGGACTCCAGTGAGTGATACTGAGGACACACGGTAACCCATAACACAGCCTCCTCACTTCCTTCACCTCCAGCACAACTGTGTTAGTCAGGGGTCTCCAGAGAGACAGAGCCAACATGACACAGAGAGAGAAGTGAGCAGGGTCTGTTAGGGGAACCAGATGATGGAGGCTGGGAAGTCCCACAACAGGCTGTCTGCAGGCTGGACAACACCGGATGCCGGTAGTGTGGCTCAGTCCACGTCAGAAGGCATCAGAACCCGGGAAGCTGATGGCGCGACTCAGCCCGAGGCCACAGGCGTGAGACCCGGGGCTGCCAGTGCGAGTCCTAGAGCCCAAAGGCTGGGGCGCCTGCAGTTCTGTCTGAGGGCAGGAGAGGAAGCGTGCATCCCAGCTGCCGTGGGGAGAGACACATTCCCCTTTTCTGTTTCTGTTCTCTCCAGACCCCAGCTGGAAGGTGCCACCCACACTGAGGGCAGGTCATCTTCACCTCCGCCACTCGGACACACACTGCAGTCTCCTCTGGAAACACCTGCACAGAGGCAGCCAAAAATCATGCTCTGCAGGTCACCAGGAGCTCCCCAGCCAGTCCCATTGGCCCTGGGAGTGTCCCAGCCCCCTCATGTCCGGTCCCATTGGCACGAGAGCATCCCAGCCCCCTCGTGTCCAGTCCCGTTGGCACTGAGAGTGTCCCAGCCCCCTCGTGTCCGCGATGGCCGCACAGCCCTTCCGACATTTGTGTACCTGTCCCCACGTTAAATGCCTCTCTGCCTGAATACAGACATGTTTTTGTTTCCCCAAACTGATGCTGTCACGTTGCAGCCAGAGGCCAAATCCATAGGATGCAAGTAACAGAACATCCAACAAAGAGCAGCTCAAACTGTACGGACAGCTACTTCCCGGATGAAATGTCTGGAGGTAGCTGGTCCAGGCCGCCAGCTCCCCATTCTGTTGTCTCTGTCTTTCTGCCCCACTGTGTCAGCACGTTGGCTCTTCCTCCTGGAGCTCGCTGCCTCATGAGTGCAAAAAGGCTGCCACAGCTCTAGGGAGCATATGCTCACAGGGCAGCATTCAAAGCCAGGAGTGGGGCGAGTGGGCAGGATGAAAAACGGATGACATCTTTGTGTGTCCTTCTCTCTTCATCACAGAGGGGCATCTTCCCCAGACGCCCTTGCAGACATTGCCTTATACCTCACAGGCCTGGCTCACCCATCCCCTGGTCTCACATGGGGAAACACAGTCACCCAGGCTCCAGCCGGGCATGACTCCTCCCTGGGGTGGATGGGAGCCCTGCAGCTGACCTGCAGAGCTGAGAAGAATGTGAGCGCTCACGGCCGCAGACACTGAGATTTGCCATCGCTGGGACACAGCAATGACTGACAGATGCGCCCAGACCTAACTGGGACCTAACCTGGAAATAACCGGAACATAACAGGACCTAACCCGGACATAACCCAGAAATAACCGGAACCTAACCCGGACATAACCCGGACATAACCCGGACCTAACCGGGACCTAACGCGACATAACCCGGACCTAACCGGGACCTAACCTGGACGTAACCAGGACGTAACCTGGATGTAACCCGGACATAACCAGGACCTAACCTGGACATAACCTGGAAATAACCGGGACCTAACCCGGACACAACCTGGACATAACCGGGACCTAACTGGGACATAACCCGGACATAACCGGGACCTAACCAGACATAACCCAGAAATAACCGGAACCTAACCCGGACCTAACCCGGACATAACCGGGACCTAACCAGGACATAACCGGAACACAACCGGGACATAACCTGGACATAACCAGGACGTAAACCGGACATAACCGGGACATAACCGGGACCTGCTGGGCATGGGAGGTGGGAACAGCTCGGGCCCAAGAACCAACAGTGTGGCACAAGTAGCAGAAAGGTGTCCAGAGAGCTGCCCGGGCCTCAGAGACTTGTGTGGGGCAGCCGGGACACGATGTCCAGAGAGCTGCGTGGGGTGGCCGGGACACTGCGGGGAGGTGGGTAGGTGGGGTGCAGACTCGAGCCCCGGTGCTGGTCCAGTGAGGCAGGTGGGCCTCAGGTGGGGACCTGGCCCCCTACGGTGTCCGTTCCCATCTAGTTTTAGGGCCCGCCTCTGCCTCCTCAGTCTGTGGTCTCGGTAGACCGAGGCCTGTCAGTCACAGCTTCACACCCCCGAGCTGCAGGGACTTGGCGGCCTGAAGATCCCATTCAGAGAGGACTCGGGACTTTGCTCAGAGCTTCATAAAATTCTATTTTTCCTGTCGACATTGAACCCCTTAACTCCCCACTTAAAGCTGAGGCTGCTGGAACCCCTGTCCCTGAATCCAGCCCTGCCTGAAGCCAGGGCGTGTCGGGAACCCCAGCGGGTACGGGGTGCTGCCTGAATCCAGCCCTGCCTGAAGCCGGGGCCTGTCAGGAACCCCACGGGGTACGGGGTGCTGCCTGAATCCAGCCCTGCCTGAAGCCGGGGCATGTCGGGAACCCCAGCGGGTACGGGGTGCTGCCTGAATCCAGCCCTGCCTGAAGCCAGGGCGTGTCGGGAACCCCAGCGGGTACGGGGTGCTGCCTGAATCCAGCCCTGCCTGAAGCCGGGGCCTGTCAGGAACCCCACGGGGTACGGGGTGCTGCCTGAATCCAGCCCTGCCTGAAGCCGGAGCCTGTCGGGAACCCCACGGGGTGTGGGCTGCTGCCTGAATCCAGCCCTGCCTGAAGCCGGGGCCTGTCGGGAACCCCACAGGTACGGGCTGCTTTGGGTTTGCATTTCTGCCACTTTCAAGGGAAAGAGCCCAAGCTAATCCCGGCTGCTTGTCCCTGGCCTCTCCTCCTTCCCACAGCCTGACCCCACACCAGGCTGGGCACCCCACTGCAAGGGGCAGACTCGGGGGCCAGGGCCTGGCACAAGGACCCTCCTCCCAACCTGCAACGTCCCTTTCTGGTGTGAGCACCTGTGCAAGCTTGTGCACTCTCACACTGCACACGGAGCATGGCCAGCTGAAACACTCTCCAAGGAGAGCCAGGGAGTGGCTGCCAGGAGAGAAAGGTAAGTGTGGTAACGGGGAGAGCCAGGCGCATGGGAGCTCACGGACATCATGACGGTGACATAGCGTCCTGAGGAACTGACTGGGAGACTCCAGTGCTCCTGACACAGACTGGGAGGGGCAGTGGCAGGAGGTGGCTGGAGCCCACGGTGCTGCAGGCCTGGAACGGCCCAAGCCCGCTGAGGTGCGGGGACAGGGGGTCTGCAGCAGTCACACGACGGCAGGAGTGTAACCTGGCTGCTCCGTGTGGCTCCCTCTGCCTTCTGCATTCCACTCCTGCTTTCCAACATGCCTGCTGGTTTTCTGTGGTCAGCCCTAACCCAGAGCCATCTGGCGATGAAAATTCTAAGAAATTCTCTGCTGCTCAGCAGGGCCCACCTCACGCAAAGCCACCATCAGCCTCAGGAAGGAGTGGCATTGGGTTAGGGCTTGGGGGAGAGGGAGGGTCCAGGGGAAAGGACGGCAGGTCTCAAGCCCCTGCGGAGGGAACACGCCTGCTCCCCTGGGTGAACAGGGAGGGGGCGGCCCGCAGAGCTGCAGCAGGCTCGGAACCAGGCAACAGCACATCCTCAGGAGCAGGATGACTGGAAGGGGGCACGTTGAGGACTCCAAACACTCAATTGCCTTGACATGTGGCTCAAGGCACATTCTAACTGCAATGCCAGGAAGAGGCCACCTGACTGGTGTCACCTGGGTCACCTGCATGACAAACTGAGCCATCACACCCCACCAGAGCAGAAAGCACGACTTCTCTGCCCCGTGGAGGCTGGTCCTAGCCTTGAAACTTCCTTGACAGACACAACATGAGGCTTCAAGCACGGGCTTCTCCTAGGTTTATATGGCTCTGCTCAGCCTCCTGAGCCACTGAGGGAGAATGAACGCCTGCATCCCACAGAAAGAGGCCAGTGGATTATAGCTGGGCCTAACCAAAGTCCAAATGAAGAAGCAAAGCCCCTCTTGTCACCCTGCAACCCTGTGAGCAAGGCATTGTCACTGAGGGCCCAGGGGCTGTTTGTTACACAGCGTTCTCCAAGCAAGAGCTGACTGACGTTCCTTTGTTCCTTTTCTAGGGGAGCATGGGGCCTTAGGACCTGCTGTGTCACCAGACGGCACCCACAAGAGCAGACTATGCATCCAAAATACACTGAGGTGCCATTACGGGAAGGAAGAGGGGTGCATGCGGAGGGCTGGAGCTGACAGCCGGCTCACAGATGGGGCTGGGGGCTGCAAGAAATGGAACATACTTTCTACTTTTTGGCTGTCACCCCACAGGCAAGTTTGAAACCCAAAGGGCAAATGGCTTAGCTGATTTATAGAGCCTAATTTGGATCCGTTGCCCCAAATTGAATTTTGAATACAATTTCACATCAATTAACTTTGCACAGAGCCTTACAGATGGCAGGGAAGGACTCTCTAAAGCAAAGGCCAGTGGCTACGATGGAGGAGCTGATGTGCCATCCCGGAGCCCACCGATGCTCATAGCACCACTCAGGGCTCTGACCCGGGCGGGTTGGAAGGATGAGAGCTAAGGGGTGTGACGTGAGCAGGAAAGGGACCCGGGCTGGTTGGAAGGATGAGAGCTAAGGGGTGTGGCGTGAGCAGGAAAGGGACCTGGGCTGGTGGTGGGGCCAGAGAGCTGAGCCCTAGGGGCTGGGAAGGAGTTGTGGGCAGGAGCTGTGGGCCTCCAGCAGAGTGGAGAGAAAAGGGGTTTTGCTGGCAAGAGCTGGGGAAGAGGGTGGGGAGGGGCTGGAGGGCTTGATGAGCACCCACCTACGGCCCTGATTGTACCAGGGCCCTGACTGTGGTGCATTCAAACCCATGGTTCCCAGAGTGTGGTCCCCGACCAGCCCCAGAGAACCTCAGACGTGAGGGGTGGGGAACCCTGGGGTGGGCTCAGCTGTGTGTGCTCACACCTCCCTCCCGTCGTGGGTCTGAGGCCTCCATTGACTCACACACCGATTCACACACACCCAGGGGCTTTCACACCCCCGACGGCGGGACGCCTCATCGCCACGCCACCCCCACTTTATAGACGGGACGATGGAAGCACGTTAAATCATTTGCCCAAAATATTCTAAGTGGGTGGCACAGCTGAGGCTGGGGCCCAGGCGAGCCGGTCTAGAACTTCCCTGTCCAGCATGGTAGCCACCAGCCCCACAGGCTATTATATTTTAGATTAAAGTCTGTAAGTAAAATGTATAATCCAGTTCTTCAGCTGCACTTGCCACACTGCAGAGGCTTGAGCCACTCGTGGCTGGCGGCCACCGTCCGGACAACCCAGCCATTCCCTCCACTTCCGAGCTCTGCAGGCCACTGGCCTGGAGGTCTCCTAACCGCTGCAGTCTCTACCTTCCAAAGCACCCCATCCTGCCCGGGGCAAGAGAGGGCAGATGTGTGAGCACACAAACTGAAAAACCAAACAAGCACAGGAGGTCCAACCTGCACCACACCAAGAAGTCAGTGGGAGTGTGGGGGGTGGGGTTCGTGCTGCAAGCTCTGCCCAGGGCCCTGGCAAGCCCCAGGGAGGTTCGGAGTCCTGGGTGGGATGTCCGGTCACTGTGATGCGTGCTCCCGGAGACACACAGCCCGGTCCGCAAGCAGGCAAGTACGCATCTGTCAGAAACCACCCCCAGAACCACCCCCAGAACCACCATCCCTCCCAAGGGCTTCCCATCCAGCACGTAGCCCAGCTGCTTTCTTCTGTAAGAGAAGGTTCCCAAAGCAAGCCCTCCCTGGGGAGCACCTGAGCCCAGAACTCCAGAGACGGCGGCTGGTCCCTGGGGAGCACCTGAGCCCAGAACTCCAGCATCGGCGGCTGGTCCCTGGGGAGCACTTGAGCCCAGAACTCCAGAGATGGCGGCTGGTCCCTGGTTGGCCATCTGGACACCTGGAAATGGATCAAAGGAGAGAAGGCACCTGGGGACGCCTTCCCCAGGACAGCCAGGGAAACCCGGGGGGGAGCCCAAAAAGGAAGCCCCTGAGGAGGTCTACAGAGCCCCTGCCCTTCACTGGGGTCACACATCTGAACATCTTCGGAGATCAGATAAACAAACAGTGTATGTCTATAATCAGAAACTTCAGGCTGGGCACAGTGGTTCACGCCTGTAATCCCAGCACTTTGGAAAGCTGAGGCGGGTAGATCACCTGAGGTCAGGAGTTCGAGACTAGCTTGGCCAACATGGCGAAACCCCATCTCTACTAAAAATACAAAACATTAGTCAGACATGGTGGCATAGGCCTGTAGTCCTGGGTACTCGGGAGGCTGAGACAAGAGAATGGCTTGAACCCGGGAGACGGAGGCTGCAGTGAGCCAAGATCACGCCACTGCACTCCAGTCTGGGTGACAAAGTGAGATCTGTCTCAAAAAAAAAAAAAGAAAAAGAAAAAGAGAAAGAAACTTCAAATCCAAAACCTCAGACCTTCCCAAGCAATTCTTCTGGGGGGGAGGGGGTGCCCACAGGATGCCCCTTGCAGTCTGACTGACCTCTGGGCCCAGCCTAGGGTGGGATGGCCTCTGGGAGCCTCGGGGAACAGGTGAGGACTCCCAGGCTACTTGGGAAGAGGCCTGTATTTAAACAAGAGCCTCAAATGCCACCTGGGTGACCCTCGCCCACATTTCCTGGCCTTCTGTCCAGGGAGGGGAATTCGGGAGCAGGCGTGCATGGAGAAACTACTCGGGGTCCGTTTCTGTCTTCCTAATGAGGCTTTTAAAAATCAAAAGGGAGGATGCTGGAGGGTGAAACCACGGTTTAACAAAACCCGGAATGGGAAGAGGGGGAGGGGGACCCTGCCCCCACCCTGGGGAGGCTTTGACAGGGAACCAGAGAGCGGGCTGGGTGGACTGGAGGAGGCTGGGTGAACAGGAAGTCCCCCCACCCCAGTGAGCTACTTTCCCAACTGCCTCAGCCCAGCAAACAGCCAGTGGTGCCTGGACCACACCCTTCCTGCCCTGCACAAGAGGCCGCCAGTAGGCTCTCCCAGAGGCAGGGTAAAGTGGACCCCGCAGAGTGGGCGAGGACCCGTTCCCACTAAGGGCAACCGAGGGCAGGGTCCCACCACTGTCTTGGGCACCCTCCCCTCCGCCCTCCAGCAA
Organism: Homo sapiens; assembly: GCF_000001405.40. Taxonomy (NCBI): domain Eukaryota; kingdom Metazoa; phylum Chordata; class Mammalia; order Primates; family Hominidae; genus Homo; species Homo sapiens. The sequence goes on from NC_000012.12 coordinate 132,488,902, forward strand.
ACCACCATTCTTCTCCGAGGGCCTGTGCAGGGGTGTAGCCCCGACCTGAAACAGGGTGCCCATGACTGCTGGGGCTCGGAGTCGTCACTCCTCGGGGAGGCCCTCTGGACCACCCAATGCCCACTCTCTGTGACACCTCCCCGTTCGATTTTCTTCAGATTATCCTTGGCTGATATTCTATTTGGCCCTGTGTTCAGGGTCTCTCTCCCACTTCTAAGAGGGTAGTCTATCTCAGCCGCTGCGGGGTCACCAACAGAGCCTGGACACAGGAGGCATCTGGCAAATACGCGCTGCATGAATCAATGACTCCAGTGCCCACGCGCAAGGGGCCCCTGGGCTCAGAAAACCCCACCAGGCGGGCCCCTCCGAGCTCGGCCTGTCCTGGGGGTGGAGGAGGAAGTTCGCCCCGCGCCTGCCTCGCAACCGCAGCCGCCTCCGTGCGCTTCCTGCCCGCGCCGCCCTCCACACTGCGCTCCGTGTCTGGCAGCAGCCCCCGCCTCGCTGGGCGCGTTCCCGGGGGTCTCGGTGGCGGGAGCCGCCTTCTTGTGGGACTTGGGGGCACGTGGCGCGGGGCGGGGACGCGGACAGACCCCTCCCGCATCCTAGGAGGCCTGGGAGGGTCCGCGGGGACGCGGGGAGGGGGCACCGCCTGGCCGAGGACCCTCCCCCGGTCCTCCCCGCCCCTTCCCCGTCCCTTCCACGCTCGCCGAGGGCAGGACTTCGGTTCCGCGAGACCGGAGGCCCCTCGTCCTCCTCGGAAGCCGCCCGCGGCCGGGGACCCCAGTCCCGCAGAGGAGGGCGGCGCTGCCCCCGCCTCCCGCTTGGAGAGCGCCGCCCGCAGGTGCCCACGGAGGGGCCGCGGCATCCCAGCGCCCTCCCAGGAAGGAGCCGAGCGGATCACCGCCGGCTGCAGCGGAGGTCGGGGCGCCGGGGAGGGGCGCGGCTAGGGGGCGAGGTCGAAGGGCGGGCACCTGCGGGTGGGGCGGGGCCTGAATTAGCGGGAGCGCCCGGGAGGGGCGGGGCCGGGGCCTGCGTGAGCGGGTCGGGGAGGGGGCGGAGCCTGCGGGGGGCGGGGCCTGCGTGAATGGGGCGGGGAGGGGCCGGAGCCTTGTGAGCGGGGCGGGCCGCGTGTGCGGGGTGGGGGCGGAGCCTTATGAGCGGGGCGGGGCAGGGGCGTGGTCGGGGCGGGGCGCGCGGGCGCCCGCGGCGGCCCTCACTTCCTCTGGCGAGCGCAGCCGGGCGGAAGTGCGTCAGTTGTTATCTGTTCGGGGCGCCGCCGCCGCCTCACGAGCCCGGTGCCCAGGAGCCCGGCCGCCTCCCGCCTGCCGCCTGCCGCGCCCGCCCGGCCCCGCCCGCTCGGCCCGATCGCCGCGCCGCGCGCATGGGGCGCGCCCCCGGGGGGGCGGCCGAGGGCCGCTGAGCGCCGGGCCCGCCCCCGCCGATGCGCCCAGCCGCCCGCGCCGGGGGTCCCAGGCCGCGCCGGGCCCGGGGCTGAGCCGCCCCCCGCGCCCGGCATGCCCGGCCCGGCCCGCCGCCCGCCGCCGCCCAGGGCCCGAGCCCGCGCGGCGCACACTCAGCCCGGCGGCGCCGCGTAGCCGAGGGAGCCCGCCTGCTGCGAGCCAGGCGCGGGGCGTCAAGGTCACCGGCCCGACGGGGCGCACGCGCGGCCATGGAGGCCAAGGTCCGCCCGAGCCGGCGCTCGCGCGCGCAGCGGGACCGTGGCCGGCGCCGGGAGGCCGCCCGCGACGCCCGCGCCCAGAGTCCGTCGTCGGGCGACGAGCCCGAGCCCAGCCCCGGCAAGGAGAACGCGGGCCTCCGCGGCGCGCCCCCCCGAGGCGCCGCCCCCGCGCCCCGCACCGCGCGTCCCCCGCGCCGCCGCCGCCGCGAGTCCAGCTCGCAGGAGGAGGAGGTCATCGACGGCTTCGCCATCGCCAGCTTCAGCACCCTGGAGGCCCTGGAGGTAGGTGGACGGGTGCGGCTTCGCAGGCGTTGAGGCGAGAACGGGGCCCGGAGTTGACGCGTCGGGCGATCCCGGGACCCCTGGGCTTGCGACCGCCCGCGCCGTGGGCAGCCCTGAGGGAAGCCCCGGCCACTTGGTACCCGTTCCAGGGACCCTGGGTGCCCACCGCTCGCCCAGACCGTCGCATCTGGAAGACCCAGCAGCGTCGGGTGGGTTTGGGGACGTTTTAAGTTGCAGAGGCAAAAAAATCTACGCTTCGAAATTGGGGGCTGTCTGACAGCACCGTCGGCCTTTTATCAGTTGTGTTTCTGTGGCCAGCATATCGCTCTGCCTGGTTCAGGACGTGCTAGGGAGCAGTGCTGGATCTTAGGGAGGTGGTGATAAAATGGATACTCCGCGGGCCATCCCGTTCCCTCCTCCCTTCGAGGGCTCTGCTGAGAAGGGGAGAAGGAGGGTTAATCTCAAGACCCCTCTTGGTGACTGCTGCCTGCTGCATGGTTAATAGATTGGCCAAAAATATTGCTTGTCTGGCTGACGGACAGTATTTGCTGAGCAAATACTGCTCCTCTTACATGAACTCAGCTGAGCAGAGAAGGAAATTAAATGCTGTCTGAGAGTTGGGGCAGGCGCTGTCTCCCCAGGACTGGCATGGGCAGGAATGCTAGCAAGTTGCCCTGCACCAGGGCCGAGACCCGCCCAGCGAGGTGTGCCCCGTGCAGCACTTACTTTGGGGGACCCTCATCTGCTGGACTTTGACTCCCAGAATCACCCCATTTCCAACCCCTCTCACTTTTCCAGGGGCTTGGGAGCCCATGGCCTGGGATCCCCCAGTCTCAGAAGCTGAGCTTTGGGAAAAGGGGAGATGCCTACTGCAGGCCCCTGAAGCAGCAAGTCCTCTTCAAGTTCTCATCCAAACTCTGGGGACTGTAGAGAGCCTTGGGTCAGGGCCGGTGGCCAGGGAAGTGGCCCCAGAACAGGTGCCGCATCGTGTCCCGAGTGCACAGTCAGAGCTGGGGCTTCGTGTCCCAAGTGCACGGACAGAGCTGGGGCTCCTGTGGGCCCAGGACGGGGTGGGTGGTGGCCAGGCTCATCACACAGGCTGGCCATCCTCTGTCCTGCACATTATTAGATGGCTCCAGGGCTGGCACACGCCATTGCTCTGTGCTGGGACGGGATGGCCCTGGGGCTGTCTTCTGCCCTCTCAGTGGTGATAATGACACAGACTGTACGTGTACTGAGCAATACTGCAAGCCAGGCCCTGCGCTCGGCTCCTGCACTGCAGCTGAGACCACGAGGATGCCCACTTTCCAGAGCTGTCGCCACCCACCTGCACCTCCTGGGTCCCTAACCGCGGCTTCCTCACTGCTCCGAGCGGGTCAGCCCTTGTACCCTGCCGTTCTCTGTCTGCTTTATGTTTGGTGCCATTGTGTCTTTGCAAAAACGTCACCTCAGACTCCTCTGAAGTGGTGCCCCCCACCCCCGTCGACGTTGCCCACCTTCTTTTTGTCATCCCCACTCTGCAAAGCTGTTTTAGAATGTCTTTGCTCTCCATTTTCGTCTCCCACAAGAACTTGTAAGCTGAAAGAGAGCAGACACTGTGCTGTCCTGTGTGTCTCCTATGGGGTCTGGTGCCGGGAAGAGCTCGATGTGTAGAAAGTGCCCCAGATGCGTGTGTCAGGAATCTGAGTGAGGAGATGAACTGTACTCAGGAGATCCAGGGCCAATCCCAGGCCCACGTGTTTTGCCCGCAGCGGCTCTGACTGGCTGTCCACCTGCTCTGGCAGGGTCACGTGCCCCCAGCCTGCAGGCAGTGGGTTCAGTGGGTTTTGGTGACTTCGGCTTAGACCAGCTGGCCCCTCAGGTCATAGTGAGACAAGTCTGCTGCTGCGTGGCGTTAACACAGCCACAGCACCCCAGGGTGGTTTCATGTCCCTTCCTCTGCCCTTCGGAGCCTGCCTGGGAAAGTACGGGGCTTCTGCACAAGTCATAACCTCGTGATCATCCCATACGTGTCTCTTGGTTGTCTACATTTTTTGCCAAAGTATGGTGGTTTTTCCCCAAAGTTCAGATAATTCATAATTATATCAATAGTAGTGACTGGTTCAGTAAGCATTCTCTCCATCAGGCAGTGTTCTGAGCTGCCTTTCACAGACATCAACTCATTTACTCCTCAAATGACCCACGAGGAGGGCTGGATGCCCCCATTCCACAGATGGGGACCTTGAGGCTCCCCATTGAGGCAGAGCAAGAGCAAGGAGCACTGGGTGCCACGCCTGTCCGGCCTTAGAGTGAGCGGGCGCTGCCCTGCGAGGCCACCCACACGGGACACCGAGGGAGATGTGGCCACCAGGACCCAGCCCAGAGGCACAGCCTGCCCTTGGCTCTGCCGCCTTTGCTCACAGTCCCTCTGCCCCCACCCGCGTCTTGAGGGCTCTTCCTACTCTGGGATGCTGGAGGATGGGACGCTCAGGAGTTGGAGGAAGCCCTTGTAACCCCAGAGGCTGGCTTGTGCCCGCGGGACACTGCAGTGGTATAAACAACCAAACACAGGTGTAGACTTGCCGGGGAGGTGCAGCCTGCCTGCAGGAGTCCTGTTACCTCACCCCAGACCCCACACACACTGGGACCAACTCTCGGCCCCAGCCCTGGCCCCTGGGGCAGACCCCCACTCGCAGCCCCTTCTGACCCCAGGCAGACCACCCTCTCCGCCTGTCTGAACAGGCACCCCTTGCCCTGTGCCCGGGGCAGGTCTCTGTACCTGTTTTGTGCCCCCGGCAGGTCCCTGCCCCTTTTCTGTGCCCTGGATGGGACACACAGGCTGTTCTGTGCCCGGGGCAGGCCCCCGCCCCCTTTGTGTACCCTGGGTGGGACACATAGGCCGTTCTGTGCCCGGGGCAGGCCCCCAGCATCTGCACATTTATATGTGCTCCTGTAGGGGAGGAGGAGTCCCCGCTTGTCCTGGGCCTGTGTGTGCTGTGAACACAGCAGGCACTCCCTAAATGGTGGTGGTGGTGGTTGTGGGCTGAGGAGGGCCAGGGTCTGGCCTGGCTCAGGGTGTGCCTGCAGCCCTGGAGACAGCATTAATGATTAACTGCCCATAGAGATGGGAGCCCTGTGGCAGGGCTGAGGACCTGCAGAGGGGCGTGCTGGGCTGGGTGTGCTGGGGTGGGTGGGGCGGCGCGGCAGACCTGAGCCAGCCCCCGCTTGACTTTCTACTCTGTAACCAGGGGCCGTGGTATGTGGGGACAGGAGGCCTGAGGAAGCCCCGCTGGCCTCTCCCCTGCTCTTGTTCTGACCGGGAACTCTGGGTGCTTGGGAACGTGGCTCTTGCTGTCCCTTTTGTTTCCTGTGACAACTCTGTCCCCTGGTTGTACTGACCAGAGGACACTGGAAGCCCCCTACCCCTGGAGCAGTGCTGTGGCCATACGTGCCTGGTCAGTGCTGCTGTTCTCTGCCTGGGGTCCTCCCAAGAAGACTGGGGTCTGAGAGGTGTATCCAGGGCTGTGTCAGACCCCATCTTCCCACATAGCAAAGGCCATCCTTATCTGGCCTCAGGCCACAGAACAGGTTGTGCCGGTCCCTGTGTCTCCTGGGAGATAGGCCAGGCCTGCTTAGCCCAGTGGGCTGCACCGCCCACTCCCACATGCTGGCCGCTCGGCCCCAGTGACGCTGGCCATGGTGCTCTGGGCTGCGCCTGGGCCACAGGGAGGTGGCAGGGTGCCCAGGAGCACATTGGCCACTAGCTCCAGGCGGACACCACCATTCTGGTTTGGTGTCTGTGATTTTTGGTTAATTTGCATTTTTCAAACAGCAAATCACTTTCACCTGGTGACTTTCACTTGGTCCACACGTCAAGCTCCATAAGAAGGTGCGTGCTGAAGCTTGAGCTGTTCCCTGACTGGCACACGGGCCACGCAGAAGGTCCACGTGTGTCCCAGGAATAAAGGCGGAAGGAAAGCACCCAGCCTCCTGGCTCGGTGGCCAGCGGTCTCCTCTAACGCCTGTGCTTCCACATTCTCTGCTCAGCATAAACCACAGGACATGCACCCAAAATGCTGCTGAACCTGCACAGACGGTTGTGCTTAAGAAACCCCAGGCTACTGATCGTGTGCGGCCCCCGGCCTCCCAGGGCTGTCTGTGGGCGAGCTGTGACCCCTGCTGAAAATGGCCCAGAACCCTGGTGGGCATAGGGTGTGAGCCTGGAGCCGGTGGGCCTTGGCCAAGGGGAGGGTACAGGTTTTGAGACACGGCCCGTCGTGGGGAATGTGAGGGTGTGAGGGACTGGCCCAGACACTGCCCTGCCCTGCATCCTGGAGGCTGAGCCAGGTGGTCTCTCTGTGAGCCCCTAGTGGGCCTGGTGGGCTTCACAGAGGGGCCAGGGTTCCAGGAGCAAGAGCCCAGGCATAGGATCTGGGCTGGAAGTGTGACCTGGCCATGTGGGGGCGGGGCTGGGCCCGGCCTGCCGAGCACCGCGTGTGGGGCCTGACAGTGTCACTTGGACCTCCGGGGACCGCTGAGGCCACACTGTTGGTGGTGCCAGTGGGGGCTGAGTTTGCCAGGGGCACTGTGAGTCCATGCCTGGCCCATCTCTCAGATGGTGGTGGGGGCTGAGACCGCAGACATTTGGGTTCAGTGAGGAGAGCCAGGGAGAGGGCAGGCTTCGGCCCAGGAACTCCTTGTGGCTGCTTCCTGGTCTCCAGGTGGGGAAACTGAGGCACAGAGAGGGGAAGTGCTTTACCCACAGCCATGGGGCAGGGGTGCGGAGCTGAGCCGGGGCCTGCCCTGTGACAATGAGGGGCTGCCTGGAAGCTGCATGGATTCCTGTTCCTCCCACAGAGTCCCACAGCTGTGGGCAAGGGCTGCTCCCTCCGGGGAGGTGGACTCAGAGGCCCTGAAAGCAGCGTCGCTGGCCCCTCGGTCCACGTGGGTGCCCGCCACCTGTCCAGGCCCTGTCTGGGGGCCAGCAGCTCCTCAGGCCCTGCCATGGCTGGAGCAGGGCTTGCACCTGGCCTGCTTTGGCTCTGGGAAGGGTTCCACGTCCTCTGCCTGTGCTTCTGCCCCTCACGGGCCCCTGCCCAGTGGCTTGCTGGCCTCGGGGTCGGGGCTGTTACAGCAGGAGTCACCGGCCCTCTTCCCCATCCCCTCCCTCCCGGCTGCTTGGGCCTGTCAGTTCTTGGCTCAGGTTTCCAAGGCCTTCCTGTCCTTGCCGTGGCTACGCCGCGTGCCTGCACCTCCGCACGTGCTGCGCACCTTCGCGTTTGGGGCCTGGTGCCGGCTGCCCTTTGCCTGGAGGGGTCTCCCGGGGTCCCTGTGAGTCACCGCACAGTCCTGCAGCAGGGAGTCAGACCCACACTAGACCCTCCTTCCCCACTAGGCTCTCGTGCCCCAGCTGTCCTTACGGGGAGGTCTGTCGCCAGACGTCCGCCATATCCCGCCTTTGTGTGATTGCTTCTCTGGAGAAAGAGAAGTGCCCAGAACTGGCCCTGCTGTCTGTGGCTGGCAGTTTTAAGGCTCCTGATGGTTGTGAGGGTCTGTTCCCTGCCGAGGGGCCCGTGTTGCGTATTTACCCGGGCTTGTGTTTTTGTCACTCTGGAAGCCTCGTTTCACTGTGTTTTCTGGCTGGTTGTTGCTGTTTGTCTTCCCACCTGACATCTCTACCTGGGTACTTTGTTGGATTCCCTCCTCAGCACAGGCAGTTTCTAGGGGACTCTTAGGGGGTTGTCATTGGCCCTGCTGGCGTCTGCACATGGCTGTGACGTTGCTGCTTCCCTGCGGCTGCGCTGGATTTGTGAGTGTGTCCAGAGCGTGAGGATTGGTGTTGCTGTTTGTGGGTATCTGTGTCCCTCCCTCCTTCCCTGTTTCCCCACATTCTGATGGGCGCTCTGTCTTGCACGGGACGCATCTCTGGTCCAGCATCAGGTAGGGGTGACCCTGCTCACCCAGCTTGTGCCGCCGCCCCGCGCTTCCTTCCCAGGCCCTGCGGTGTCCTGTGTTGCGCGGGGCGCGTCTCTGGTCCAGCATCGGGTAGGGGTGGCCCTGCTCACCCAGCTTGTGCCGCTGCCCCGCGCTTCCTTCCCAGGCCCTGCGGTGTCCTGTGTTGCTGTCAGGCTGTCCGTGAACTCCGGACGTGGCCCTGGCGGGCCGTGTTGGTGGAGTCTCATTTCGGGTTGTTTGCCGACGGTTCGGATTTTTGCCACCCTGTTTCTAGTAAAGTTAGTCTGGTAGTCTTGCTTCCGCTGGTTTTGCTGCATTTTGGTTGGGAACTTTTCATTTTTTTCTGTAACGTCAAAATGGCATAAGAATTTATCACTTTCTCAGCACCTGGACAGAATACTCGGGTCCCAGCACTCCAGCCCATTTACTGGTGACCAGTTAGAGACCCCAAGTCAGCATGGTTTGGGGTGGGGACACGGGTAATGAGGGAGAGGTCATGGGACCACCTCGCTAGGAGTGGAGGCTGGGGGAGAGGAGCCCGGGGTGGCCTGGCTGGCTCAGGAGGGCCCTCTAAGTAGGAGGACCACAGAGCTGGCCCAAGGTCCCAGGGCAGACCCAGTCTGGCTGCCCTGAGTCAGAGGCAGCCACGGGAGGAGCCCAGCCCACCTGAGTCTCCAGGAGTCCCTGAGTGACCCCTGTGTCCCAGGCTGCCCCCTCCCTCCGGACTCCCCCTCCATACTCCCCTACCCAGATGGCACCAGGACCCCCTCTGGCCTCAGCTCCTGCTTTCAGGAGCCCACGGGCCTGACCACCCTTCAGTGCCCCCAGGCCTCCTGCCCCTGTCCAGATGAGCTGAGTGAGTGGCCCCAGGCTAGAATCCAGGCTCTGGGCCTCGGGACCCCTAGGGCGCCGCCTCACACCTGCTGAGGCAACCCCGGGCTGGGGATCTAACCCTTCTTAGTGGCCCGGGGTCAGGCCCTGACTCCCGCCATGTGGCCCATGACAAAGCCATTTGTCCCTAAAGAAGGGTGAGCATGTAAGCAGCCCCCAGGTCCCTGAGGGAGGGCCAGGGCTTGTGGCGTGCGATGTGTGTGTTTGTGCCACGCATGTGCCTCCCCTAGAGACCCCTCGGGCCTGGTGTCCTCCCCGGCCCCACCCCAGGAGTGTATGGCATCTGAAGTGGTCGTGTGGCAGCAGCTGGGAGGCCCATTGCTGAGCCTGGCCTGCACCCCTGGGAGAGCTGGGGGGCCCGTCACAGCCTGGCTGGCTGCACCCCGGGAGAGCTGGCCCACAGGGCCTCTGGGGAGGGTGCCTGCTGTTTCTTTGGGAGCCTGGGGAGGTGGCTGGCAGGGAAAGCCGGCCGTCCAGATCTGTCAAGCCCCACAGCTACGTGCCCCCTGTGTGGGTGTGGGTCTCTCTCCGGGCCCCTCGCTCACAGTGAGGCCTGTGTCGGGGGCATGGGGCCGGGGGCTGTGTTGGGATGTGACAGCAGTCGGAATGTTCCAGTGGGGAGGCCTGCGGGACCCACAGGCCCCCAGCCACCCTTGCAGAGGCGCCGCAGCAGCTACCTGCCTGTCAGACACCTTCTGGCCAATCCCGGCTGGAGGCTGAGCTACAGGCTGTCGAGGACCGCAGCAGAGTGGATCTGTGGCTGCCGACCCCTCCCGGCCCCTAGCCCTCCACTCTCATCCTACAGACCCTCCAGGGAAATGAGGAGGATGGGCCATCCCCACACACCTGTCCTGGGCTGCCCCCACCACCCCCATGTGGGGATGTGGGTCATGGAAGTCTGGGTTCTCCTGCTCTACAGCCTGGAATGTCCAGATCCCCTGGGAGCTTTGGGAGGTGCCGGGGCCCCTTGAGGTGCTACTGCACAGGGCCCCCCATCCTGGTCAGCAGGCGGCCCTGCGTGGGCCTTGCAGAGCTGGGTGGGGCTGTGCTTGGGTGGCCACCAACCTATTCTAGGGGAGGGAGGTCAGAGGCTGAAGAGCCATCAGGTGCTGGTGTCCCCGTGGGCCAGGACAGCTGGAGGCGCAGCTGCAGCTACCCTGTGTGATGCGTGGAAACTGAGGCTTGGCCATGGTACTCACCCCACTGGGGGCTGGGCAGAGAGGCCGACAACCCCAGCCAGGTCCCGTGGCCACCTGCCCATGCTCCCGTCTGCTCAGCGGGCTTCCTCTGCTCTCACCACGGCAGGCTGGGCCCCTTCTGCCTGTGTATGTGACCAAGGGTACCTGCCACCTCTGCTGTCCCCTGGGACAGTGCTCTGCAAGGCCTCCAGGAGCTTGGGTGGCCAGACTGGTCCCTGGGACTGGTGGGCCTCATCCGGCCTCGGCAGCCGCCCCGCCCATTCCAGATCTCTGCTCTGCCCAGGTCTTGATGCTGCACAGTGGAGCCTCCAGGGCCGGCCAGGCAGGGATGGTGCCGGGCAGGGGTGGTGCCGGGCAGGGGTGGTGCTGGACCTCTGGGAGAGGCCAGGTGAGCCGCTGGCCAGCAGGGAAGGGCCAGCCAGGCAGGGGTGGTGCTGGGCAGCAGTGGTGCTGGACCTCTGGGAGAGGCCAGGTGAGCCGCTGGCCAGCAGGGAAGGGTTCTGAGCTGTTCTGCTTTCCCTGACAGACTTTATAAGCATTTATTGAGCACCGGCTGTGTGCCAGGCCCTGGGCCGGCCCCCAAGATACACCCACAGGCCCCATTGCCAGTGAGTATTGGGATGGCAGTAAAGAGTCTGTCGTCGAAGGCTAGGAGTCACAGAGGAGGCCACGAGGGCTTCTGGGGAAGAGTGCAGGCTGTGAGGGGCAGCACCGTGGCGTGGCGGTTCCCGAGAGCCCGTCAGGAAGGGCACATGTAGCAGGTGGTACAGGTTTGGGGTGCCGGTGGCAGGCAGGCTGGAGACAGCTGGGGGCTGTGGCTGGGGGGCTGCAGGGCTGGGGGGTGGGGCGCTGCGCAGCACCTAAACTCCGTGAGATCAGGTGCTCTGGGGACTCAGGGCAAATGGGGTACTTGGTTCCACGTACCTGTGGAGGACGGCAGGCGTCCTCAGGAGTGTGAGGGACAGAACGGCCTCTGAGCCCCAGCTCCGTTGGCGCAGCAGAGCTGTGCTGATCTGGTTTGTGAGCTGGCCTGTGGGGTGGATGGGGTTCCCCAGAGCTGTGCTGGCGTCAGGGAGGAGGCTGGGTGGGCTACTGGGCTCTCCGCAGCCCAGACAGGTGTGAAGGTCTCCACGCCCGTCTTCCCGGCCCACGTGTGTACCATGTACGTGCACCCGGGACCCTCTGGCCGGAATCCGTGGTGTCTGGCTCAGGAGGCGCCGGCACTGCCCTCTAGACTCTGCGGGAGCCATCAAGCGTCTGGGGCTGGGAGCCGCACGCCGTGACCCTGCCCCACTGAGGCCAGAGGGACACCTGCCCAGTCTGTGGCCGCCACCTTCCCTCTGTTGAGAACTTGGTCCTGGCTGGCGGCTTTAGGGAGCAGAGCAGCCGAGTGTGTCCCAGGCTTACACCCCCACTGTGGGTGCTGTGCTGTCCCCATGCTGCACATGAGGAACCTGACGCACAGAGCCGTGCAGTCACTTCCCGTGTCTACACTGCTGGCGAGTGGCTGAGCAGGATCAGAACTCAGGCAAGGGCTGGAGGCTGGGGCTGCCCCTCTCTGGCCTGGGCTCATGGGGCCGGCCTCTCTGCTCCCTGTCCTCTGTCCCCCATAGGGCCAGCCGGTCCTGCTGTGTGTCCAGACCAGCCTCCGGGGAGTCCTGGCCCTGTTGCCATCCCCTGTCCTGGCCCCTCCACCCACCCAGTCCATAGTTTCCTGAATCCGACCTCATCCAGCTGCTGTCCTGCCTGGGAGCCCAGGGCCCTGCAGACTCCATCCAGCCCGGGACAGCCCATTCACACCCTTACAGGGATCCCAGGCCCTGCAGACTCCGTCCAGCCCGGGACAGCCCATTCACACCCTTACAGGGAGCCCAGGCCCTGCAGACTCCGTCCAGCCTGGAACAGTCTGTGTCCTCACAGGGAGCTCAGGCCCTGCCACAGCCCCACCCTCTCTAACCTCTCCTGCCGCAGTGTCCCCCACAGCCCTTGGCCCCTGCCCCAGTTGCTGCTGCTCATACCCCAGCAGGCCTCTGGCTGTCCTCGGCCAGACCCTCATCCCATGCCTCACTCGCCTGCCCCTCACACCCTGTCCTGTGGCCGGCGTGGCTGCGTGCCTCTCCCCAGGGACCATGTGGCCAGGAGCTGGGCGGGGAAGGAGCCCAAGGGGCCTGCAGCCACTGCCAGGGAGGGGACCCTGATGTGGACCGGGCCCCTGACGTGGACTGGACTGGGTGGGGGCTACATTGGTCCCCCTGCAACTCTGCTCCCTGGGGCCCTGAGGTCAGAAGTGGGTCGGCCTCGTGGTCCTGTTCACTCTGGGAGCCCAGCCCCTACCAGCCCCTAGCCCCAGGGGTCGTCAGTTCTGTGGGCACAGCTGGACTAGAATTCCGGGATAAAGCTGGGGCCGAGCGGCGGCTGCCCCTGTGGTCCTCGCGCCCCAGGCCTGTGGCTTTAGCGACACCTGGCTAGCGTGGGCCCGGGCCGCCCTCCCCATGGCTGAGGAAGAGGCTCTGTGTGTCCCAGGCTGCTGCGTGGGATCGCCAGTGGCAGCTGTCAGCAGGGGTGATGGCCGGGGGAGGGGCTCCCAGGGCCAGGAGCCTCAGAGACCAGTGTGGGCTGACAAAGCCCAGCCCCAGTGGTTGGTGCGCTGGGTGCCCTCACTGCTGTCATGAGTTCACAGGGGCCAGTGTGGGCCATGGAAATGAAGCCTGAGCCTGCCTTCCGCTCGGGGCCCAAGGCCTTGGACAGGAGTGAGAGGGGCTGCCGTGAGCAAATGCACGGCCCATTCCTGTGCAGGGGCCAGTGAGGGGAGGGGCCAGGACAGGGGCCTCTGGAGAGGGTGGGACCCCAGTGGTGGATTCCTCGTCCCAGCAGCGCTGGCCACACAGCAGGGCCCAGCATGCAGGGCGGCTGAGCAGGAGCTGGCGGGGAGCAGGACACCCAGGCCCGTGGCTCCTCTCCTTCCTTCGACTGCCCAGATCTCTGCTCACAGGGTCCTGCCCTGCGTCCCCCCTTTGGGGACAGCCTCACCTGCCCGGTGTCTCCAGCACCTGGCTTCTTTCTGTTGTCTTCCTCTAAATCTAAATCCAAATGACTTGCCTTTCCTTTTATTCTTTTCGTTATTGTGAGGAAGTCTGTTTGTACAGAGAGTGCATGGACGGGACATATGTTGGTTTTGAAGAGGTGACCTCCCGGGTCTGAGTGATGCGTCCCACTCAGTGTGTTGACCACCATCCTGATGCGTCCTCATGCCCCAACCTGCGGCAGCCCCGCATTTCCTTAGGGACAGAGGGGGCAGCTGCCTGCTTTCCCCCACCTGCCAGCAATGGTGTGGTCCGTCCTTCTGGGGGCCCTTCTAGAATCCTTGGCAGACCCCACTGGTGGCCGGGGCAGGCTCCAGCCCTTTGTCACCTCCCTCCTGGCAAACTGCCGCCCTGGGCCATCTTCCCTGGTGCCACCTCAGCCCTCCACCCCCGGCCCTTATGGCCACCCAGAGGAATCCTGCGGAAGGCCTTTGGTTTGAAGGGTGAGACTGCGGGCCACAGCCAGGTGTGATCCGTGGTCTTCCAGTAAATCGGAGCTGGAGGGAGGAACGTCCGAGTGCACAGCAGGACTGACCTCCAGGCCTGGCACGTGACAGTGGCCTCCCAGTCGGGCTGGTCAGAGGGTGACTGGGCAGCCTCTTTCACCCTCCAGGCTCAGCCCCTATCAGACGGTTCTCCAGGCGTGGCTGGACTGGAACCCTGGGATAAAACCAGGGCCAAGCAGTAGCTCCACTGCAGTCCTCACACCAGCCTGCCCCTTACACCATCCCCCACCTCCCTGCTTCAGGCCTCGAGCCCGCTATCCCCATGCCTGCCTGTCCCCGCCCCCTCCTGTCCCCGCCCCCTACCGTCCCTGCCCTCTCCTGTCCCCGCCCCCTCCTGTCCCCGCCCCCTCCTGTCCTCACCCTCTCCTGTCCCCGCCCCCTCCTGTTCTCACCCTCTCCTGTCCCCGCCCTCTCCTGTCCACCTGCCGTGCCCCCTGCATTCACACCCGTCCTGGCACCACTCCATCCCAGGCAGCACTGCTGTTCTCCATGACACCGTCACCAATGGTCTGGGTCTCCGACTTGTCTGCAGGTAGCTCTTCCCGGCCCGCACAGGGCCAGGCCACAGCCTCCATAGCTCCCAAGGGGTGGAGTGCAGCAGTAACGGCCAAGCTGGGCCTCACAGTGCCCCGCCTCCCACCCCACCCCCCAGGAGCCCTGACCCTACCTCCTTGCCCCTAGAGTGCAGCCACATGCCCTCACTGGGTGCTTGGGAATGTCAGCCAGCCCCGAGAGGCAGCAGCCACCATGCTTTTGGTGGTCCTGCAGGGGCAGCCCAGCTCCCAGCTGCTGGTCCGTTGCTAGGCGAGAGCCGCAAGCCCGCAGGACCACATCCTGGAGGCCATAGGAGCAGCTGGGCACGACCTGGAGGCCTCTGGAACAAGTGAGGTGTCAGTGAGGCTTGCCGGGGCAGTTTCTGTGGGTGCGTGATGTGGGGTCCCCATCAGAAAAAACCGGCCAAGGCGACATTGGACATGGGACGCCCTGGGCGGGGGGAGATGTGGGGGCTGTCGCCCACCAGGTGAGTGTGAGCCATGGGGGAGATGGGTCATGGTGGGAAAGGGTCCCGTTCCCACCTTCGCAGCTGGAGGGGTAATTAGACCCAGTCCCCACACGGGGCCATGGGTGGGCCTCCCTGTAGGGTCTCCTGTGCCAGTTTCTGTTCAGCTTTTGACCCAAGGCAGAGAGGATGTCGGGGCACAGGCCACCACAGGTCCCGGGTATGGGAGGCAGCCATGCCAGCTGGGTGCTGAGCAGATTTTCAGGTGCTCTGCAGGGAGAGCTGTGGGGTTTGCACACAGACTGAACACAGTTGAGAGTCAGAGGCTCTGGGCTTTGGGCCTGAGCTCTTGGAATGACAGAGACAAGCCTGACGAAGGTGTGAGCCAACAAGGTTCTGGGAGCCAAGCAGCTGCAGCCTCCCTCAGCCTCCTGCCCCCACTGGAGAGCAGCTTCCAACCCATCCGAGAAGACCCCTGGGGGCTCCCTCAGCCCCCTGCCCCCATGGAGAGCAGCTTCTGACCCATCTGAGAAGATCCCTGGGGGTTCCAGGCCTGACTTTGCCCAGGGGAACATGGTCATCACTCTAGGTGGGAAGCAGAGGGGCCTGCCAGGGAGGTGAGGTCTTGGGTAGGTGGTTCTCCAGAGCCTCCTGCCTGGTGCCAAGGAGGGGAGAGGCCCTTGCTGTGGTTTCAGGAGCAGGGCGTGGCCACCTGGCTGCAGGGGGTGGGCCAGGCCTTGGTGCAAACAGGCAGCCCCGTCCCAAAGAGGGGCAGCAGGGCTCTGTGTGTGCTGAGGTAGAATTATTTTATCTCTCCGTGTCTGGTTCACTGTAGCGTGATTAGGAATGTTATTGGTGCTGTATGGTAATGACATTAAGAGAGCCAAAAGCAGTCGCATAGAATTGCTACAGGAAAATCTGTCTAGCAATGTCACGGCAGCCTGCGCCCAGCCCTGGTGGTCCTCCTGGGAGAGGAGCAGGGAGGTCTGGGGCCCTAGCCACTACTGGGGGTGCTGGCGCCACTGCAGGGCAGTGGCGTTGCGCAGGGAGGGCCTCCACCGCGCCTTCTTGGAGGGCCCCTGTGTGCGCAGGTGTGGTGCCACGGGTGCTGACCCAGGTGTGCACTGCACACCTGTGGGGGGTTCAAGGCCTCCGCTGCCTCAGCCTAGCAGGGGTTCCTGCAGCTGGGACAGTGGCCTGAGGCGGCCCTGGCTGGCACCCCAGGGCTGGGCTGGGTGGTGGGTGGTGCTGGGGACAGCTCCTGGAGCCTTTCCAGGCCTCTCTGTGTCTCTTGTGTCTTCATTCGACACTGGGGTGGTCACTGCGACCAACTCATGGGGTCCTGTTTGTGTGGATTAGATAAGCGGGGCCCAGGCCAGGCACGGTGGCTCACGCCTGTAATCCCAGCACTCTGGGGGGCTGAGGTGGGCGGATCACCTGAGGTCAGGAGTTTGAGACCAGCCTGGCCAACATGGTGAAATTCTGTCTCTAGTAAAAACACAAAAAAATTAGCTGGGCGTGGTGACCTGTAATCCCAGCTGCTCAGGAGGCTGAGGCAGGAGAATTGCTTAAACCCGGGATGCAGAAGTTGCAGTGAGCCAAGATTGTGCCACTGCACTCCAGCCTGGGCAGCACAGTGAGACTCCATCTCAAAAACAAAAAGATAAGCGGGGCCTGACCCACCACTTAGCAGAGCACCTGGCACAGACCTCACTGCGGTGAACACGATGAAGTGGGTGAGCGCGGCCGCTGCTGGTCTCCTTGGCTTGGTGCAGGGCCCCCACCCGGAGCTCATGTCACTTCCCCATGCGAACCTTCTGGGCCCTTCCTTCCACGGAGCCCAGGCATCCTTGGGGTGTGGTGGTTGGCACCGCCCATGGGGTGGGGCTGTTGCCTAGCTTACAAATGAGGACACTGGGGCTGCCCAGGGCACGCACTGTCCCTCAGTCCCTGGGGACTGCCCCCCGTCTGGCCTGGACTCCTGTCCCGGCCCCACCCCCACCCGTGGTCTGCCCCAAGGGGAACTCTGGTCCTCACAGGAGCGGGGGTGACCACGCTGCTGCCTGTCATGGTGGCCTTGGACGGGACGCTGTATGGTCTCTGAGCTGCACCACCAACCCCTCAGGTGTACGTGGAGTGACTGAGCGACTGGGCAGAGTGGGGTGTTGGGTGCAGCGGTGGGGCTGGCAAGGGCCCCTGCCTGGGCCTCCTTGGTCGTGCCTCTCTCAGCAGCTGGGCAGGGCAGTGCTGTGGCGTTGCTGTGGGGCCTCTGAAACCTGCCAGGCGAAGCCCACAGGGCCAGCCTTACCCTGGAAAGCCCCGGAGTGACCAGCAGAGGGGCCAGCCGCACGGCTCTCCCAGGCCTGGGTACCTTTCCCACCGTCTTAAGGTAGCAGGCGAAGCGCTGGCTGGCATCTCAAGAGCAGAGTGCTGGGACAGCCCTCCCAGAGCTTCCTGGGAATGGCCTCTGTTCTCTGCAGTGAGCGTGGCTGCAGTGCTGGCTGGGGGTGTGTGGGCACAGGGGCTGCGCCTGGAGCCGGAGATGTCGGAGGCCTCTCCTCCTCGGTGTGGGCACCCACCCCATGCTGTCTGTTCTCTAGAATGTTCACTCAGCAGCACTTGTGAGCCCTGTCTGGGGCTGAGCAGGGGGCAGGACAGATGGACATTCTGGTGGGGGTCAGACGGGACAGGAAACTGCCTTGTGCTTGGTGTGACTGTGGCCGGGGTGGGGAGGGAGCTGGAGGGTGGGTCTGTGGATGGGAGGAGGGGCCGGCAGAAATCTTTATATTTTTTTGAAAGCAGAGTAACACTAGAGCAGGTTTACAGAAAATGTGGTAAATTTAAACAATTTGCCCTTGACACATGCGTCCTTCTGGCCAGCTGTGAGCACTGTGGCAATGGGGAGAGGTGTGGAGCGGGCCTGGGGGAGCGTCTGTGCCCCGAGGGTACCACCCGGTCCCGCCTCCTCAGATCTGCCCTCTGCCTGTCCCCTCTGACTCTTTGCCCAGTAGAAAGACAAATCCCAGCACAGTGGTGCCCTGCGTGGCAGGCTGCCCTTGCAGGTTTCCTAGTTACTGTGAAAGGTAACACCTTGATTTGTTCCTGCTTTTGATCCAGCGCTGCAAACAGCCGTTCTCTGGGCTGCAGCCTTTGATTCATCCAGGCTGAGACCCTCAGAGCTCACTGGGAACCGTTTCTGCAGTGTTAGCAGATTGCGTCCACAGCTGCCTGGGATGGGCAGCCCTGACAGATCCTGGGTGGGCGAGCAGGAACTCTGGAGGCCATGGGCTCTCGGGCTTGTGCAGGAGCAGGCCGCTCACAGCAGGGCTCTGGGCCTTGAGTGGTGGCTCTGCAGAGAGCATATGGCGGGAGCTGGGCCTCGGGGAGGCAAGGAGTCTTCCTGGAGCCGGAAACAGCAAAGAGTTGGAGTGACAGGATCAGCCCTCGTGGGCAGGGGGCCCGGAAACGCTGCTGGGCCTCTCAGGGCCTCCAGCTCAGACTGGTGGGGGTGGCGCTTGTGTCATGGGGCGGGCGCCCAGCCGGAGAGGGCGTGGCCGGCACCACCATGGCTCTTGTCTCTGTCGTCTGCCCTTACCGGAGGGACAGCCAAGGTCCTTCTCCCCAGGGACACCATGGCTCTATGCGGGGGCGGGTCCTCCTCGGGGACACTGTGGCCCTCCGTGGGGGCGGATCCTCCCCAGTGGCTTCCCAGGGTTCTTGGCAGCAGCTCTGACATGGGTTCTGTCCTGGGCTTCACTGCTGCTGTTTTCCTCACAGCTGTGCCCTCCCCGAGAGGATTCTGTCCTTTCGTGGACGCTTCTCCCTGGCCGGCTGGCTCCTCTGGACCCTAAACTTGACGCGCCGTATCTGTCTGCACCAGCCCTGGTGCCAGGAGCTGAGCCAGCATACAGAAGGTGCTTACTAGTGGTTTATCGAGTGTGGAGGTGGGGACCCCAGAACCTGGGGCTGCCCGATGTCCACCGGCAGGGCGGAGGCTGGAGTGTCCTGGGGCTGTCCGCAGGCTAGAAGGTGCTCTGAAGGAGTCGAGATGGGACGAGAGGGGACCAGGGGAGGCCAGCAGGTTTACAGGGGGCCTGGGGGTGTCCCCAGGGTCTGGTAGCCCAAAGGTGAACACGGGGAAGCATCTCTGTCCCAAATCCACAGACCCGTCTGGGAGCACTGGCCAGAACCCCTCAGGCCCTCTGGAATATGGTGTCACCTGGGGGAGCACTTCCTGTGGGCTGTCACCTGGGGGAGCACTTCTTGTGGGGCCTGGGTGTCCCCTGGAGAGGCTCCTGTGGTCCCTGGCCCCCACTGCAGGGCACTCGCTCTTGAAAGGTAGCCCTGGTCTCAGCAGGGAGGGGCAGTCCTGGGCAGCCCTGGGCTGGCCTCCTGTGAAGCTTACTGGAGACTCCCTGCTGGACTAAGCTTTTTCTCGTCTGGCCCCTTCGATGGCTGAGCCCTGGGAAACTCCCATCCCCCATCCCGCAGCAGCATCTCACCTGCCATCGTCCTTCCCCTCCCATCCCCCGTCCCACAGCAGCCATCTTCCTTTCCCTCTGAGGTGCCCCTCCCAAGTGGGGAGGCTCCTTCCCAAGAGCTGCTCAGGTGGGTGCTGTCCTGGGCCCAAGGCCCTGGGGTCCCGCCAATTAACTGGCGTTTCCCTGTCTCCCTGCAGAAGGATATGGCCCTGAAGCCACATGAGCGGAAGGAGAAGTGGGAGCGTCGTCTCATCAAGAAGCCCCGGGAGTCGGAAACCTGCCCCCCTGCGGAGCCCAGTGAGAACAGGCGGCCCCTGGAGGCAGGCAGCCCCGGGCAGGACCTCGAACCCGCCTGCGATGGGGCGAGAAAGGTCCCACTGCAGCCCTCCAAGCAGGTGAGCAGGTCCCTCCCCGACCGGAAGCTCTGCGGCGGGTCAGTGCTCACCGCCCCAGGGCCATGCCAGCACCTGGACACCACGCCACGTGGCCCCCGGGCCTGCCTGGCAGCGCGCCCATCGTTGTCAGGCTTGGGGTGCAGGACACGTGGACAGGGCTGGGGCCTAGCAGAGGCAGGAGCCGGCTGGGTCACGGAGGGGCCGTGACGTGCCCAGGGCCACAGCAGGAGAGGTGCCTGTCTGGGGCAGCAAGGCGCGCGTTCCGGGCTGGGGCGCCAAGCTGATAGGCCGGCCCCGTTTCCCTGCCGTGTCCATCAGGCTCCGCCGACTACAGGTGTCCAGAGTGTCTATAAGGAGGGGGTCCAGGCTCATTGCCGAGGGCTGTCCTGTCCACACGCAGCGCCATCCGCTCACGTGTGCGGCGTGGGGAAGGGAATACTTGGTCCCGGCAGTGGCTGCAGGCACGTGACTGTGGTCAGTGGTCAGGTGCGTGGCCCAGCTGGGAACAGGGCTCTGCCTGCCCTGCCCAGGGGCCTCCTGCCCAGGAGGGGCTGTCAGAGCAGGTGGGGGCTTCCCCAGCGCGTGGGGCTCTGTCCTGGGTGCAGCTCAGCCTGCAGCTGCTTCCTCCGCGGGGGTCCGCTGGTGTGCGCCTTCCTTCCAGGGTGGGGCTCTGCGCGGTGTCCTCGGCTCTCCTCGGCCCCCTTGGGAATTGGGCTGCTGGAGAAGGGCAGCATGCCTCCTGGGCCCGGGCTGGACGGGGGTTCCGCGGGCGGTGACACCTGCCCAGGTGGACACGTGCTCTTTCTTCCATGCAGGTGTGCTCCCCAGAAGGGGGGCCGCTCCCAGCCAGCCACTGGGACCAGAACGGCCCGGCCCAGCGCCAGCAACAGCTCCAGCCCAGCCAGTCCAGCCAGCCCCAGGGGTCCCTCCCAGCCCCGTCGGCACTCCCGGACCCTGGGCAGCCCTGCCAGCCCTCCCAGCGGCCACTCCTGGGTCAGCGCAGCTGGCCCCAGCGGTCACTTCTGGGCCTGAAACAGCCCTGCCAGCCCCGGCGGTCACTTCTGGGCCCCGGTCAGCCCTGCCGGCCCCAGCGGCTCCTTCCATCCCCAGATCAGCTCTGCCAGCCCCAGCGGTCACGCCCGGCCCAGCCCTGCCGGCCGCATTGGGCACTCCCAGGCCCCAGGCAGTGCTGCAGGCGCCTGCGGTCCCTGCTGACCCCGTGTCACCACTGCCGGCGCCTGCGGTCCCTCCTGGCCCCACGGTCCCTCCTGGTCCCCTGCCTCTACTGCCGGCGCCTGCGGTTCCTCCTGGCCCCAAGGCACCGCTGCAGGCGCCTGCGGTCCCTGCTGACCCTGTGGCACCGCTGCCGACCCCTGCGGCCGTGGGCCAGCCCGTGTCACTGTGGCCAGCCCGGTAGGGCATCCTCAGGACAGCGCAGCCGGCCCCTGTGGTCGCTGCTAGCCCAGTGCCAGCGGTACCAGCCCCCGCGGCCACTCCTCACCCTCCGACCACGCCGACGGCCCGCCAGCTTCCTCCCAGGACAGTGCTGCTGCCCCCGGCGGGCCTTCCTAGCCCCGTGTCAGTACGGCCAGCCCCGAAGGTCCCTGCTGGGCCAGCCCAGCCGCCCCCGGCGGTCGCTGCTGCGCCCCAGGCAGCCCCAGCGGTTAGTGGAAGCCCCAGAGCAGCCCGGCCCACTCACGCCTTCACTCCTGGGCCCGGGACGGCCGAGGCAGCAGAAGCAGCCGCTCATGGGCCCGGAGCAGCCCTGCCCACCCAAGCGGCCGCTCATGGGCCCAGAGCAGCCCTGCCAGCCCCTGCGGCCGCTCATGGGCCCCAACAAGCCCTGCAAACCCCAGCCGTTGCTCCCCATTCCCGATCGCCCTTCACTCCTGGGGCAGCCGGGCCCACCCTGCCGGCCTCTCCTGGGGCTCCTGTGCCAGCCGCGGCGGTCCCTATTGGATCTGGTGCCGGCCCGTCAGCCCCGGCTCTCGCTCCTGGCCCTGGGCCATCCCTGCCGGCCCCTGCGGTCCCGGTGGACCCGATCCTGTGCCCCCGGGATGGCCCGTCAGGCCCCATCTGTGAGCCCTGGAGCCTGATGCCTGCAGGCACCTCCCCATATGGGTTTTCCAGCCCACTCCAGTGTGATCTGCACCCTGGCAGGGCCCCAAGGGCCAAGGCCGCATTGCCCTTCGGGCTGGAGATGCTTTGCCGGACTAGCCTGAGGCCTTGTCTAGACAGGGCTGAGCTGTTTGTCGTTGGAAATTGAGGCTCGGCCAGAGGCGGGAGCCCCTACAGTGCCACGATCAGGCTGAGGCTCACCACACCAGGAAGAGAGATGAACCCGCGTCTGCCTGCCGCCCCGCCATGCTCCCTCTCCCCCCACTGGCGTCACAGTGCCCCCACCCGCGTTGCTGCCTGTGGTGTGCGTGCCCTGGGAGGGGAACACAGCCCCTGAGGGCGGGGACCTTGCTGGGGGCCCCTCAGCGTCTTTCTGTGCCTCTGAATTGCCAATACTGTCCTTGCATCTCTGAGTCTACGTGCACGCTTGCCCCTGGCGTGCCACCTGTGCGGAGCGCGTGAGCCTGGTGTGTGCGTGCTGTGTGTGCATGTGTGCGAGAGGGTGTGAGAGTGAGTGGCGTGCTGGGCATGAAGGATCTGTGGGGTGCTGCAGTTCCTGCAGAGTGGCCCAGTGGCGAATGGTGAAGGTGTGGGTTTCAGTCCAGGCCCTCCCCCTGGTAGTCAGGAGGTGCTGGTGTCCACCTCCAGGGCCCCCAAGCTACAGGGGGCACATGGGCCCATCTGGTGGGTCAGGACCTGCAGGGGACCCGGAGGCTCCCACCCCCACCTCTCAGGACTCTGCCTCCACCACCCCCGTGGGCATGCACTGAAGGGTTGCCTGCAGGGTCTCCAGGCGAGGGGGACCCCACAGGGTGGGCAGCGCCTTCTCCCGGCTTCCCCACAGTCCCCTGCAGCGTCCCGTCTGGCTGTTGACCTACATGTGGTCGGGCACACCTCACACTACAAGGCTACCCCTGGGCCCATCCCTGCCCCTTCCACGGCCCCCACCTGTGGTCAGGTGTTGCCACCCCCTCAGGACCTGGTCTCAAGGCAGCCCCACTCGAGTCTTCTGGAGTCCAAGGCACGCCACTCGCCCAAAAGGGAGGGGGTGTTTGGGGGGGCTTTGACTGTCTCCAGACCTCAGGGGAGCTGGGCAGGCTCTAACCAGTGGTCCTCCAGAGAGCAGCGTTGACCACCTGGACCCCTGCGCCACGTGACAGGAGGCTCTGGTCCTGCAGGCCTGGTCTTGCCCAGCTGGGCTGCCTCAGGTGTCAGGAAGGGGATGGGTGTCCCTGGCTCCCAGGCCAGGCAGCTGCTGACCTCCAGCACCCCGCACTTGCTCATGAGGACCCCACCCCCGCAGGCCCTCCCGGGTCCTGACCAGCCTCTGGTGCAGCATCTGCTTTGGCCTCCGGGCCCCCTCGCTCCCCACCCACCCGGGCCCCTTCCTCCGGTGCTCACCTGGGGCCTCCATCCCAGAAGCGCAGGGCTTATTTTTCTGATTAAAGAAAATAAAAAGTGCCGTGCCACTATTTTTTATAACAGCATCAGCGTTTGTAATTTAAACAGACGAGCATGTGTCTTACGTGATTTATTCCCACAAAGGGCTTTTGTGCTGGGCTTGGCTCGGGATTCATTGCACTCTGACCGAACAGAGGGGAGACCTGGAGCATCTGTTCCTGACCTTCCTGCCCACCCATCTGAGGCCTGGAATGGGGGTTTGTACTGTGCTCAGCATGGGGGCACCGGCCTCCAGATCCCCCCACCGCAAGGCTACTGTGTGGGCCAGTGTGACAGGGGTCGAGACCCCCCTCTCGGCTCATGCCTGGGGGGCACCCATCCCCGGGATCAGTGTCCTGGGGACTGGTGAGGGAGGGTGGTTCAGCTCAGAGTCCTCTGCATGGCCTGGGCACGCGTGAGGGAGCATGGTTCAGCCCAGCATCCTCTGCACAGCCTGTCAGGTGCTTGTGTTCTGCTCACGGAAGGCCGGGGCATGGAGGGGCCGAGTCCTGGCTGCAGCGCCCTGGCTGAGCTCCAGGCTGGACCTGGCACACTTGGGGTGCGGGCTTGGAGGGCGGTGCCATCTCA
The DNA here is from genome assembly GCF_000001405.40 of Homo sapiens. Classification (NCBI taxonomy): domain Eukaryota; kingdom Metazoa; phylum Chordata; class Mammalia; order Primates; family Hominidae; genus Homo; species Homo sapiens. The sequence goes on from NC_000012.12 coordinate 132,512,497, forward strand.
GAGTCACCCACACAAGCCATTGCCCCGCAGAGGGGCTGAAGTTGCCTTCAGACGTCCCTGTTGTCAGGCGTGGGGAACAGTGATGATTTAAACAGTCTCCTGCCCTCTTTCCACTTTCAGGCCCCTGCCCCTACCCCCGGGCTCCTGTGAGTACAGAGGGGGCCGAGTGAGTAGAGCCATGTCTGGGGCAGGCCTGAACGGGCTGAGGGAGTGGGGAGGGGCCATCCATGCTGGAGCTGAGCAGTGGCACTTGGCTGCCCCTTAATGGGGAAGGCCAGGCTGCCAGGGAGGGCTGAGGAGAGCTGGAAACTGCAGCCTGGGTCCCTGTGGCCAACAGCTGGGGGTGCAGAGGACACCCGTGGAGGAAACATTCAGGACCCAGAGGGGCTCTCGAGGCCTGGCCATGACCCTGCAGCCTCCAGCTCGAACCCACTGTCTGCACTGGCTTGCGGTCGGGGTGCCGCCATGGGGAGGGCAGAGACACCAGGGCGCTATGGTGCTGGACATCCATGTTGTGTCCTGGGGCCCGCGCCCTGGTGGGGACACTGCTGCCAGGCGTCGCCCTGGGAAATGCAGATTTCGTGTGGCCAGATCTTTGATGTTTCTGAAGAGCTGGGAATCCAGGTTTCTCTGGATTTGGCAATGTTGAAATGTTGGTGGTCAATTCTAATTTTTATGACTCACTTTGCTGACCAGAAGATGCAGCTGTGGGCCTGCGAGGCCTCCGGCAAGTGGGATTTGGCTCCCATCACAGGCAGCAGATTGGAGCCTGAGGCCTGGTTGGAACATGGCTTGTTCCCTTGTTTCTGGAAGGGGTTGGTACTCAGTGGGGCTGCGCCTGCCCAGGAAGATGGGCTTGTGTCCTGGCTGCTGTAGAGGGGGTGGGGGCAGCCCAGCCTGAAGGTTGAGGATGGAGGTGTCTTCCGGGGGGTGACAGTGGGGATCTGGGGGAGGCTGCCCGCTGCCCGACTACAGAGACCCTGTTGCTGCCTCAGGAACCCCTCTGGAGACTGGGGCCTGCGTGCAGTGCTTTAGTGACCATCAGCCCTCTGGTCACCTCTGTGGGGGCCTCTGCCCACCTTGTTGTTGTTGGCACAGGCAGGCTGGTCCCCTCCCATCTGCAGAAGGGGTTATGGGGAGGGCGTGAGCCTTCTGGGAGAGGCCGAGGCGTGTTCCTGCAGAGCCCACGGCAGACGAGGGCAGTGGTTGGTTTGTTGTTGGGGGAGGAGAAGGGGAGGTCGGGGTGGATTCCTGGAAGATGGGTGACACTGAGACTGTGGCGGTGGGGCCAACCCCACGAGGGGCCTGGAGCTCTAAGGCCCTTGGGTCCTCCCCAGGTCAGGCCAAGTCCATGAGCCATCGCTGAGCAGCCCCCAGGGAGGGAGGGGTGTGAGCGTGGGTGGGCTCCCGGCACCTGGCCCAGCATCCACGCCTGGTGTGTGGGCATCTGCCTGCAGACCCTCGTCCGAGGGCCCCGTCTCTCTGGACCCCTCACTGCAGGTGAATAGCCACAGTCCCTCCCCCAGGCCCTGCCCTGCGTGTTGGAAACACCACCTCCTGGGCCTTCCCCGTTTGCTCATTCGGGATCCTTGTCTGGGCACTGAGGACGATGAGCTCCGCCTCTGTTCTCGCGTCAGGGCTCGGCTCCTCCGTGTGTGGGGAGACAGGCTGGGATAGCATGCTGGGCGACTGTGGTGAGGGCAAAGACACAGAGGGCATGAGTGGGGGGCTGGGGGGGCACCTGGATGTTCAGAGGCCAGAAGGCAGGACTACCCGCAGGTGCCCAAGGGAGACCCAGGGCCGCCCAGAAGTCCAGGGGGAGTCCTGGGGCCTCGGAGGGATCTGAGCAGGGCTGCGGCCTGACCCAGGATCTCTCTGGCCTCCCTGGCGTCTTCCCAGGTGGCCCAGGACCGCAGTACCAGACTGAGCTGGACTGGCATTGACCAGGCCGAGGCCACCGGCCATCCTCCTCCGGCCAGAAGCTGCAGTGATAGGGGACATCCCTAGCAGTTCACAAAGCTGTGGGGAGACCCCGAGGGGGAAGGGTTTCCATGCTGAGCCACAGGCCCGGCCACGGTGCAAAGCTGTGGGGGGACTCCGAGGAAGAAGGGTTTTCATGCTGAGCCACAGTCCCGGCCATGGTGCAGGGATTTGGCACGAAGCCTCTCCTAGGGCCGGTACACGACCTAGAGGGCTCCCTGGTGTACCCTGGGACCTGGCAGAGTGCAGCTTCTCATCCAGCAGGGGTGGGTAGGGCCCTGGACTCTCCTAGGGCAGCACTGTTTAATAGGAGTGTTATGTGAGCCACATATAGAGTTAAGAAGAAATAAGTAAAATTCATTTTAATGAAGTATTGCGTTTCACTCCATGTACTTTGAAAATAGTATTTCAACAATGTAATCTATATAAAAATTGTCACATCTTTTTTACTCTTTTTTTTGTAGAGTCTGGGAAAGCCAGCAGGTGTTTTACATTTACAACACTTGAGTTTAGACTGGCAGCTTCTGCGCCCAATAACCACAAGGCTGACAGCAGGGAGGTGTGGGGGGTCCAGAACAATATACCCTCTGTGAGTGCTTATCTCATGCCCATGCTGTTCCCAGGCGCCTGCTGTCTGTCTCCTCATCCTCTACCTCATCGGCTCTATGGTTTGAGGCCAGACCTCATGCATCAGGCCAGAGTGTCCTGCCGAGACCCAGGATGCACCCCTCACTTGGCACAGACAAACCAGACACACCAGCTTCTGTCTTTCCCCATTTCAGTGGGTGAACCTGGAACCACCCAGATGACTGGGCTAGAAGTTGACAGTCATTCTCCTCTCCTCACTCCCCTGTCCTCCCACCCAGCACACCCAGCCAGGCAGGTCCTTAGCTTCCACCTCCTGAATCTCTGACCTGAATTTCACTAGAAAATAAGGAATACTACGTCAAAATTTATGGGATGCAGCTAAAGCAATCCTTAAAGGAAAACTAGCTTGTGCTTATATGGGAAAAGAAGAAAGGTCTAGAATCTTAAGGTTTTACCTTAAGAAACCAAAAAAAAAAAAAAATGGAAGGTTTGTAAACCTATAAAGGAAAGCCATAGTATAGACAAGAACAGAAATACAGAAATTAATGAGGCAGGCCAGGTGCGGTGGCTCACGCCTGTAATCCCAGCACTTTGGGACCCCAAGGAGGGTGGATCACTTGAGGTCAGGAGTTCAAGACCAGCCTGGCCAACATGGTGAAACCCGTCTCTACTAAAAATACAAAAAATTAGCCAGGCACGGTGGCGCACACCTGTAGTCCCAGCTGCTTGGGAGGCTGAGGCATGCCAATCACTTGAACCCAGGAGGTGGAGGTTGCAGTGAGCTGAGATCACGCCACTGCACTCCAGCCTGGGCAACAGAGTGAGACTCCGTCTCAAAAAAAAAAAAAAAAAAAAAATTAATAAGGTAGGAAACAGACAATAGAGGAAATGAACAATGCCAAAAGGTGTTTTCAAAGTTGAGAAATCCCTAGCTAGATCAATCAGAAAAAGAAAACACAAATTATGAATATTAGGAACAAAAGGGGAAATATCATTACAGGCACTATAGACACGAAAAAGGTGAAATGGGGACAATTTTATTCCAACAAATTCAACAGCTTAGGTGAAGTGGGCAAATTACTTGGAAAACAAAACTGACACAAGATGAAATAGATAATCCGAATAGTCTTTTTTTTTTTTTTTTGAGATGGAGTCTTGCTCTATCACCCAGGCTGGAGTGCAGTGGCACAATGTTGCGCAAGCTCTGCCTCCCGGGTTCAAGCAGTTCTCCTGCCTCAGCTTCCTGAGTAGCTGGGATCACAGGCAAGTGCCACCACGCCCAGCTAATTTTTGTATTTTTAGTAGAGATAGGGTTTCACCATGTTGGCCAGGCTGGTCTTGAACTCCTGACCTCAGGTGATCCACCCACCTCGGCCTCCCAAAGTGCTGGGAACAGGCGTGAACCACCACGCCCGGCTTAGATAATCTGAAGAGTCTTACATCTGTTAGATGGAGTTTCTGGATGTCCACGTTTTCTGTCTTCAGTGCCACCTCCCCCAGCCTGCTCAGCACCCTGTCGCCAGCCTAGCCTAACACTTGAAGTCTTTTCTGATCGTACCAGGCACATTTCCACCAGTTAACATGCATCAGCTTGTTTAACTGCAACCCTGTAACTATTCCCATTTGCCGGATGAGGATGCTGAAGAAAAAAAGCCGCCTGTAAATAACTTGCCCAAGGTTCACACAGTGAGCAGCTGGACCAGGATTCAAGCCCAGCGGCTTGGCTTTGTTGTGGAATCTGTACCCTGGGCCATTACCTGGAGGGCAGCTTTCTGGGCCTCAGTTTTCCTGTCTGTAAAACGGGGATGTTACTAAATAGTTCATTTGTTTTCGGGTTGTTGAGATGATAAAATGAGCTAACATGCAAGGTTTGTACTGTCTACATAGCTGCCATGATGATATCGATTCCTGCTTTTATTATTATGAATTCTCAGAGTAATTTCTCCCGCCTCCTGGGCCCAGCCTGGCTGGTTTGAGGCCCAGACGCTAGAGGCTTATCTTTGTCCCGGTTGCCAGGCAAGGGTCCTCCTGTGCAGGGCCTGTGGAGAGAGGCACTCAGTTAATCAGTGCCTTAGACACTGGGCCTGGGCCTGCCACCTGCAGGGAGCAGCAGGCTGGGTCACAGGGTCCTAGAGCTTCCTCCCACCTGACAGGGCCCTCCTACAAACCAAGAGTTGGTCCAGGGGAAGGGGCCACTCAGGAGGGCTGGGGGCCACGCCGGCCAGGGTGCTGTTAGGTGGGAGTGGAAGAGGAAGGCTGAGCACCTGGGCCTAGCAGGCACTGCTCCCCACAGCCTGGGGCTAGCCGTTCCGGGGCGAGCATGGCCACCTCTGCTTTCCCAGCCTCACTCTGGTCGGGAAGGCTCTTCCGACTGGCATCCATTTTGTACTTTTGGTCATTCCGCCCCTGTTCTGGGCCTGGGGCTGCAGTGACAAACAAGACAAGTGACCGTGCTGCCCTCGAGAAGTTAAACTATAACTGGGACAACAGCAGAGCGGGTGGAGACTGTTCTGAGTGTGAGCACAGCTGTGCCTGGGAAGGAGAGAAGGCACCGTTAGACCAGGCGGTCAGGGAAGAGCGCTCTGGGTAGAGGGTGTAGCCACCCAGGCCTCTGGTGGCGTGTGCCTGAGGAGCCGAGCGGGCATGGGGTGGGCAGACAGGGCTAAGGAGGGGCCTGGTCTCATACAGAGGGAAACCACTGAGGGTTTTAAGCCAGGGAACAACGTGAGCTCCTGTGTTTTTACAAACTCGTGGGGGAGGCAGCACGGTTGTGGGGGTGGTGGCGCCTGTCGGGAGGCTGCTGCAGCCGTTCAGGAGGGGGTGGCAGTGGCTTGAATTAGGTCATTCTTCTGTTGGACAGGGCGCCAACTGAGCAAGACCAAGTGATGCAGCCCAGGCGGCAAATGTGGTGGAGCCAGGAGTCCAGTGGCCCCAACTCCAGAGCTGGCGGCACACACCTGCTGGAGTCCACTCTGACACAGCATAGCTGCTGTTCCCACCCCTCCTCCGGCACACAGGACTGCACAGGCAGGGCCTTGCAGACACTTACCTGCACTTGCCCACACACACTAGTGTCCCCAAGAGCCTGCTGGCAACGCACTTCCTAGGCCTTAACTCAGCCAGCATCCCTCATATCATCTGTAGTGTATCTCATCCATCCATCCACCCATCTGTCCATCATCCACCTGTCTGTCCATCCATCCACCCATGCATCTACCCATGCATCCATCATCCACCCATCTGTCCATCCAGCCACCCATGCATCTGTCCATCCACCCACGCATTCATCATCCACTCATCTGTAGTGTATCTCATCCATCCATCCACCTGTCTGTCCATCCATCCACCCATGCGTCCATCATCCACCCGTCTGTAGTGTATCTCATCCATCCATCCACCCGTCTGTCCATCCATCCACCCATGTGTCCATCCACCCATCTGTCCATCCATCCACCATGCATGCATGCATCCATCCATCCATCCACTTGTGCATCCATCCATCTACCCATCTGGCCATCCATCCACCCATCTGTCCATCCATCCACCCGTCTATCCATGCATCCACCCATCTACCCATCTGTCCATCCACCCGTGCATCCATCCATCCACCCATCTGTCCTTCCATCCACCCATCTGTCCATCCATCCACTCAGGCATCCATCATTCACCCCATGCATCCATCCACCCATACATCCACACATCCATCCATCCACCCATCTACCTGTCTGTCCATCCATCCACCCATGCATCCACCCATCTACCCGTCCATCCATCCACCCATGCATCCATCATCCACCCATCTGTCCATCCAACCACCCATGCATCTATCCATCCACCCACCCACCCGTCTGTCCATCCATCCACCTGTCTGTCCATCTATCCACCCATGCACCCATTCATCTACCTGTTTGTCCATCCATCCACCCATGCATCCATCCATCCACCCATCTGAATCACAATAGAAGAAGGTGGAGCAGCGTACTGGAGTGTCCCGCACTGGGCGGGCAGTACCCTGCTCCCTGACACTGTGCTGACTCAGGGAACACTTGGTCTCTCCCAAACATTGCCTGAGTCCCTGTTTACTGTGTCTGCCTGTGCTAGGTAGGCAAGGATAAAAGACAGCCCCGCCCACTGGATGCTTACAGTCTACTGAAGAGAGACACAGAAACAAGCAACCCCACTTCTCTTTTAGAGAGACACTTAGGGGACTGTGGGAGCCTGGAGGAGCTCTTTACCTAGCCTGGTTGGCATGTGGAGTGAATGGAGTGTCAGGAACGGTTTCAGGAAGAAGCAGGGCCACAGCCATACTGCGTGGTGTTAGCCTGGAGGAGGGGATGGCATGCTTTGCTAATACCAGGGTCCTGGAGACAGACAACAGAGTTTCCCTCATTCTGGAGCTTCTGACTCCCCACTCCCAACTCTGAGAGTCGTTCTCCTTCCCATAGGCTATGCAGTCTCATACAGCTGGGCTGCAGTGCCACACCTCACCAGTAGGTGCTGCCTTCAGCTCAATGTGACTCCAGCCTGAGCTTCGAGCTGTGGGTGCTAAGAAGTGGCTACCCCTGGCTGGGCGCGGTGGCTCACGCCTGTAATCCCAGCACTTTGGGAGGCCAAGGCAAATGGATCACGAAGTCAGGAGTTCAAGACCAGTCTGGCCAAGATGGTGAAACCCCATCTCTACTAAAAATACAAAACTTAGCTGAGTGTGGTGGCAAGTGCCTGTAATCCCAGCTACTAGAGAGGCTGAGGCAGAGAATCGCTTGAACCCGGGAGGCAGAGGTTGCAGTGAGCCAAGATCTCACCACTGCACTCCAGCCTGGGCAAGACTCTGTCTCAAAAAAAAAAAAAAAAAAAGTGGCTACTCTTCCAGTCTGAGGGTTGTAGGTTGAGTATGTGTGGAAGAGAGCCCAGAGGCTGTGCAGGCAGCGTGTATGGGTGGTGAGGAAGTTGGGCCCCTCTTCCAGTGCCCCCACCAGCAGGTACACAGCCTTCCTCGCACTCCTCCAGCACCCCCTCCTTGCACCCCTCCAGCACACCCTCCTTGCACACCTCCAGCACCCCCTCCTTGCACCCCTCCAGCACACCCTCCTTGCACCCTCCAGCAACCCTCCTTGTACCCCTCCAGCACACCCTCCTTGCACCCCTCCAGCACACCCTCCTTGCACCCTCCAGCAACCCTCCTTGCACACCTCTAGCACACCCTCCTTGCACACCTCCAGCAGCTGTGGGAGAGCTCCCTTTCCCTGGCTGCTCCTGCTGTCTGGGACGCTCCCCAGGGCTCTCCCATCTCTTTCTTTGCAGATGGCAATTTTCCCGAGGCAGCCCCTGCTCAGGTTGACCCCGGAACTGGGTCACTTCCTTTCCCCATCAGGCTCACCTTAGGAGTACAAGTTCTGGAGCAGCACCAGTGACTGCCACAAAGCCCCTGCCCTCCAAACGCCCGAGGGTGGGGACAACAGTCCACAAAACAGAGCAGGATGCAGTCGCTGGTGTCACGTGCTGTGGGTGCGGCATCGGCTCCTCCCGACCAGGGACATGAGCCCAGCCCCCAGGAGGTAGCAGCAGGGGACTGTGGTAGGGCTGAAGGCAGGGCGTAGCATCTGCCTGCAAGTCCCTGTGGCCTGGGCAGGTTCGGGACAGAGGGGCCCCAGAGTCGGGCTCTGCTCTTGCTGAATGTGAGGGGCCCATAGTCATCATCCATGGCTCAACCAGGCCTGGGGACACTGTGAGGGCTCTGGGACTGTCCCTTCGGGAGCGAAGGCAGCGGAGAGAGGTACCACCCACCCACAGTTGTGCCAGGCACCTGCTCTCAGGATTCGGGGACGGCTTTGTGGGCTCCCAAAACAGGCAGGAAACCAGGACCAGCTGGGAGCTGGTAGGGACTGTGGGAGGTGGGGAAATGGAGTGTTGTGGACGAAAGCAGCCACTCCCTCTTTGCCCTGCCCTGCCCTGCCCTGAGCCAGGGAGCTGGACACCCACTGCAGTCCCCTGAGGCTGCTCAACCTTGGTGGGTGGGGAACTTGGAAAGTCTCAAGTCTGGACCCATGACATCCAGTCCCTGGGGGAGGCCCAGGAGTCCTGAAAGCTCCCCGAGGGAGCACTGTTTGCACTGGGCCAGGAGCCATGTTCTAGGGGCTCAGCTCCTTAAGAGGAAGCGGGAGCTGCGAGGAGGAGGGAGCGCAGGCTGTGGGGCTGGGGCAGGGGTGCGCTGTGTCCACACTCATTTCCACTCAGACACGGATGGCGGCAGCTCCGCCTCTGCATACCTGTGCTCCATTTCTGCAGGGGCGTCGCGTTCCCGTCTCCTGCTGGAACTGTGGCCCAGCCCAACTAGGGGGTGTGGGGGCCTGACCTCTGCCCCATCTCCCAGGGGGCCTGTCCTTGGCCTGGCAGGTCTGAGGAAGCCGTAGGCCCCTTCTCAGGGTTCTCCAGGGTCTGCATTAGAACAGCAGCCCAGGCAGCCCCCGACTCTCACCCTCGCTCCCAGGCCTGCAGGTGCAGAGGCTGGAGGCATCGTGGCCGGCCAGTCTCAGTTCATGCCCCTGTAGGATAGTCCTTGTCTGAATGTGATGCCATGGGATGGGGTGTGAGAGTCGCCCTGGTGTGATCCGATTGGTGTGAGACTTCACCAGGGCTGCAGAGTATGGCTGTCAGAGTTGTGCACTGCACCGCTCCAGGGCTGCCATTCCCACCGTGCCGTATGTAGTGCGTGCATTTGCCCTGACCATTGCACATTCCCCGGGAGGGCACCTTCTGCTCAGTTTGCACAAGAGGACACGGGGGCTGGTGTGGGGCCTCTTGGGTGCTCCACTTTGGGCGGGGCCTGCGCAGGACAGTGCGTGCTTAGAGCCTTGGGGCGGGTCTGGGGAGCAGGTGGGGCGATGAGTCCGTGTGCATGGGGTGAGGTGTGTACAGGGCCAGTGTGACTGCTGTGGTAGAGAGGGGTGTGGGTGTGTGTATGCAGCCAGCGTGGCCCCTCAGCCTGCCGGCGCCTGTGGGTCTGCGTGGGTCTCTGTGTGCAGCCGGCGCGGCCCCTCAGCCTGGGGTGGTGTGTGTGCCTGCGGGTCTCCGTGCACCCTAGAGGGTTTCCTGGCTGCATGGCGGGGCCACTGCTGGCTCCCGTCTCTCTGGCCCCTTCCCAGCAACAGGACAGCTCAAGGGCACTAGAACCGGACAGGCCAGGCCGCACCTGAGCCCCCGACTGAGCCCGAGCCTCCCAGTGGAACCATGTTTCTGTGGGCAACCCAGAGGCAGTGATTTTTGGACGTGCAGCCTGGAGCTGGGGGACGGTGTGGAGGGAGGGGGTTGGTGAGGGGAGGGGACCTTGGGGGAGGGGCTCTGTGCGCCTGGAGCCACCATGTTCCTACGGTTACTGCCAGAACCCTCAGGGCCCCAGTGCTCCTGGTCCCACCAGCGGCTGGTCTGCGGCTGCCCAGTGGAGTGCAGCTTGTAGGAGCAGGTTGCTGAGGGTTCAGGAAATTTGAAGCCGGCTGTTAAACTGTTAGTGGCTTCCATCAGCTTTGGTTTGGATACTGACGTCACAGAAACTGACAGGCGCTCCATGCTGGCCCACAGGGAGCTGTTCCTCCTGCCCTGCTCCTGCTGCACGCCCCACCTGCTGACATAACTGGACAGACTCAGCCTTCCTTCCCCACCCCAGGAAGCACAGGCTTGGTGGAGCAGCAGGGTGCCCTGTGAGGAGGGCAACTCAGGGCTGCAGTGTGTGTGCTGGGCCGTTGGTGCCGTCAGTGAGCTGTGTCCGGGGCCCTCCCCGGCCTGCGCTGCCTTTCCCCCCGCACCTGCCGCCTGGCAGACGGAGCCACCTTCTGTGTGCACTGGGAACAGTCACTCCTTTGTCACTCTAGGGGGGGCAGGGGCTTGGGTCGGCTCTGCTCACTGCCCAGAACGGTACCTGGCTCGTCAGGGCTCCATAAGCATCGGTTGGACGGGTGGACAGATAGGTGGGCAGACCACAAGGCTGGGGTGGGCACAGGTGCAGTAGCTCCTGCCCACCCTCCAGGGCAAAAGGGGCCCCCTCTGGCCCCAGACGTGGACTTGTCATCCAGGGACTGTGATCTTGTCCCTCCAGCTCCTGCTGGGAGTGGACGTGTGGCCTCCCCGGCCCCTGGTGTGGCTGGCAGCACTGAGAAGCGGCTGGGCTGAGGGCAGCCACCTTGGCTGTTTGAGGTCCTGCCTGGGGACAGAGTGGGGTGACCAGGACACAGATTCCCAGTTCTACAGGGTTTTTCGAGACGTGGGACTTTCAGAGCTAAAACCGGCCACCCGAGGAAGGGGAAGAGACCCCACCCCACGACCGGCCTGGCCACCTTTCAGGGCCTCCGGGTTTGGGAGGAGCACACGCAGGGCAGCCCACCGAGCCCCTCTGTGGCATGGGGGTGACGCGTTCCATCTGCGCCCAGCCCTGACCGGAGGTGGCTTTTGTGTGGGTGTGAAGTGTAGAGAGGTGCCCTACTCCTCACGGCTCAGCTGTGTGGGTGTTTCCGACCCACCTCCCTTCCCATCGGCCAGGTGTCCTTGGGCAGTGAGCAGCCTGCACCACTATACTCAGCAGCCCTGTGGCAGCCTTTCCCATCGCTGCCAGGTACTGCCCTGAGCCTCTGTCCCTAGAAGTGAGTGCAGGGCTCATGGGGCCATCGCCAATGGTCAGACTCCCCAGGGGGCCGGTGATACACGGTTCCTGGAGCGGGCTGGAAACTCATTCCTTGCAGGCTCTGGGAGACGATGATGCATTCCCGGGACCCCGCGTTGAGAACCGCTAGGAGTGGGACACGTGGCTTCCTGCAGAGGTGGACAGAACCCCTGATGGCCCCAGCAGGGCAGCAAGTGTGGGACCCGGTGGGCAGGGCTGCCCAGCTGGGACCGTGGTGCCAGCTCCGGGGGTGAGAAAGGAGAGGTTGTGAGAGTCCAGCTGGTGACAACAGTGACCCCTGGTGGCCTGGAAGGTGCCGGCCCCGGGCTCTGCTGCACAGGCCGTGCCTCCACCTAAACCTCATTGCACCGAGGGGCCCTGCCAGGGTTCCCGAATGTTACAGTTACAGATGCCGAAACTGAGGCTGGGGCAGGCCAGTCGCTTGCCCGAGGCCACAGTGCCAGGAAGAGCCGGGCAGCCTGGCCAGGGCCTGTGAGGGCTACTGTGCAGCTGAGCAGGTCACTAGCCCACCACCCTGCCCCCGGCTCCCGCCCAGTAAGGCTCAGACTCCTCGGGGCTGCATCCCTGCCCGGCCAGGGCCTCCTCCAGTGTGGGTGCCTGCTACTGTGCGGCTTGATGGACCTCATGGGCCGGGGGCATTTGACCTCAGGGGCCTGGGTGACATCCCTTAATTCGCACTGGCACCGTCTGCCTTGTGTGCACCCTGTCAGCCACCCAGGGAGGCCTGTTGCTGCAGGAGGTGCACAGAGCGGGCCTCTGGCTGAGCCGAAGGTCGGCAGGGAGCCAGGCTCATGGCTGCAGCGAGCCACACCAGCCAGTCCTGGGACGGGTTTCCCCGGGCTGGGGCGTGCTCCTGACTTGGATGACTCAAAGTAAAGAACCTCACCAGGGGCCCTGGCATGCGAGGCCTGGGGGCCCAGATGTGCTGGGGCGTGTCACTACAAGGTGCAGAATTGTTCCAGATCCAAGTTGGCCAGAGAGGGAGACCGCTGGGCTTCCACGTGAGTCTGGGCGCTGGCTGTGCAGGGGCGTCCCTGCTGGGCGCTGGCCAGCAGGAGCTCTGGCCTCTCACTTCCCTCAGCTTTGTGCAGGTTTGAAATTATTTCCAAGTAAAAAAAGTAAATACATGCAGGGCTCGGGGTCTGGTCCCTGCATGGTCACTTAACCTGTCTGCGCCTCTGTTTTCTCATCCGTGAAATGTAAAGGAAAATAGTTTCTACTCGGGGCCACCGTGTGAGCAAATGTGTGAGTGTGTGCAAAGCGCCCGGGCCAGGCCCTGGCACGCATCGGCGCCCATGTTGGCTGGTGTCAGGGGTGGTGGCGGTGGGCGTGGGGCGTGGGGGTGGGGTGAAGGGAGTATGGGTGCTCCCTTCAGCAGGTGATGAAACTGAGGCACGGGGAGGCCGAGCAGTGGCCCAAGGGCCCATGGCCAGGGTCAGGCAGGTCCCACCACCACCTCGCTGCTTGCTCTGGCATGGAGCCGACCGAAGGAGGTGCTGTGGGCACAGCCAGGGGACAGTGGGTGGCACTGAGGCTCGACCTGGAGGTCATAGCCCTGTACAGCCAGATGGGGTGGTGCGAACCAGCCAGGGTGTGGGTGGAGGCCCTGCCTGTGGTCCCTAGCACCCCCAGGATGCCTTCAAAGTCAGCGGCTTGTGGAAGGGGCGGCTCCAAGCACGTGGCGGTTCTCGTGTCACTGAGCCGGTGGGTCCTGGGTAGGTCCTCCCCGTCCTGGTAGAGTGTGTTATCAGTGTGTGCGCTGTCAGCTGGGATGGCATTCCTGGCTGTGCAGAGCTCTGTCCTGCTGCTGCTCCCGCCCCCAGACCAGGACCCAGCCCACCACAGCTCGTCACATCCCAAAGCGCCCAGCGGCTGTCGGGGCGCCTGGGGCCGGGGTGCTGGGGTGCCGGGAGCAGGCATGTAGCCCTAGCCAGGGGGCCCCGATGCGGACGCGGTGAGGTGGGGGTTTGCCTGAGACAGTGTCTCTCTCTGTCCCAGATGAAGGTCACCGTGTCCAAAGGGGGCGACCGGGACAGTGACGACGACAGCGTCCTCGAAGCCACCAGCTCCCGGGACCCGCTCAGCGATGTGAGTACCCAGCTGCCCGCGCCCGGAGGCTCCGAGTCTGGGCCGCCTGCCCGCTGCGCCCCGCACAAGGGCGTCCAGTCCGAGTCTGGGCCGCCTGCCCACTGTGCCCTGCACAAGGGCGTCCAGTCCGAGTCTGGGCCCCCTGCCCGCTGCACCCTGCACAAGGGCGTCCAGGAAGCCGCTGGTTAGGGTCCGGTTTCCCACCAAGGCTTTGTCTTAGCAATGAGCATTTTGCCTTCGTTAAAGCGTGATTTTTTACTCATTAGGACTTTCCCATTAGGAGAGATTTAAATGAAGAAATGGTGAGTGAGCTGGCAGGAGCCCAGAGGCCAAAACGTTAAGCCTTGGACGCTGTGCCTGCACTGCTGGCCTGTGGGTGGAGGGCAGGCGGACGGCCGCCGAGTCTTGAGATGGGCACTGGCGGGGCAGTGGGGAGGTTTCTGCTGACTGGAACTTGAGGCATCTCATTATCATTTAAATGAAGGCCTCACTGCCCGGCTCCCCATCTTGTTGCCACAAGTTAGGAAAATAGGCTGGGAATTACCTGGGACTGCCGCTGCCTTGGTTTGTCCTCTAATTGCCAGCCCCTGGTGAAGGAAGTCACATTCTGGGCACAATGCAGCAGCTGGGGCTGAGGCTCAAACTCAGGGCAACGAAGGCCCTCCCACCCCTCTGGCAGCTGGGAGCTGGCGGGTGGGCCCATCGGGACCCAGGGCCTTGGGCTCTGTCCCCTGACATCCTGGGGCCCTTCAGGAGCTGACCTGTCCCCGGCAAGGGTCTGTCTTGGGAAGGGGAGGGGGTGTCCTCCCTGACTCTGCAGTGGGGGTTGTGGATTGATTTGGGAGAGTGGAGGACTGCCGTCAGCTGGCCCCAAAGCCCTCCTTTTCTTCCTCTGCCTTGCCCCTCAGAGGGGGTGTTGGATCTTTGCATCTGCCCCCCACTCCTCAGGGGGCTCTGGACCCTCCCTGTGAGCCCCACTTGCCCAGCTCAGTGACCCACCCCATCCACTACAGCAGCCCTGAGCCTGTTTCCCCACCCCTCCTGCTGGGGGAGGCCCTGGTGGTCTGAGTGTGTAGCTGGTGTGATCCATACCTCTGTCCTGAAGACCTCACAACACCCACTCGAGCCAGAGGGATCCAAGGGTGTGGGGGACCTCAGCAGCCCCTGCAGGCCAGAGGGATCCCCACCAGAGGTGTGGGGGGCCCCTAGCTGCCCCTGCAGACCAGAGTGTGCCCTGATGTCTGAGGGGCCCCCAGCTACCATCCCCCAGCCCCAACCCCCACCACCTGTCAGGCCCCTGTGGTGAACCCTCCTTTGAGGGCTCCATCTGGTACCTCCTCCCGGAAGCCTTCCTTGTCTAGCCAGGGCACCCTCCCCAAAGTCCTGCAACCATGGACCCCTCTGGCGGGTGGGCACGGAGGGAGGTCAGCAGAAGCTGGGGCCCTGGGCTGACCTCCCCCAGGTCTTCCTGCCTCCTCTGAGGAGCATTTCTGGTGGGGCCTTCCCTCTTGGGGACAGGGAGCTAGCCAAGGGCGTCCCTGTGGGAGCCTCCTCGGGTTTGGATCCCAGAGCTGCTGCAGGGGAGCCTCAGACTGGCTGGGCCCCTCAGGAGGACGACAGCCCCTGGGGAGGACCCCACCACGACGCCTAACTCTGTCCTCCTCCCTGCGGCCTCAGCCCTCGTGGCCCCTGCCTGAGAGGATGTCTCGCTGGTGGTCTTGGGTCTGGGCATCTGGACCTGTCCCCATCCGAGTTGAGGGCTGCGGGGCTGCGGGGCAGGGTTGAGGGCTGCGGGGCTGCGGGGCAGGGTTGAGGGCTGCGGGGCTGCGGGGCAGGGTTGTGGGCTGCGGGGCTGTGGGGCAGGGTTGTGGGCTGCGGGGCTGTGGGGCAGGGTTGTGGGCTGCGGGGCAGGGTTGAGGGCTGTGGGGCTGTGGGGCAGGGTTGTGGGCTGCGGGGCTGCCGGGCAGGGTTGAGGGCTTCGGGTCTGTGGATCTGCGGGGCAGGGCTGTGAGCTGCAGGGCTGCGGGGCAGGGCTAAGGGCTGAGGGCTGCAGGGCAGCTGTCGGGTGCATCCCTGGGAGTTTGTTCCGAGTGGCAGCCTCACTGACTGTCCCCTCTTCCTTCCTGCAGAGCTCTGCGCATGCGGTCTCGGGGAGAGGCTACTCTGTAAGTCTCCCAGCACCCCTCCTCCATCTTTGTCCCCCTGGGGCCTTAGGACCAGGTCCCCACCTCACCTGTCCGAGGCCCCACAACTTAGCTCACCCCAGTCCCGTGCCCGCTTTCCCTCTGGAGCCCCAGACTGGTTCTGGCCTCAAACACCATGGGGTTGGTGGGGGGTGGACAAGCTCCAGAGTGAAGATTTGGGGGTGCGTCCTGCTCACGGTTTGCCAGGGGGCCCCCAGGCTAACATGCTGCCCCAGGGGGACGGGCTGGCCCTGTGGCTGTGGCCTTGCCAGGAGCCTCAGAGTAGTCAGCCTGCACAGACCCCAGCTGCAGCTAAGGGTGCCGGGATCCGCGGGGCCAAGGCCGGGCTGCTTCTTGGGGTCCTGTTGGGGGCCTGGGACATTTGGTGTGGGAGGTGCCCATGGTGTGAGCAGCCACCTCCAATGCCCTGACCGGCACCTGCCTCACCCCGGACAGAAAGGCCTGGGCCCAGGCTGGGCAACACCCAGGGAGCCAGCACCCCGTGGCGGGCAGGGGGAAGGAGACCTGTGTGCAGCCTTCATGACGGGTGTGTGCCCAGGGGGAGCGGGTGTGTTTCCCGGGGGGAGCGGGTGTCTGCCTGGGGGGAGCGGGTGTGTGTCCGGGGGAGCGGGTGTGTTTCAGTGTGTGCTGTGCCTCCCCGTGGGTGCACGGGTGTGTTTCAGTGTGTGCCTGAGAGAAGCAGGTGTGTTTCAGTGTGTGCCGTGCCTCCCTGTGGGTGCACGGGTGTGTTTCAGGGTGTGCCCGGGGGAAGCAGGTGTGTTTCAGTGTGTGCCGTGCCTCCCCGTGGGTACACGGGTGTGTTTCAGGGTGTGCCATGCCTCCCCGTGGGTGCACATGGCACGGTGGAGGGCTCCTTGCACATGTGCCTGGACTTGCTGTGGGAATGGCCTGGGAGGCTGGGCGCCGACCCCTGCCCCCCGGACCTGGAGGCCCAGCACCATCTCCCCGGCCCCCATCACCACTGTCCCCTGCCCTCCTCATGACTGTGTTTCATTTTCCCTTAAGTATCAGGAGGAACATTAATGACAACATAAAACCCAGAGCTCCATAAAAGCCATTTCTACAGATTGACGGCCTGCTGGGCTCGTGGGAGGGTGGGGGCCTGGACTCTGCCCACCCCATCCCTGCAGCCCCCGAAATTTCCAGGCCGTAGAGGCTCCCTCACTAAACCACAGCAGCTTTTTATAGGGTGTGTAATTAAACCAGGAATGACCCAGTGTGGCCAGGCCAGAGGGGACACAGCCTGGTGGGGACGGCCCCCCACTGTCTCTGTCCCACAGCTTCTGCTGGTGGCAGAGCAGGAAGCGGCAAGGGAGCGGCATGGGCGGCGCGGCCACAGGCCAGGAGTGGACCCCAGGATCCCTGGACCCAGCCTCATGGGCAGGAATTGGCCACTTGGCTGGGTCACAGCAGGGGCTCAGCCAGGCCCTTTGCACCCCCACCCCAGCTCCCCTGAGGCTGCCCTTTCACCTGAGGTTCTGTCTAAAGCCCTGGGCTCAGCTCTACCATCCTGGGCTCTTCTCTGCCACCCTGGGCTCGGCTCTGCCACCCTGGGCTCTTCTCTGCCACCCTGGGCTCTGCCACCCTGGGCTCTTCTCTGCCACCCTAAGCTCTGCCACCCTGGGCTTGGCTCTGCCACCCTGGGCTCGGCTCTGCACCCCTGGGCTCTGCCCCCCTGGGCTCTTCTCTGCCACCCTGGGCTCTACCACCCTGGGCTCTTCTCTGCCACCCTGGGCTCAGCTCTGCCACCCTGGGCTCTGCCTTTGGCCTCTCACCTGGTTTGGCCCAGAGTCCGTGAGCTGTTGACCTGGGGTGGCTGGAGCTCACTTCTGGGCAGTGGTTCCTGGAGCAGCTGCCTGCCCAAGGGCCCTCTTCCTAGGGTTTCCTTCCTCCTGTGCTGCATGGGGTCTCAGGCAGCCTTGCTGTTGTCACCTGTGCGCGGGGGCAACCCCTCAGAGGTGGCTGTGGGTGTCCTGACAGCCATGGTCATGAGTATGATGACACTCCTCCGCCCTTCCCATTGTCATGAGTATGATGACACTCCTCCGCCCTTCCCATCATCATGAGTATGATGACACTCCTCTGCCCTTCCCATCGTCATGAGTATGATGACGCTCCTCCGCCCTTCCCATCATCATGAGTTTGATGACACTCCTCCGCCCTTCTCTGGGCAGTGTCCTGACAGACCAGCTCCTGGTGTGCGTGTTCAGGGTCAGAGTGTGGAAATGGGCTAAGGCCACCTGGCTCCGGCTGCTGGGAGGCACCTGGGTCAAGTGGGGTGTCCTGATGCAGACTCCATGGGCAGGAGGACTGTGGCCCCCACATAGGTGCCAGACTGTGAGTGTCAGTGACATCTCCGAGTGCTGGGCAGGACTCCTGTCGGCTCACTGTGGGTCAGGGGGAGGGCCGGGTCTTAAGCTCTGGAAGGTGGGCTCTGCCCCCTGTTGCTGGTGAGGTGTGCACGTGGCCACCTCCTGTGGCCACCCCAGCTGGTCTGAGGTCCCCAGGGCACCTGGGTCTCTCTGCCCTGAGCCACTGGGTGCCCTTCTGCTTCTGGGTCTCCACTCATTATTCAAGTCTTCTCCCCAGAGCACTCTGTGTTTCCTGAGAAAGCCCGTTATTAACTTGCCAGCTGCTTGCAGCTTAACCCCCACAGCCGAGGCACACAAGTGACAGATGGCGGGGTGGGGGGTGGGGCTGGGGGGTGGGGGGAGGGGGAAGGGGGGAGGGGCTGGCCTGCTGCACTGGGGATGGGGTTCCCCTCCAAGCCGCAGGAGCCTGGGAGGACCCTGAGGGCTGCAGAGGGTCCTGTGCGTGTGCACTGGGCCCCAGCACACACATACCTGTTTCAGACCCTGGTGCATACAGATGGGCCCTGCCATGTGCAGGTGTGCACCCGGGGCCTTGGTCCAGTGTGGCCCTCAGTTGCCCATGCTGTCAGCCCTGCGGGCCCCTTGTGTCCAGTGTGGGGGGGGGGGTGCAGGTGAGAGCCCGGGGTGCAGGTGAGAGCCCAGGCTCCAGGCAGAGAGCAGGGAGGTGCCTGGCCTCCTTGGAAGTGCTCTTCCCCGGCACTGAGGACTGGAGGCAGGTGGAGGCCAGACCACCCCAGGGGTGGAGGACCAAGAACCGGTCCCATGGGACGCATGCCCAGGAGCAGGACAGGACCCAGGAGCAGGACAGGACCCAGGAGCAGGACAGGACCCAGGAGCAGGCGAGGGGCCCAGGCGAGGGTCTGGATTGTGCTGAAGCCTGGGACCCACTAGTGGGGGTTTGGGACTTCCCTGAGGCCTCAGACTCCTGGGTTGCTCCCTAGGCTGAGGCTGCCATGTGTGTGTGGGCGTGTGTGTGCATGTGCATGTGTGTATGTGTGTGTGCGTGCATGTGTGCATGTGCGTGTGGGCAGGTCTGTGCCTGTCCTGTGTGCAGCTCGTGTCCGTGGTACCCCCGTGTGGTGGGCTGCATGGGGCTGTGCGTTGCCTTGTAGAACAGTGTCACGGGTTCCTCTCTGGGCCTCTGTGTGTGCGTGTGTGTGTGTGTGTGCACCCGCGTGTGTGTGACCTGTGTTTGTGTGTTTGCATGCTGTGCATGTGGCATTGTGTTGTGCACATGGCGTTGCGTGTTGTGCACTTGGCGTTGTGTGTTGTGCACGTGGCGTTGTGTGTTGTGCACGTGGCGTTGCGTGTTGTGCACGTGTGCACCCCTTGCCACCTGCCTGTGACTGGGGCCTCCAGCCTAATGAGAAGGCACAGCCAGGCCAGCAGCCTCCCGTGTTGCTGAGTGGCACAGGCATTCATCACCTGGTCTGGTTTTATGAACCATCCTTAGAGTGGTGTAATTTTGTCCACATTGGTGGCCAGCAAAGCCCCAGCTATTGCTCATCCTCAGCAGCTTGTGCCCCAAGTGTGTGGTTTGGCCTTCTCAGCCACCGTCAGTGCTGTAAGGTAGAGTTGCTTCCACCCAAGGATGTGGTGACTGACTCCAGCGTGGCAGGGGGCTAGTGGATCGATTAGACAGAATGAGGATCCACAAGAGCTTGCTGGGGTTGGAGCCATTCCTGCCGGCACAGGACCCTGGCTTGCCCTCCCACACCCATGCACAGAATGTTCTGGAGGGGCCTTTGGCCAGCAGGAGCCAGAGTGAGGGGCTGGGTGAGCTGCAGGGTGGTGGTGGCAGCCCATGGTGAGGCCCAGGCCTCAGGGACCCATCTCACCCTGCACACGGCATTTAGTTACCAGATCATCCCGTTCTCCAGACAGGATCACAGGCCCAGAGAGGCCAACAGGGCCCCCCACCTCAGTGACTGGGAGCTGAGACCCTCAGACCTCCCTCACCACTCGGCCATGCCCACCCAGAATTCTCCTCCATGCGGCTGCCCAGCCCCTTGTGCCCATCAAGAAGAGCCATCTGCCTGGCTATGCCCACATGCCCTACTCTGCCCCCAGTAGCACCCACTTGGCCACAGCCCCCCCAGGCCCTTCCTGTCCCCACTGGCAAGGTCCTCCATCAGGGTCACAGATGCCCACCCTGCACAAACTGAGGTGTGGAGAAATCCGTCCCCTTGCCTCCCCTCCAGCCCATGTGTGCTGAGCGTGTCCATGGCCGGGCATGCACACAGGGAGAAAGATGGGAAAGACCTGGGTAAGGGAAGCCAAGGAGTCGCTGTCCCAGGCGGGGTGTTAAGCGCAGTGCAGGAGGGTGGGAGGGGGGGCCAGGCCAGCCGAAGCAGGCATAGGTTTGAACAGAGGGGCCGGTGAGAGGCCCTGAGGCCCCTGAGGAAGGAGCCCACCCCGTGTGCTTGGGGGCATGCCTGGGACAGGGAGGCTGGAGGTGGGTGGGAGGAGCAGAGACCCAGCCAGGTGGGACACTGCAGATGCCCACCAGCCGCTGGGGTCCCGCTGCCCTCGCTCTGTGCCAGGGCCCGATACAGGCGCTGTCTTTACAAGGCAGGTTTGTGACACTCATTACGGGGCTCCTTGGGCCTCTTCTGAGCAGCCACAACTTGTACAGAAGCAATAAAAACCCATCAGCCTCTCCCTGGAGTCAGAGAGCCACGGTCTCCTCCCAACCCAGCCTCTCCCTGGAGTCAGAGAGCTGCAGTCTCCTCCCGACCCAGCCTCTCCCTGGAGTCAGAGAGCTGCAGTCTCCTCCCGACCCAGCCTCTCCCTGGAGTCAGAGAGCCACAGTCTCCTCCCGACCCAGCCACAGTCTCCTCCCGACCCAGCCTCTCCCTGGAGTCAGAGAGCCTCAGTCTCCTCCTGACCCAGCCTCTCCCTGGAGTCAGAGAGCCTCAGTCTCCTCCCGACCCAGCCTCTCCCTGGAGTCAGAGAGCCACAGTCTCCTCCCGACCCAGCCTCTCCCTGGAGTCAGAGAGCCTCAGTCTCCTCCCGACCCAGCCTCTCCCTGTAGTCAGAGAGCCACAGTCTCCTCCCGACCCAGCCTCTCCCTGGAGTCAGAGAGCCACAGTCTCCTCCCAACCTCTGAGCATAGAAGGGTCTTTCAGGCTGGCTGCTGTGTGGGTACCGTAGGGGTGGGGGCTGAGCCATGTCCTCGCCCCATGGTGGGCACAGCCCGCACCCATCTGCTCACCCATTTGTCCATCTGCACCCACCCACATCCATGCACTTACCACCTGTCCCTCGTCTGCCACCCATCTGTCCGTCCATGCCACAGTGATCATGTGCCTGAGGGCAGTGGCCTCAGCACAGCCTGACTCTGGGCTGGGCTCCATGCCAGGCACTGGGTTGTGAGGAGCACGTCACACAGGGTCCCTGCCCCCAGGGAGCTGCCATTCCAGAGGGGAGAGGAGCCAGTCAGTAAAGAGAGCAGCAGCTGCCAGGTCGGAAGGAAGGTGGCCGGGGTCAGGGCAGCATCTCAGAAGGGGCAGGCCAGGGTGTCTGAGTAGGGGCAAGCCTGTGTGTGCAGAACCTGAGGCGGGTGGGTGCCACTGTGGGAGAGAACAGGGAGGGGTGCAGGGGAGCTGGGCCGTAGAGGATGGGAGGCTGTGCAGATAGTACCACTATCCCCCACCACCCCAGGCTAAGTGACAAAGGGGCTGACCCACCCAGTGCTGAGAGGGGCAGGGTCCAGGCCAGGTTTGTTCCAGCAGCCCAAGCACCACCACTCAGCCCTGGGAGGTCAGCATGGGGGCAGCAGGGACTTGGGGTCCTGGGAGGTGGCCATCCTGCCGTCCGCCTCCACTCCAGTCCTGGCCTCCATGGGCTGCGGGAGGGTGGGACGCCACGTGCGTTGTCGGGCCCCAGGTGAAGGGAGTGTCTGCGTGTGAGAACACCTTCATCTCCATGGCATTTAGATCATCTGACTCCTCCACCTGTGGTATTTGATTGCAAACAGGTGAGGTCCATGAGGAGACCTCGCCTCCATCTGCAGATGCGGAAGCCGAGGCCCAGGCATCAGCTGCACCTGTCGCACCCTCTGCCAGGGCGGGGTCCAGATGGGGCCAATGGATTTGGTCCCCTCCCTGTCCACCTTTTTCTCCTCGCCACCTCCCTGCCCCACATGTGCCCACACAGGGCTCACTTCCCGCAGCGGGCACGCGCTCTTTTATCTCCTGTTTTGTGGGTCAGAATTGAGCAAGGCTCAGCCCGGGTGGCTCCTCCATGCTGCACTGTGCTCACTGGGGTCTCCTGGGGATGGTGGCTGGGCTGGGTGGAGGGTTCAGGGTGGCTTTGCTGACGTGCCTGGCTTCTGGGCCTTGGTGGCTCAAGGCCCAGGCAGCTGTGGCCAGCCCTTGCAGAGCCTTAGCCAGGCTGGCAGCACCATTCCAGCACATTCTGCAGGTCAGAGCCCCCCAGCCCAGCCCAGGTTCTAGGGGAGGGGTTGGACCCTGGCCTGGAGGGGCCTCATGAGTGCCGCCTTTCACCCCACCCACAGCTCCCTGCAGCGCTCCCAGGTATGGGGGCCACAGCCATCCACCAGGCAGGACAGCCCCACAGGGCAGGGAGATGCCTGACCAAGGAGGGTGGCACAGGCAGTGAAGGTGGCGGCGCACAGCCCTGCTGGAGAGGGCCAGGCCAGAGTCTGGGGTGCCCATCAAGCTGAAATCCAATTATGAGAACAGGCCGGGCTGCTGTGACACGGGGGTTAGGAATTAATGTTAACACTGTTTCTGGTTAAGACTTTTTGTGTTGATAAATAATTCATGAGGCAGTTAGCACTTTGAGCCTGACAACACGAGAATATATTAATACGGTCGGCTCCAAGAAAGGTCAGCCACGTGCTTGGGGCCAGGGGGCCATCTTTTATTCATTCCCTGACACAGGCTCATTAATTATTCTGGCCCAGCCGGAGCTGTGCTCGGAGGGACACTAATGAGAAAAAGGAGAGTGGATTTGAGATCCACACGCCATCCGCTGTGGGGACGTAGAGGGAGAGATGGAAAGAAACACTGGTGAGGCCTCTGAGGCGGGATGGGGCCTGCAGCCTGGCTCCCTGACAGTGCTGGTTGGGTGTGAAGAGGTGAGCGGAGCTGATCCGCAGGTGTGTGGGGCACTGGCTGCCACATCCCAGCTCTCCCAGAGAGATGAGGAACAGGAGCAGATGCAGCCAGTATCAGAGAGCAGGAGGTGCATGGGGAAGTGAGGCTGAGGCTGTGGGTGCCCCAAGCACACTAGGCCCAGCGGGTGCAGGAACCCCCAGAGAAGCCACTGAGCAGAGACCCAGAGGGGAGGCTCGCAGGGCCAGCGGTTAGGAGTCCTGCATGTGTGCACGTGTACATGACAGTGTGAGTGCACGTGTGTCCATGATGGTGTGCGTGAGTGCACGTGTGTCCATGATGGTGTGAGTGCACGTGTCCATGGTGTGTGAGTGCACGTGTGTCCATGATGGTGTGAGTGCACGTGTCCATGGTGTGTGAGTGCACGTGTGTCCATGATGGTGTGTGTGAGTGCACATGTGTCCATGATGGTGTGTGAGCACACGTGTGTCCATGATGGTGTGAGTGCACGTGTACATGATGCGTGGATGTTTGTACATGGTGTGTTGTTTACATGTACATGACAGTGTGTGTGCCACGTGTGCATGATAGTGTGTTCTGTGTGTACATGGTGTGTGTGTGTGCATGTGTACATGACAGTGTGCCATGTGTACATGATGGTGTGTGAGTGCACGTGTGCATGACTGTGTACACGATGGTGTGTGAGTGCACATGTACATGATAGTGTGTGTGAGTGCACGTGTAAAATGGTGTGAGTGCACATGTACATGACCTCGTGCCATGTGTACATGATGGTGTGTGAGTGCATGTGTACATGACGGGGTGTGTGAGTGCATGTGTACATGATGGTGTGTGTGCCACGTGTACATGACAATATGATTGTGTACATGATGGTGTGTGTGCCATGTGTACATGACAATATGATTCTGTACATGATGGTGTGTGTGCCATGTGTACATGACTGTGAGTGCATGTGTATATGACAGTGTGTGAATGCACATGTACATGAAGGTGTGTCGTGTACATGATGGTGTGAGTGCATGTGTACATGGTGTGTGCTATGTGTACATGACAGTGTGTGTGCCATGTGTACATCACAGTGTGTGAGTGCACGTGTACATGACGGTGTGTGTGTGAGTGCATTGTACATGATGGTGTGAGTGCACGTGTACATGACCTCATGCCATGTGTACATGACGTGTGAGTGCACGTGTACATGATGTACATGACAGTGTGTGTGAGTATACGTGTACATGAAGGTGTGTGTGCCATGTGTATATGATGGTGTGTGTGAGTGCACATGTGTATGTGAAAGTGTATTGTTATGTGTACATGCGTACGTATAACTGCATGTGCATGCATGACTGCATGTGAGTGCACGTGTGTACATAAATGTATGTGGCTGTGCACATGTGTGTACGTAACGGTGTCTTTGCATGCATGTATATGTGATCATGTTGTGCCATGCCTGTGTGGTAACGATCACAGTGAGGCCAGGGGCTCTGCAGGCACTCGGGGGTCTTCAGGCTGACGTGGGGTGGGGTAGAGTGGAAGCGGCTGGTGGCCAGCTCTTGTCACCAGGAACCCCCTTGCTGTGTGGAGACAGCTGGAGGGCCAGAGCACAGGGGCCCCAGGTGGCCACGCTCGACAGGATGTGAGGGCAGAGGGTTAGGGATGGCCGCCCTGTCGTGTGGTGGGTGCCCTCTGCTGTGGGTGTGAAGCCCACGGAGTGTGTGGCCAGGGACATGTACTTAACAGGAAGAGGTGGCACTCGGGTGTAGAATGGAAAGCTGTTCAGAGTGAGACTGTTCCTGTCCAGTGTGTGAGTCGGGCCGAGCCCAGAGGTGGCTGAGGTGGGTGCTTTCCCCACCCACGTCCCATGGCGTCACAGCACAAATGCCAGTCCAGCCTGTCCAGTGTGTGGGTTGGGCCGAACCCAGAGGCAGCTGTGGTGGGTCCTCCCTGGCCCGTGTCCCAGGGCGTCGCAGTGCAAATGCCAGTCCAGATGTTCCTATTTGTGGCAGTCGCGACTTGAGAAAATTAAAGGTGATTTTGTGCATTTTAAAGCATTTAGACCCAAGGCTCAGGTGGTGCTAAGCAGGTGTCTAATTCTGCACATGTCTGATGGAATGTTCTGGAATTGTATTGGGGCTGGGCAGTGCTCCCTTGAGGACTGGCCCCCAGCACCTAGTGCCCCAATCTTTGTGACAGTTGGGAGCCCCCACGAGGATAGTTTTGTCCCCTCCAACCACAGTGTGGGGCAACAGGCAATGCGGACTTCAGAGCCCAGGCCGCCCACACGTGTGCCTGCTATGTCTCCAGCTAAGTGGACCCCATGGATCCTTGGGAACAGGATCCATGTTCTCAACAGACAAGACCATGGATAACAAATAAGCAGCTGATCGGAGATCATCGCTGGGTGGGATCAGGGTCCTGAGCAGGAGCTGGCCACACTCGTGTGCAGGCGCAGTGGCCACCACTGCACGGAGAGCTCGGGGGAGGGGCCGCAGAGCCCTGAGTGCCAGGAGGAGCCAGACTGGCTGGGACTCGAAGAAGAGCATTGGGGGAACGGGCTCACCCAGATCCCTGGTCAGAGTGAGCTTGGGTGTGGCTGGGCTGAGGCCCTGTGACCCAGGGGCCGGTCCCTGGGGCCAGGCCTGGGAGGGAGTTAGTTTGATTCATAGGAGGTCCTGAGACGGAAGGGGCCTGGGAGGGTGTGTTCTCCAGCTGCCTGTCCTTCTAACCAGGGCTCCAGCCCCACGTTCTCGCCGACGCAGGGCTCTCCAGGCCTGCTCCCTTGGCAGCTCTCAGGGAAAGTTCAGAAATGCATCGGGAGATCCTGGGGCCAGAGGCAGGGGTGCCAGCCCTGCAGCCCCACCACTCCCCTTTCCCATCCCCAGCTGTCTCTTCACGGGCCTGGACTGGAGGTCAAGGGCTGCCTGAGTCCTGCAAGGCCCAAGGCAAGCACGGACTGTGCCAGGTGCACTGAGTGGGGGCCTCCAGTGGGCGACGCAGAGCCCAGAGCTTTCCCTGGCAGTGATGGCCACGGGGCCGCCACGTGGCACAGCCTCTCCTGAGGGCTTGAGCCCCCACCGGGAGGCACCCTCGCAGGCGGGCGCACAGCCCATGGGGCCTTGGCACTGTGGGGAGGGTGCACAGGCAAGTCCGGCTCTGGCGTGTCTGCTCCAGAGCCTCACTCACCTGCAGCTCCTGGAGGCTGTGGCTGTTGGCTGCAGTGACTTGATTGCTTGTTAATTGCTCATTAATTGGGTAATTAGTGCTTTGTTGTGCTTTGAAGCCTAAATACTCATAAAAACTGAATTTGCTGAGTAAGCAAATATAGCATTTTTCTTCAGGACCCACCACCCGGTTATCTTGTGTAACCAGGTTGCAAGGGTGCCTCCACCTCCCAGGACAGCGAGAGGAAGGTGGGCCTCAGTGTGGCGGGGCCCTGACCGGAGGGTGAGAGTGGCCTCCAGGGCTTCTGCCACAGATTCCAGAGCCTGGATTCAGGATTCAGAACCCACCCAGTCACCCCCGGTCTGTGCCCTGGTGGGCTCCCATGCACTCAGTCCTCAGTTTCCCCATCCGGCAGCAGGTGGGTCTGTGGCGACTTGCAAGTGAGCCCAGTGTGAGCCGCATCCCCACACACTGCCCGGCCCCCACCCCTCGGGCTCCATGGCAGCTCTTTCCAGGCGCCTGCTCTTCCAGTCTCCAGAGAAGAAAGGCCTGGGGAGCGGGCGGAGAGTGTCTATGCTAGGATCAGGGTCAGAGAGGGAGGAGCTGGCCGTCAGGTGGGCCAGGAAGCCTCAGTCCCATGCCCCGGCCCTCCAGCCCGATGCCCACCCAGTCCTGCCCTCCAGCCCGATGCCCACCCAGTCCTGCCCTCCAGCCCCATGTCCACCCAGTCCTGCCCTCCAGCCCCATGTCC
This sequence comes from Homo sapiens, assembly GCF_000001405.40. NCBI lineage: Eukaryota > Metazoa > Chordata > Mammalia > Primates > Hominidae > Homo > Homo sapiens. Next base: position 132,539,412 of record NC_000012.12, read on the forward strand.
ACCCAGTCCAGTCTCCCAGCCCCATGCCCCACCCACCCAGTCCTGCCCTCCAGCCCGATGCCCACCCAGTCCTGCCCTCCAGCCTCATGCCCACCCAGTCCTGCCCTCCAGCCCCGTGCCCACCCAGTCCTGCCCTCCAGCCCGATGCCCACCCAGTCCTGCCCTCCAGCCCGATGCCCACCCAGTCCTGCCCTCCAGCCCCGTGCCCGCCCAGTCCTGCCCTCCAGCCCCATGCCTACCTAGTCCTGCCGTCCAGCCCGATGCCCACCCAGTCCTGCCTTCCAGCCCCATGCCCACCCAGTCCAGTCTCCCAGCCCCGTGCCCCCACCCACCCAGTCCTGCCCTCCAGCCCCGTGTCCCCACCCACCCAGTCCTGCCCTCCAGCCCCCATCCACCTAGTCGTGTCCTTCAGCCCCATGCCCACACAGCCCAGTCTCCCAGCCCCGTGCCCCACCCACCCAGTCCTGCCCTCCAGCCCGATGCCCACCCAGTCCTGCCCTCCAGCCCGATGCCCACCCAGTCCTGCCCTCCAGCCCCGTGCCCACCCAGTCCTGCCCTCCAGCCCCGTGCCCACCCAGTCCTGCCCTCCAGCCCGATGCCCACCCAGTCCTGCCCTCCAGCCCGATGCCCACCCAGTCCTGCCCTCCAGCCCCGTGCCCACCCAGTCCTGCCCTCCAGCCCCGTGCCCACCCAGTCCTGCCCTTCAGCCCGATGCCCACCCAGTCCTGCCCTCCAGCCCCATGCCCACCCAGTCCAGTCTCCCAGCCCCTGCCCCCACCCACCCAGTCCTGCCCTCCAGCCCCGTGTCCCCACCCACCCAGTCCTGCCCTCCAGCCCCCATCCACCTAGTCGTGTCCTTCAGCCCCATGCCCACACAGCCCAGTCTCCCAGCCCCGTGCCCCCACCCACCCAGTCCTGCCCCCAGCCCTCTCTCAGTTGACCCCAGGTCCCTCCCGCCAGGTGCCACCTCCCCTCGGCCTTGGGCCCCATTCCCTGTGGGCCACCCTGAGAGTGCGCCCAGCTGGTCCCGGCCACCTACCCACCCTGGCCCGGGCCACCTACCCACTCTGGTCCCTGGCACACCTCCATCTGGCCTGGTGCAGCAGCAGAGCCCAGCCCCACACTGTCTCCTGCACCCAACCCTGCCAGAATGGAGGCCAGACATCCCCTCTCAGTGGACTCCACACGCCCCCTGACCCGCCCACCACACACTGTCACTGCCAGCCATCCCGTGGGCTTCCGAGCCACCTGTGGTGTGTGTGGCGCCTGCTCTGGGCTCAACACATCAGCACCTGGAACCAGGCTCCAGGGCAAGCCCACTGCTCACTGCACCTGCCTCACCCGGGGGGGCCCCTCCCCGATGGCAGGAGGACTCCCAGCCCCACACCTATGGCCCCACAAGCCCAGATCCCCAGATCCCCAGATCCCCAGCTCTGAGTCCTGGGCTCAGCTCCAGGCCCTTGCTGAGTAGCCATACAGCTGAAGAAAGTTATTTCCCTCTGAACCTCTGCTTCCTCACCTATGAAATGGGCTGATACTGCTGTGACACTGGGGGTACAGCCTCCCACCACACCCCTACCCCAAGGCACGTCAGGTGCAAATCCACTGTGAGCCTGGGGGGCAGAGCCCCACACCACACCCCTACCCCGAGGCACGTCAGGTGCAAATCCACTGTGAGCCTGGGGGGCACAGCCTCCCACCACATCCCTACCCCGAGGCATGTCAGGTGCAAATCCACTGTGAGCCTGGGGGGCACAGCCTCCCACCACACCCCTACCCCGAGGCACGTCAGGTGCAAATCCACTGTCAGCCTGGGGGGCACAGCCCCACACCACACCCCTACCCTGAGGCACGTCAGGTGCAAATCCACTCAGTGGGCCCCACCCATCCATTCTATGCCAGTACCGTGGATGGCCAAAGGTGCCTCACCCTCAAGTGCCAGATTTGGGCCCTGCAGCTCCAGCACCCACACCCGTAACCCCCTGCCCACGAGGGGCCAGCAGCCCCGCCAGAGGTCATGCACCCCCCCACCCCGGGGACAGCTGCCCAGCTGCGTGGGGTGAGTGCACAAGTGGCTCCCACCTGGCGGTGCCCCCCCAGGCAGCCCAGTTCTGCCCATGCAGGGGAAGGGAAGTGGAGCCTGGGCTAAGCCCACATGGTGGAGGGGTGCGGATTCACAGGACTGAGGCGGCCGAAAGGGGCTGAGAGTGACCTTTCCAATCGTGAGACATTTCACACAGTGTGAAGCTCAACTCGAAATCTCCCCAGCTGCTCTCAGCCCTGGGGGCTGCCGGTGCCACGCCAGCCCCTGTCCCTTATTTCAGCCGAATCGCTTGATTGGAATGCATTGCATATCCCGCCCGAGCGTGCGGCCCAAATGAAGGTGGGCCCCTTGGCACTGCCATCTGGGAAGATGGGGTCCCACAGGGCAGGGCACGGGGCCCACAGCCACTCATGCTTCTGCCCCATCCCTTCCAGAGCTGCTCCCCCCACCACCCCGAACCATCCGGGTTGCTGGAGTTTCTGGGCTGCAGGTTCAGACAGAATAGGTGAAGCAGCCAAGCTGCCGTCTGCCCCACGAGGGCCCAGCACAGGTGGCGCAGGTGGTCCTTTTCCCCACTCGGCGGCACGTGGCTCTGTGGCAGGTCCTGAGGCACCCACATGCCACGTACAGACATTGGGACACGTGGCAGGACACTGAGGGCAGAAGCCACCAAGGGCAGGATGACCAGATGGCACAGGGAGGGGCCAGGAACTGGCACACGCAGGACGCGCCACGGCACATGTGCACACGGCAGATGCTCCTCGTATCCCCGGGCACCTGGGTGGGCACGCGAGGCTCAACAGGGCCCCACGGAGGACACATGTGCACACTCAGGCCACACATGCTCAGCCAGGGTGGGGCTTCCGCACCGGTGTTCCCAGCAGCTCGGCCTCTCACCCGACACTCAGGCTGGGCCTTTCCACTCCATCCTGCCCACACCTTGCCACTGTTAGAGGTACCTCGGGTTGGTGCAGGCGCCCGTGTTGTTGGGGTGTTTTTTCTGCTGGTGAGGAGGGGTCAGGGCCCCCTGCCCCAGGTAGTTCTGCTCAGGAACCTTCATGCAGTGCCTCAGAGCAGAAACCCGGCCCTCACTGGCCCTGCCTCAGCCCCTCTCCCACCCACTGGGCCCAGACAGCTCTCCTGGATGGGAAGCTGGGGAGGTGGAAGCAGAGGCTGGCAGTGTTTCCAGCACCCTTCCCCAATGCTGGGCCTAGACCCTCCGCAGGACAGCCCCTTGGCCCCTCTGTCTCCTATCTCCTCCCCACCCTGCCTGGTCGGGGCCAGACACTGAGGGACCCCTGGGAGCAGCAACCTCAGCGCAGGGTCCCTGCTTATGAATTTTTCATGCCTTTGTTTGAGCAGTGGGATCAGGCGGCCCCTGAGCACACCGAAGCCATAATTAACACTTGCACTGGGAAGGGGAGGCATGTGTTCTTTGCTGCTTAATAGCCGTGCTGCTGATTTGTGTCTCCCCATGTGTGGGGCTGACAGGCAGCCCCAACCCCAACCCGTAGCCGCCCAGGGTCTGGAAGGGGTGCAGGGAGGCCTGGGTGATGGGGGCCAAGCCCCCTCCAGGCTCTTCGGGTAGCAAGGGTGCACTGCCTGGCTGTGGGGTGGGCTCAGATGCCTCTGAGGGATGAGGGAAGGGGGAGGGGTTGGTGGCAGTGGTGGTGACAGTGACAGTGAAGATGACACTGATGGCAGCTCCCATTTATGAAGCCTGGCCGCCAGCGGCTGCTGTCCTGAGCCTGCCACGCACGTTGCCTCCTCCGACTCAGAAGCCCCATGAAGGTGCCACTGTCTCTGCAGATGAGGAAACAGGCTCGGAGAAACGAAGAGACCTTTGCCACGGTGTCCAGTGTCCACGAAGCAGTGGGGCCAGGACCTGCCCACGCCGGGCTCCGTGAAGCAGTGGGGCCAGGACCCGCCCCCAGACTGAGTTCCAGGGTGCACGTTAACTCTGGGCTGTGCCCAGCATTCGACACCCCAGGGCTGGGGCCCAGAAGCTGGGGGAGGTGTTGGGAACCCACAGGGAGCTGTCAGGTGGGGATGCAGTTTCCTGTTCTCAGCAGGAAGCAGCCATCGGTGCTCATGAGAAGTCTCCAGGTGCTCAAATGTTGGCAGCCAATTTTAAAAAAATAAATCAGGCCAGACCAAGCCCATGTGCCCCCCTACCCAGCTTGTGGCTCTAAAAGCCATGTCTCAAGGCCGTTGTCCACCCACGGGTGAGGGTCTGGGAAGGCCGCTAATGGAGCCTGGAGGTGCTAAGCATCCCCACCGCATAGCCACATCTGTGAAAACAGTGACACGCAGTGGCCCCTGGGGTGGTTGGGGAAGCCACTCTCACGGAGGACGAAACCGGTGCCTGTGCTTCCGAGCCCCACTGCGGCTCTCACACCCAGCCCGGGATGGAGGTGGGGCAGATAGAGCTTCCCAGGGCCTGGGGGAGCTGAGCTGCGGGCTTGGGGTGGGGAGCCCTGACTCACGCCTGGCCTCTGACTCGTGCCGCTGAGTGGTCTGGAACCCCTGTCGGGTGCCTCCCTCTGGCCACCCCACACCTTAGGCGTGAGGGCCGGGGCCCTGGGCAGGAGGAAGGAACAGAGCCCAGTGGTTCAGGGGCAGAGCCTGCCCCCACGGCCAATCACCGGAATCACCCGGCTGCTACTCCCCACCCCAGGCACCCGGGTTTAAGTGGTCTAGGGGCCCCGAGCCTCGGTGCGGCTTAAAACCAGACTGACTGAGGGCGTGGGTGGAGACAACAAGTACTGAGAAGTGGTCACGAGGGCCATTATTGGATGGTGAGGTCCGACAGACTCAGAGGGGCCTTGTAGGCTGGCAGACCATGGTACAGGGAGCTGCTGCCTCCTGGCTGCCATTGGAGCTCAGGACAAGCAGAGAAGGAGAGACTTGATATCGGGGTCTCCTCGTGGCTACAGGAAGGCTCACCTTTCCAGCCTTGGCCATCAGGGTCATAGACAAGCGTGAGCACTGCCAGGGCTAAGAGACTCTAAAACTCCCAGACCAGGACTTCACCTACGCCAGGGTAAATGGCATCTTCTCGTTCTTGGCTTTGTGGGCAGACAATGATGGTGATGATGGTGGTGAGGATGAGGGTGAGGACGATGACCTGATGGTAACGACAGTGATGGTGGTGAAGATAACTGATGGTAGTGCTGTTGAGGATGGTGACGTGAGGACGGCGATACTGATGATCATGGTGGTGGTAATGAGGATGGTGTTGGTGGTGGTGGTGTGAGGATGGTGACGATGGTGATGGTGATGGTTGTGACAATGGTGATAGTGATTATGGCGGTGATGGCGATGGTGAGGATGATGGTGATGGTGGCAATGGCGAGGATGATGGTGAAAATGGTGGTGAGGATGATGGTGACGGTGATGAGGGTGATGGTGATGAGGATGGTGATGGTAGTGATGATACTGTCATGTGTATAATGTACTGACTATATATCAAGCACTGCCTTAGTGCTTTGCACATATTCACTTATTTAAGCCACACAGTAATCCTATGAGCTGTAAGGGACAACCCTGTAAATTGTTCCTATTTACAGAAGCACAAACTGAGACACAGAGAGCTCAGGGCCTCGCCCAGCATGGGGCCGTGCGGCACGGAGCTCAGGGCCTCGCCCAGTGTGGGGCAGTGCGGCACAGAGCGGGCGTCTTCTTTGGAGCCTGAGTCTTGGCCTCCTGACCATGCCCAGCATGTCCCTTCGGGGCCTGGGGTCTGTCCTCTGCTCCCAGGCATTCCTGCCTATCACAAACCCACACCAGGGTGACGTTCCCTGAGCCCCCGAGCCCAGCCCCGGCGCCGTGAATGGTCGCCTCACTCGGGCAGCTTCCGAGAGGTGGATGTGTCTCTCCTTTTCTCCTCGCCCTGATTAATTGCCTCATTCAATGCCGACTCCACTGCAGTTAAACATTAATTCAGTAGGACTTAATAACACGAATTCATTCACGCCCCTGCCTGCGCCTGGCTGACAGTGCCGTGCTATTTGGTTAATGAGAGGATCCATGCAGCGTCCTCTGGTGCGCTTGCTGGAAAGCACCCCTCAGTGTCTCCTTGCTGTTGGATGCATTAAACCCTCGCCTGTGTGGTCAGCCTGGCTGGGTCCAGCCACAGACCTGAAACCCACGGGGAGATCCGTAACCAGGTCCGGGCTTGTGGGAGCTGCTGGCTCTGGCCCATGGGTCTCGGGGCCAACCCAGGCTCAAGCAGGGATCTGGGTGCGGGGATAAGAGCAGAGGCTGGACTGGGCAGGTGGCCCCCAGGCCACGGGTGCACCCATGTGGCCCCAAGTGTCAGGCTGCTCTCGAGGCCTGATTGGCCAGAACCCTGACAGTCTGGTGGGATTGCAGTTTCCAAGTCAAAGGCTCTGCAGCGCAAATTCAGCAGGGAGAGGCCTCACTGGGGGTCCCCAGAAATCCCACTGTGAGGCTAGAAGGGCACCTGACTCCCCTGCAGGCCTCTGGATGCTGGTGGGGCTGCCTCCTGTCCCACCTCCAGGGCGCACTCCCTCTCGGCCCTCCCCAGGCTCCCCATGTGCAGAGGGCATCCTTGGCACAGTCTCGGCTCCTGCTTTGCCCTCTTCCGGTCCCCTCAGCCCTGGCGTGTTCTGGCATGTTCCTCCCCTCCCCTGCGCTCCCCGCAGGAGCTTGTGGCTTTCCCCTGCCCCACGTCCTGGTCTTTGCTTCCTTTGCTCCTGGCTGAGCCTGGGCAGTTCCATTTCATACTTTCCTCACCAAACACCAAGGCCCGCCCATATCACAGCAGGGGAGATGGAGGACTCAGAGGCCCAGGGCCACCAGCAAAGCTGGTCTGCATGTCGGGGTCCTGTGGCCCAGCCCTTGGTGAGCTCCGCACCTGCAGCCTCCGGGGCGGGATGGGCCCGGTTCTGACTTGGAGCCCTCAGTTCTTGTGTGGTGGGCCGGGCTGGGCGGGTGCAGGTGGGACTGAGGCCCTTCTCTACCTCTCACCCTGAAGGCCAGACCGGGGGAACCCTAGGAGAGGGCTTGGCCACGGCTGAAAGGCCAGACCGGGGGGACCCTAGGAGAGGGCTTGGCCACGGCTGAAAGGCCAGACCGGGGGGACCCTAGGAGAGGGCTTGGCCACGGCTGAAAGGCCAGACCGGGGGGGACCCTAGGAGAGGGCTTGGCCACGGCTGAAAGGCCAGACCAGGGGGGACCAGCACACAGCCGGGACAGACAGCCTGGGGGAGCCTGTCAGCCTCAGGAGACCCCCCCCACAGGCCCACCCCAGCTGCCCAGCTTCCCCAGGGGTCCCAGCTGGGGTCCCACTTGTAGGAGCCACCTGGAGTGTGACTCGTCATGCGCTGGGAGCAGCACGTTCTCGCTGCAGAGTGTCTGCTAAAGCGCATTTCACACCGTACTGTGAGCTCCGTCGCTGAACACTCGGCAGCCGCGGCTGCACATGGAGGGTGGCTGTGCGTTTGGTTCCCTGCATTAACCCAGTGGGCTCCACATAGGAGGGCGCCGCCCACACATCCGGCTGGCACTCACCACCCTCCGTGCACTGGGGGGTTTATTCTTCCACCAGGTCATTCATTCGACGTGAATGCCTCATAATTGCAGTTGCCAGGAGGGGATTTTTCCCCTTTTGACTGTTTCGGGGGACATTGCAGTCAGTGTGTTCTTCGTAGAGCTCTGCTTACTGAAAACGGAGAACGGACAGTCAGTGTGTTCTTCGTAGGGCTCTGCTTACTGAAAACGGAGAACGGACAGTCAGTGTGTTCTTCGTAGGGCTCTGCTTACTGAAAACGGAGAACGGACAGTCAGTGTGTTCTTCGTAGGGCTCTGCTTACTGAAAACGGAGAACGGACAGTCAGTGTGTTCTTTGTAGGGCTCTGCCTACTGAAAACGGAGAACGGATTTGTTTTCGGGATTATCACACCCCCACCCTAACCAGCCAAGCTGACAAATGGCGCTGGCATCGAGTGTCTAACCCTGAGCGGCCGTGGCCCTCCGTGCGCTGCCAGCCCCTCCTCTGCCCCCGGCTGTCCTGACCCCAGGGGCTCCCAGGCTCTGCCCACCATCAGGAGCTGGGGTGCCTGGATCTCCCAGCCCATGTGGTGCCATCGATCCCCTCAGGGGGTCACTGGGGACAGTGGGGCTGTCCTGGGCCGGAGGCTGCCCTCCTTCCTGGTGTGAGGAAGGCTCTGGCTGGCCCAGGATGGGGGTCTTCATGGCCGCCCTGCTCTGAGGGTCTGGCCAGTGAGGGCTCCTCTCGGGCTGCAGGGCCAGTCTTGTCCCCATCGCTGGCTAGTCGGCCTGGCTGTGCCCCTTTGTCCATCCCACCCGGGGGGCTGTGATCCAGGTCTGTCTGGTGCAGCACTGGGCCCTGGCCCAGGTTCCTCCTAACCGCCCCGACCACCTGGGCCTGCTGGTACCTCCCTCTCCTGGCAGCAGCCAGGGCCGCCCCACCCGTGCCCCTGCAGCCTGGCTGCTGCCGTGCCCCGGGGGGTGACACTGGTTGGTGGGGCCCCGACTCACTTCTGTCTCTCTGTCCCTGCAGTGTGACAGCGAGAGCGGCCCGGACGACAAGGTAAGCCCAGCGTCCTCCTCCTGGGCTCGGCTGACAGCCCTGCCCTTCCCTGCTGACCTTGGCCCTGTGAGGTGGGCCCTGGAGACCAGGCAGAAGATCGGGCCTTGGGGGGATCCCCCCGCCCGGTGGGTGCAGGGGGCTTGTGGCCTCCCAGGTATGGGGGTGCTGGCCTCTCCTGGCTGTGGAAGAGCCTGTCCAGGGCTGGGGCCGGTACCGTGTCTGGAGGGACACAGGCCCAGGTGGGCATCAGTGCTGCCCCAGCCAGGAGGGTGCCCTGGGCAGGGCTGCCATGGGGTCGAGCACATCAGCTCCAGCTCCTGGGCAGCAGAGGGCAGCTGGGCCTGTGCCCCAGGACTGGCCCCATCAGTCCTGAGGGAGCAGGGGCAGAGCCCAGCCCCCACCCTAAACCCGGTGGACCCCAGAACCAGGAGGTAGATGCGCAGCCTATGACCACATCACAGTCACCCTCAGTGCTCAGGAGCAAGCAGGATTCCTGCAGCCTCAGCCAGGAGTGAACCCCCCGGGCAGCCCCTGAGCCACGTCCCCTCAGCCTCGGAGCAGCCTCCGGGGGGGCTCTCCTTCTGCCCCGCTTGCCCCAGAGCCCTGCGGGGAGGAACCGTCACCTGCTGTGGCCGAGGAGCATCAGGCCCCGGAGGGCGAGGAGGCCAGGCAGGTGGCGTGAGGTCCCGGCCCGTAACCACTGCACCTCACTGTCTCCCTGTGACTGCCAAGGGCTACCCGGGGGCACCTGGACGGGGGTGAGGGCCCTGCCAGATGTGCCAGGGGAATGGTCACCCCGGCCTCAGGGACGGCCCTGCAGAGGCCCGAGGCGGACTGCATGTGTGCGACGATTCTCGCCCTGAGCCAGGGAGACGCTGCCCTGGGTTTCCAGGCAGGTTTTTATGAATGGAACAGTTCCATGAGGGGTCTGCACAGGGGTTAGGGGACGCCCACTGTGGCCCGTGGCCTGGCAGGAGCTGTCTGGGCTGTGGGGTCTCACAGCTGAGGGCCCGGTGGGGGTCCAGATATTGGAGTCAGTGGCGGTGGCCGGGGGAGGAGGGTCTGGGCGGTTCAGTTTTCGACGTACCAAGAAGTCAAGGTAAGTCGCCGTGGAAGCCAGAGGCCGCACCGTCGCCGCGGCCTGGGGTCTGGGGCAGGCGCCGTGTGGGCCGCAGTGCCGGGCTCAGCCGTGTCTGGGGCTCCAGCATCCTGGGCTGCTTCCAGCCACGATGTCCCTGCCCAACACACCTCTCCTCGCCCGTCCGCAGATGGACACTGTTGGGGACGCGTCCTGGTGGTCACAAAGCCCATAGGAGTGGCCTCACCCGGGACCCCGCGTGGCTCCGCGTGGCCCTCAGCCCCTGCCCACAGCTTCCGCGCCCGAACCGTGACGGGCCTAACATTTCAGATGAGTAACCTTGTCCTGATCTCAGGAATGAAATGAGGTCACGGGCACCCAGGAAATAGCCACTCACCCCCTCCCCACCTCCTTTCATTTAAAAGCAGTTTTTGGGGAAGACACCCTCCACAACCAAGGGTTGCTCTGAGAGAGGCAGGAAGGAGGGGATTTCGGGAGCCTGGGGCCTACTGGGGGCTCCCTCTCCCCTCCCCGCCTGCCTTACCGAGATGAGGCAAAGCCACCTGTGGCCCCGGAGGCCAGGTCCACGTGGAGTCGGCGATGCCGGCGGGGAAGGCTGACAGCCGCCCCCATAACTGCACGCCCCCCATGTCCAGCAACCAAGGGTAACGCCAGCCTCCGAGACCCAAACGATGTCTGTGCAGGCTGTGCCTGCAGAGATGCGGCCCCTGCCCGGGCCTGGGCTGGAGGCCGAGGGGTCCATGGGAGAGCACAGGCTGAAAGAGGGTTCTAGAATGGGGTCAGGTGGAGTCTGCACACTGGGGCGTTTATTTCTGAGACGCCCAAGCAGCCCCAGGGGAGATGACCAGCTCTGGGCGGTGTCGGGGAGGCTGAGTCCAGTCCAGGGCTCTGCACACGGAGGGTCCCGGCAGGGCGAGTTTGGCATTCCTGCACACGGAGGGTCCCGGCAGGGAGAGTTTGGCATTCCTGCACACAGAGGGTCCCGGCAGGGCGAGTTTGGCATTCCGTGCCGTTGGGGCCGTGTTGGGGCTTCTAGGGCTGTGGTGGCCACAGGTCCTGAGGAGGACAGCAGGGGAGGGAGAGGGGCTGCGGAGGACGGCAGGGGAGCGGAGAGGGGCTGCCAGCCTTTCTCCAGGGCAGAACTTCGGGTCACGCCCACTCTGGGGAGAGCAGAGAGGCCTGGCGGGGCGGGGACGGAGAAGGCAGCTCCGCCAAACACTGAGTCCCCGTGATGGTGGCTCCTTCTGGCTGCGGCAAGGTCTGAGCGCCGGCGCACAAAGCGGGGGCACGGTGCTGGCAGAGTGGGTGGGACCTGCCTGTGGCCCCGTTTGCTTCTGTTGGGGGGCAGCTCCCGGAGGCTGCTCGGGGAGAGCAGCAGGGTGGGCCAGGAAAACTGCAGGGGCCTCTCCTTGTTGGCCCGTCAGCCTGTCCGTCTGTGTGACCTTGGGGCATGCTCTGAGGGGTGTGTCCCAGGCTGACTCAAGACAGCTAAGCCAGAGGTGGGGACGACCCTGGTGCGTTCTGGGAGCCGGCAGTGCATCCTGGGCTGCAGCGGAGCGAGAGAGAGGAGCCCAGAGCCGGCAGCAGGAGTTTCCGTTTCCCTCCGAGTGCATGGGATGCTGCACCGTAGGACTCCCCCGTCCAGACGTCTCCGTTTCCCCATGGCATCCAGCCCCTGATGCTCAGAAATTAGCTTCCTGAGTTTGGGAGAGTTGGGAGGGCAGGAGGCCTCAGGTCCCTCCTGGTCTTCTCTGCCCGGCGCTGGGTTCAGGGGGTCAGGAACTTACGCTGGGCGGAGGGTGTGCGTGGAGCCCATCCAGACGCACACAGAGGCGTAGGCAGGTGTGGGAAGTCAGCCAGCACCCCACTGGCCGTCCCCAGCCCTCCTCCCTACCCGCTGGGAGCAGAGGCACCCAGATCTCTGTCCCTGGGCACTGCTGTGCGAGGCCGGCACCCCTGCCAGGGAGCAGGCAGGAGGGACAGAGCCCTGCAGGCTCCAGATGGCAGAATTCCCGGCTCTGAGACAGGAACATGGGGGTGCTTCGCATCAGCAGTGCCCAGAGCCCCTCAGCAGCCCCGGGCTTGTGTGGAACCCGTCTGTGAACTGGATATGGAAGGAAGGTCCCCGAGTGCCCACATTTACAGGGACCCTCAGAGACCTCACTCAGACCTGGGAGGCCCATTGCTCACATGGCCTGGCTGCTCCCGGTGGGCAGAAGATGGAGAAGCCACAGACAGCGTCCTGCGTGGGGTCTGTGGGCGCTGACCCAGCAGCCGTGCAGGGAACAGCCCTGCCCGCAGAAGCGGATGCCGGGGCAGGTGGCAGTGCACCCCGAGGAAGCCTTCTGGACGGAGTGGTGGGGAGGGCGCGGGCGCATGTCTCAGGCCAGTGCACTTCACATCTCATCCCACACCTGCGGGTTTGAGCTTGGTTTGGGGTGCCAGCTCCCACCTGGCCAGCCACCCCTTGGGGACTCACCCTGGGCTCTCCTGCCAATCAAGGTGGAGACTTTGGGACAGCCCTCCTCCACGTGAACAGACTGACCGAGACACCTCTCCACCACCTCCCTCACACTGTGCCCGCCCAGCCGCCCCCTCCCCTGGCCCTTGGCAGGAGGCTCCTTGGCAGCTGACGGGAGGCTCGGGCACTGCCAGATGGCCCCTTCGCAAGTCTTCGGTTTGTGTCTAACCACTTTTTCCTTGGAAAAGTGTGGGGTGAAGAGCGATATGGGACTCCATAGGCAGCCGCCAGGTGGTGGTGGCCTCGCTCCTCCTGCTGCCGGGGGCTGCCACGGCCACCTCCAGGGATGGCTGTCTGGCCCGTCTGTGGAAGCCCATCAGGAAGCACCCCCAGTGCCGGGCCTCAGCCAAGAGCACCGGCCTGGAAGGGGCAGGGCTGGGGGACAGTGGCATGAGGTCAGACATGGCGTGGGGCCGACCCCGCAGGCAGCCCACCATCCACAGCCTCCATGTTCTGTCTGCAAAATGGGGCCACAGTGGGGCCTGGGCAGAGGAGAGAACTGCCCACTGCCCCAAGCACGGTCCCCAGAGAGCTGGAGGCCAGCCAGTCCTCCACACCCAGCCCCTCCCCAGCAGACCCTTCTTCCAGTGGGGCGCTGTGCCCGACTGGGTCCTCTCTGAACCTCTGCCTTTTCGTCACTGAAGTTCGTAGGTTCTTGTTCTTGGGAACTGTGAGTTCAGGCACTACCAGCACGACAGCCAGAGGGACGGACGGACGGCTGGACAGGCTGGAGGCCCCTGCCATGGGCACTCACCCCGTGGGACAGACAGAAGGATGGATGGACGGTTGGACAGGCTGGAGGCCCCTGCCTTGGGGCACTCACCCCGCAGGATGGACAGAAGGGCGGATGGATGGCTGGACAGGCTGGAGGCCCCTGCTATGGGGCACTCACCCCACGGGACAGACAAAGGATGGATGGACAGCTGGACAGGCTGGAGGCCCCTGCCATGGGCACTCACCCCGCGGGACAGACAGAAGGACGGATGGACGGCTGGACAGGCTGGAGGCCCCTTCCATGGGGCACTCACCCCGTGCGACAGACAGAAGGACGGATGGACGGCTGGACGGGCCGGAGGCCCCTGCCGTGGACACTCACCCCGCAGGACAGACAGAAGGACGGATGGACGGCTGGACAGGCTGGAGGCCCCTGCCGTGGACACTCACCCCGCAGGACAGACAGAAGGACGGATGGACGGCTGGACAGGCTGGAGGCCCCTGCCGTGGGCGCTCACCCCGCAGTTGCTGGGCCTCCGTGGGGTCCTGGGAAATTTCAACAGCAGTCCAGTGTGCGGGCCGCGCCTTTGTTCTGTCCAGCCAGCGGCCCAGGCTGCGCCTTTGTTGTATCTGGCCGCCGGCAGGCCAGGCACCTTCTGAGGAAGGGTTGCTGCGTGTCTGTGGCTCACGGAGGCCTTCCTCTGTGTGTGACTCACACCCCCCACCCACCCCAGCCCACTTCTGGGAGCATCTTCCTGGGGGCTTTGGAGGCCCATCCATTCTTCCCTAGGGACAAAAGTGCAGGGAGCGGCGTCCCAGGTGCCACCGTCTCTGGGGAACGTGGGCCAGGACTCCCTTTGCTGGACACAGACCCTGCCCACACCGGGTGACCGTGGGGTGACCTCACAGGGTGTGTGGGGTTCCGAAGCCGCCACCCTCCTTCCTGAGCCTGCACTTTGACCTGGGACTGCTGAGCCCAGAAGGGCCTTGAGAGGGCTGGCTCAGTGGCACGTGGGGGCCTTGGGTGGTTGGGTCCCCGAGACAGGCCATCTCGCTCCTTGTGTGGCAGGCTGCGGGGCCCTGCTTGCCTGGGTCCCACGTGGTAGAACTCGGCGTTTGGTGGGGGCCTGCTGGGGACAGGAAGGGACAGCACCCCACCCTGAGCTGGCACTCATGCTTCACTGGAGCCAGGCGGAGGGGCCGAGGGCACCGGCACAAGGTGCAGACGTGTCGGTCCCTTTGAGGACCGAGATCATGACCACCACGGAGCAAGCGCCCGGGTCCTCAGATCAAAGGCCCAATAGCCAGTGAGGCTTCTCTGCACTGGTCCCAGCAGAAGCGGGGCCTGGCTGAGGCAGTGGCATCAGAGACTCGGGGCAATGGGAGTGCGAGGGGGGTCTCAGCGTCCCACAGCTGCTGTAACAAGTCGCCGTAAACACAGTCACTCAAAACGGCACGAGCTGATGGCAGCAGTGGAGCTGGAGGTCCAGGATGGGTCTCACCAGGCTGAAGTCAAGGTACCGACCTCAGGGGAATTGGTGTCCTGCCTTTCCCAGCCTCAGAGGCCCCACTTGGCTGTACCTGGGCAGCTGCTCCGCTCCACGGGCCTAGCCTCGCTCACAGGGCTCCAAGAACAGAGCCTGGATCGTCCTGAGGGCCCCGTGATGTCCCCGTCACAGCAAAGGAAGATTTAGGATGCACTGGAAGCCCAGAAGTCCAGAGAAGGGGCTCAGAGCCATCGGTCGCCACGGGGCACCTCGGGGGTCCCACGAACACTGCAGCGGGCGTCAGACCCTCAAGCGTCGGTAAGGGCCTCACCGCCTTGGGAGGGGTCAGCAGTTACCGGAGGACTCTGGGCAGTGGCAGGGAGCAGCAACAAGGGCCCCCCATTCAGGCCCTCACCCCCGGCACTTGGAGGAGGTGCCGCCCCTGCCTCGGAAGCCTCGAGGGCAACCTGCACCCTCAGGAGGCCCAGCTGGGGGCGTCACTGCAGGGCACCGGCAGAAACTGGGGTCTGAAAACAGCAGCCCAGAGTGGATTTGGAACAGAACAGGGTGTCACAGAAAGGATGTTTCATGAGGTGGGTTTTGATGAGTATGTTTAAATAAATGTAACTTAATTGATGTTAAATATGCATCTTAATGCTTTTCTAAAATGTGCAATTGGGCCAGTTGCGGTGACTCATGCCTGTAATCCCAGCACTTTGGGAGGCTGAGGCGGGCAGATCACTTGAGGTCAGGAGTTCAAGACCAGCCTGGCCAACACAGCAAAACCCCGTCTCTACTAAAAATATAAAAATTAGCTGGGCGTGGTGGCAGGCGCCTTTAATCCCAGCACTTTAGGAGGCCAAGCGGGTGGATCACCTGAGGTCAGGAGTTCAAGACCAGCCTGGCCAACGTGGCAAAACCCCGTCTCTACAAAAAATACAAAATTAGCTGGCTGTGGTGGTGTGCGCCTATAATCCCAGCTACTCAAGAGGCTGAGGAGGGATGGTCACCTGAACCCCGGAGGTGGAGGCTGCAGTGAGCTGAGATCGCGCCATTGCACTCCAGCCTGGGCGACAAAGTGAGACTCTGTCTCCAAAAAACAAAAAAAATGTGCGGTTGGAACTATATCTCGAAATCGGAAACCAGACATTCTGAAGACAAGCTTGTGTGGCCTTTGGCGCCATCCTGCCCCCTGCTGGGGGCGACCTCCACCGCAGACGACCTTCTGAGCCCTGGTTTCCTTGCCTGTAAAATGGAGTAGCGCCTGCCAAGGACGGCTGTGGGGATGGCTGAATTCAATGCATTTGGGGGAGGTACGTGTTTCCTGTGATTTAATATTTCACGAACGTTAAACCTGTGCTGGGCACAGCTCTCCCTCGGGTGGGAGTGTAGCTGTGGTGTATCTCTGGAGGGGGGTCACGGCTTTCTCTGGCAGGCAGCATGGGGCCCTGGTGTCCCGTGGCCTCCACGGTAGCCGCCCCACCCGAGCGTGAGCGTGGCCTCCACGGTAGCCGCCCCACCCGAGCGTGAGCGTGGCCTCCACGGTAGCCGCCCCACCCGAGCGTGAGCATGGCCTCCACGGTAGCTGCGCCACCGGAGCGTGAGCGTGGCCTCCACGGTAGCCGCCCCACCCGAGCGTGAGCGTGGCCTCCACGGTAGCCGCCCCACCCGAGCGTGAGCGTGGGGGCCACGGTAGCCGCCTCACCCGAGCGTGAGCGTGGGGGCCACACCCACAAGTCTGGCATCATGGTGTTGGGTTCATGCTCCCTCCAGAGGCCCCAGAGGAGGATCCTTCCTGCCTCTTCCCACTCCTGCTGACTCCGGCATCCCTGGCTGGTGGTTGCATTGCTCCTATCTCTGCCCCTGTCCGTCCTCACATGGCCCCTCCTGTGTGTGTGTCTTTGTGTCTCTTCTCCTCAAAATGACGCCAGTCCTCGGATTTAGGTCCACCTGGATAACCTGGGAGGGCCCCATCTGAGGGTCAGGATGGGTGTGGGCTTGGGGCCTGCAGGCGGCCCCACCTTTCTCCCCGCAGGCACTCGTGCCTGTGTACCAGCCTTCAGGGCCGGTTGTGGCCTCGGGGTTCCAGGAGGCGCTGCCATCCAGGGCCTCGGGCACAGCATCCCTGGGCTCTTCCCCCAGCCCCTGGGGTCCTCTCTTCTCAGAGGCTTTCCCTGGGTTTCTGTGTTTCCGCGAAGTTCCGGTGCCTTCTGCACTTTCCCTGGGAGCTGAAATTCGCTAGGATTTGCATTTCCAGGCCGGCAGCCTCCAGGGATGCTGAGCAGCATCTGAACATCCCTATAGGTGGTTCTGGCTTTTGCTTTTCTCCCGACATTCCGGGTGGAGATGGTGAACACACGCTTCTCCGGGCTCCCCCTGATGCTGCCCTCAGGCCTTGGGGGTCTGGCCTACCCCTCACCTATGCACCACAGCCTTGCTCAGAGAGTGCACACCTCTGCGACAGACAGAACCTCAGAGTCGTTCCATGGCAAAGCCACACTGCCAGCGTGGCTGTGGCCTACACAGGCCGGGCAACAGCAGGCGCAGGCCCTACCCCCCACGCCACGACTCAAGGCCCAAGCCTGCTGGGTGCGTCTGAGTGTTCGTCCTGTGGGACGCTCCTCTCCAGGCCTTCGTGCTGCACCCCAACCCCTGTCCTGTGGGACGCTCCTCTCCAGGCCTTCGTGCTGCACCCCCCTCCACCCACCCCTGTCCTGTGGGACGCTCCTCTCCAGGCCTTCCTGCTGCCCCCGCCACCCACCCCCCTCCTGTGGGACGCTCCTCTCCAGGCCTTCATGCTGCCTCCAACCCCTGTCCTGTGGGACGCTCCTCTCCAGGCCTTCATGCTGCCTCCAACCCCTGTCCTGTGGGACGCTCTTCTTCAGGCCTTCGTGCTGCACCCCAACCCCTGTCCTGTGGGACGCTCCTCTCCAGGCCTTCGTGCTGCACCCCCCTCCACCCACCCCTGTCCTGTGGGACGCTCTTCTTCAGGCCCTTGTGCTGCCCCCCAAACCCCCGTCCCGTGGGAGGTTCCTCTCCAGGCGTGAGAGGACACGGCCCAATTCAAGGACACGTGCCCCGCGGAGTGGCAGCCTTGAGGAAGCAGTCTTGTGGTCTCCTGGCCCCAGCGCTCGGCTAACCATGGCCGAATGGAGGTTGGGTGCCCCCCAGGGTGGTTTCCAGGGCGATCCGGTGTCCTGGGGTGGCTGGGGCAGCATGGCTGAGAGGACCCTGTGTGCTCTGCACTCCTGGTTAATGGTTGGGGCCTCCAGCACCTTCCCATGCCTTCCCATGATGGCACCCCCTGGCCACCCGCTGCGTAACGATGGCAGACGCAGTTACAGTGTTGGTTTCTGAACCGTAAGCTCTGGATAAATGTGCCTCTGAACACCACCGTCAAGTCCCTAACTGGATTATGTATATTTGGCCTGGAAGCCTGATACTTAATATCAGCCTGCTCTCCGGTGAATGCCTTTCTTCCCCCGGATAATCTATTCCCACTCCGCTTCCTTCTAGACTTCTAACCTCACTACATCTTTCATATCAGAGCTACTCTCCTTTCTAAACAAAACACAGACCTGCCCCTGGTTCTGAGTCTAGTTTCACCCCCAAACTGGGGCGCAGGGCTGTGGGGCGGGGCTCGGGGCTCGGGGCTGGGTTTTCGGCCCCGTTGACCCAGGCCAGGATCTCTGCCTGTTCCAGGATGGTCAGTGCTGAAGGCGGCCTCAGGACTGAGGTTAGAAAGTGGGGTTGGAAGCCTCGTTTGTGGCAGGAAGATGGCTTCTCCTGTGATTCCAGTGGTGAGGTCCCAAGAGAGGAGCCGGCCACATTGAGACTGGCCGTAGCCCAATTGGAGCTGGCCAGTTGCTGCCCCTCAATTCCTTCTTCCTGCTCCCCCAACTCCCCAGCCCCCTGGGGTCTCCAGTCAGCAGGGAGAGTGGGCACAGCTTGGCGGGACCGAGGCCTGCTGGGCAGCCGCTTCCCGTGCCCTGTACCCAGAGAAGGAGCTGATGGCAGCACAGCTTCTCAGGGGGCTGAGGATGCACTGGATCCATCTGTGCCGAGTCCCCAGAGCAGGGCCTGGAAGAGGGGACTGGGGATGGCATCCTCCCAGGGCCAGGCACGCAGGAAGGGGCTGAGCTAGGGTTCTGCCTGAGTCTGTCTTCTCTCCTCCCCTCCCCCCGCCCGTTCCCTCTCTGTGGGCCTCACCATCTGGACCCCCCATGGACAGAAATGACCTCGTCACAGGGCCCCTTCACGGCCTTTGTCCTCACGGCCCCTCCTGGCTGGCTTTGCCCAGGCCAGCACCCTGGGCCTGACCTTAACCCTGACTTATCCCTGAGGGCTCCACGCATTTCAAATGGAGCGGCCCCATCCCCATCTCAGGAGTGGCCCACCACCTTCCCAGGGGAGTGTCCCTGCTGAGCCATGAGCCCTGCGGCCAGCCTGCCGGCTCAGCCCAGCCCAGCTCTGCCACAGAGCAGCCACGCCAGCAGCACGTCTGTTTTCTCGTCGGTGAGACGAGTGGTGGCTTATCCAAGTCCTCAGAGTACAGGCTTCAGGGCCCTGTGGCTTGCGGCATGCAGTGCGCCCGGAAGTGCCTATGTGGACACAGTGTGTGTGCATGGACGCAAGCGCGTGCCGTTTTCATGGCAGGAAACAGCAGGGCTTTGGGGGCGACTTGTTGGTAAAGGGAGTACGTGTATTTGGTAAGTAGTTCAAATAGAACCTGAGGGCTGGAACTCCCTGGCTGAGGCCGACCTTGGTGATTCCTTCTATACCGTTGGAGGCATCCTGCGAACGTTGGCGCCTTTGGGAGCAGAAAGTGCTGGTCCAGCTTGCAGAGGGCTCCATCGAACCCGTGTGGGAGCTGCTCCCGCGGTTTGAATGGCTGCGGGCTCCGCCATGGATAGGCCCTGCCCGGGGCCAGGCCTTCCAAGCCCAGAAATAGAAACGTGGCCACAGCTCCCACCTCAGTCCCGAAACTGGAGCCCAAGCCCTCTGTCCCTGGCCGCACCAGAGCCGGCCTCCCTGTGTGCTGCCAGCCACGCAGCAGCTTGGAGAGGACCCGTCCTTAAACACTTCCCGACTGCCGGGTCCAGAGCTGCGCCCTCCCTCCCTTACTCATCGCGTTTGAGTTCGCAGTTGGTGTCCTGGTTTTCCACCTGAGTGGGCGCTGGGATGGAAGGGTCCCGCCCAGGCGTCTGGTGCGGTCAGGCGCACATAAGCAGCCTTTGCAGGAAGCCGTGGCTGGGCCTCGATCCGAGTTCTAGCGCCCCACCGTAAGGGAGAGCCAGGTGCTTCCTGTCCCTCCCGGCCACCTCAAGTGTAAAATCACGGGGTTCAGGGCGGTGGTCTTGGGGGCTGCGCTGCACAGCCGTTTGCAGCTACAGCAGCTGCTCGGAGCTGTCTCCGACTTTGCACCCCCGTTTCACAGAGGGAGAAACCGAGGCCCAGGGAGGGCGGGGCTTGCAGCGGACGGGTGGGGGAAGGGCTCCTCCTTTCAGGTCCCAACTCTCCACAGTGGCAATGAGGTCGCTCTTTTTTCCTTTTTTTGAGACCTTGTCTCGCTCTGTCACCTACGCTGAAGTGCAGTGGTGCAATCTCGGCTCACTGCAGCCTCCACCTCCCGGGCTCAGTTGATCCTCCCACCTCAGCCTCCCCAGTAGCTGGGGCCACAGGCGCGTGCCGCCACCTCCGGCTAATTTTTTTATTTCGTAGAGACGGGCGGGGGTGGGGGGTCTTCCTATGTTGGCCAGGCTGGTCTCGAACTCCTGGGCTCAAGTGATCCGCCCACCTCGGCCTCCCAAAGTGCTGTTTCAGGCGCCGGCCACCGCGCCCGGCTGTCGCCCTTTCTGACTCAGTTTCCCCTTCTGGGAGCGGGGTGGCAGGTGTCCGTAACTTCTTGTTGTGAGGACCAGAGGAGCAGCGCCCACACAGCGCTCAGTGAGGCCGGCGCTGCGCGCCTTTCCCCGGGTGGCCGTGATCGGAGGCAGCGCGTTCGGACCCCGGGCCGGCGGCGGGCGCGGGTGGATCGGCGCCTCGGGGCTGGATTAGTCGGGTCTGCCCGCGCCCCGCCCCCGCCCCGCCCGCGCTCCCGCCTCCCGCGCGCCCAGCTCCGCGCCCGCCGCCTCGGGGCCCGCGCCGCGCCCGACGTCCGCCCGGGAGCCCAGAGCGCACCGAGCGCCGCCCAGAGCGCGCAGAGCCGGCGCGGCGGACATGCGCGTCCCCGGCCCGAGCTCCGGCTGAGCAGGGCACGCGGGGAGAGGGGTCGCCTGGACGGGCCAGGGCCACCCGGGGCTCGCGCTCCACGCCCGCGTCCATGCAGCCCGGCTCCGGCCCCGGGACTAGGGGCGACTGCCTGGGGCGCCGGCGAGGTGAGTGCGCGCTGCGGACTCCAGAGAGGGAATTGGGACTTTGGGGGGACAGGGGAGGGGGAGCGACCGCCCCCCCAGAAGAGCGGGACGCCCGAGATCTCCGGGCCTTCTGCCCACACCGCCTCTCCCGGAGCCAAGCGCGGAGACCGCGTCCTCCCGGGGGCGCACGTGGCGGCGGGCGGGCGGGGGTGCGGCGCGGCCGAGGGTCCCAGGCCCGGGTCAGGGCACCCGGGGTCCGGGGGTGGAGGCGGGGCCGAGCGTTGTGGGTGGCGCGCGCCTTTGTCTGCGCCCAGGTGCGGAATCGGCCACCCGGGTTCCCGGCGCCGCGCTCACCTGCCCCGAGTTGGAGTTCTTTGTCTGGGGCGGGGCGCGGCTGGCCCAGGCTGCGCCGCGTGTCTGGCCGAGGCTGCTCCGCGGGTCGGGTCCTCGCAGACAAAGCGCGCCCTGACCTCCGCCCGCCGCCGGGATTGTGCACCTCGCGGGGGCTGAGGCTTGCCCGGGCGCCCCCGCTGCCTCTTCGCAGGGACCCTGAGCCTGCGGACCCGGAGTCCTCCCACCTGTACCCTGGGCTTGAGTGATCCTCTACCCCACGCGGGCTAGGAGGCAGAGGCGGCTGCTCGTGCCTGGGTCACGTCCCTGCAGACCATGGCCGAGAAGTTAAGCGGGTCTGGTGGCCCCTGGGGCTGCCACCCCATTTGGGTCATCTGGCCACTGCCAGAAGCCCTGTCCTAGAAGGGAAAGAGCTGAGGGACCGCGTGGAGGAACGAGCCCCAGAAGGTGCAGCTGCTGTGTGTGGTCTAGGAAGGGGTTGGAGCCTGGGCCAGGCCCCCAGAGGGCCGGCCCCTGTTCTGCTCTCAGCCCTCCCGGATGGGCGTGGCTGCACCTGGCCAGGTGTTCAGGTTCTCACTGTGAGGTGGAGGCCACCTGCCTCCGGGGCCTCTGCTAGGGCCGAGGACCCCTGGAGCACCCATTCTCAGCCTCCCTGAGCAAACTCGTCTGCTAAGTGTAGGGCCCACTGTGGCGTGACCAGAATGGGTGCTGGATGGCCCCAGCCGCGCGGCCCGTGCGGAAGACCCTCCCCTTCCTTGCAGCCCTCTTGGCTTCGCTGGTGTCTGGGGCGCCCCCTTGTGGCCCTGGGGAGCTTGTGTTCGAACCTGGGACGTGGAGCGGAACCCACTAGAGTGTTTGGGTCCCAGTGAAGGGGAGGGCAGCAGAGCCCCAGAAGGGCTCCAACCTGTGGTTACCCTAGAGACGAGGGCCGGCTTTGGGGGCTGTGCTTTGGGGTCTGCCTTTTGGGTTGGCCGTCAAACTGCGGGCTAAGCTGGCTTCTCCTCCCTCTGCCCACCTGGGAGGCCTCAGCACCCGCCTCCTTCCTGGCCCCTGGAGAGTCCTGGCGGCGTGGTGGGGCCTGCTGCCCCAACCACAGAGGGGGCAGTTAACAGGTGGGCCACCTGGCGAAGAGGCCACTCAAACCCGGGACGCCAGCCAAGAAGAGGGCCCGCGTGCGTGCCAGAGACAGTGCAGCCCCTCAGATGAGGGGTCCAGAAGTCCTCCCAGGAGGATGGTGCAGGCCCAGGAGAGACCCCAGGGGTCTGTGGCAGGCCTGGGTGTTCAGTGCCTGGTTCATGGCTGGCATGGAGCAGCACTGGATCCCCATCCTTGCTGTGTGAGGGGCCCAGATTTGGGAGCCTGGCCCAAGGGAGCACTTGGTGCTGGCACTGCTGGGGGATGGGCACGGCCAAGGAGGTGCCGAGGCCTTTCTGGGGAGCCGCAGTGCCCCCTGGAGGCCCAAAGGCTGGTCTGGACTCCTCCCTGCCCACCTGCACAGGCCCCTTCACTATTCCTCCTGTTTCTCTCGGAGTCCTTCCTGTTTCCGATGCTGGGATGGTCACTGCGTAGCCTGGGTCACCGGCAGTGGCTGGACGGGGCAGGGAGGTGGAGGCGGACCCCATGGGAGCCACACTTCTGGGGGATGATGTTGAGGCGAGCAGAGAGGAGAAAGCCACATGCCCCAACCTCCAGGCCCCCTGGCTTCCCAGGGGTGAGAGGTTCCTGTCCTTCTTTCTTTGTAACAAGCCAGGATTCTAGGGGTGGTGGCCGCAAGGCTGGGGGAGGGAGAGGGTCATCGGGGCCCTGGACTGGGGCTGGGAGGGTCCCTTTCTGGGGTGCCGGGGTCTCCTAGCTTCCATCCGACCCGGCCCCTGTGTGGTTGAGCTGGGTCTGAGCAGAAACAACCTCCTCAGAAGGATGTCCTACGTCACTGCCTGGGGGTTGGTGGCTGGGGGCGCTGGACATAGAGTTGGTGTTTCACCCTGCAGAAGCCTGGGCTGCAGGACCCCGACCCCGGGGACCGCACAGGGTGAGCAGACCAAGTAGCGTCAGTGCCAGGAGCTCAGCATCCCTTCCCACCAGCTGCACCGCAGCCCTTTAACACACGAACGTGCGGGGCCCAACCGCTGCTCCTTTCCGAGGGGCCCACCTTCCTCCAGTGCAGGGGCCCTTCCGGCGCGTGTGGGTGTGGCAGGCCCGCCTCGGCTCTTGCCATCTTACAGGCATGGACCTGCTGCTCTTCTCTGTGGTTCAGGCCCTTGCGACGTGACTAGGAAGGGCTTCCCATTCCAGCAAGAAGGTGGAATCCACACCTGGTCTTCTCTGATACGTTGATGGTTTTTCACTTCTATGTTTGCGATCTGTCTGGAATTATTTTCAGATAAGAGGTGAAACAGGAGCTTGCTCTGAAGGACCTACGCCACACCTGGCCCCCACAGCCTGCACCCCACACCTGGCCCCCACAGCCTGCACCCCACGCCTGGCCCCCACAGCCTGCACCCCACGCCTGGCCCCCACAGCCTGCACCCCACGCCTGGCCCCCACAGCCTGCACCCCACGCCTGGCCCCCACAGCCTGCACCCCACGCCTGGCCCCCACAGCCTGCACCCCACGCCTGGCCCCCACAGCCTGCACCCCACGCCTGGCCCCCACAGCCTGCACCCCACGCCTGGCCCCCACAGCCTGCACCCCACGCCTGGCCCCCACAGCCTGCATCCCATGTCTGGCCCCCACGTCTGGCCCCCCAGCCCGTACCCCATGCCTGGCCCCCACAGCCTGCACCTCACATCTGGCCCCCCAGCCCGTACCCCACGCCTGGCCCCCACAGCCTGCACCCCACATCTGGTCCCCACAGCCTGCACCCCACACCTGGCCCCCACAGCCTGCACCATGTCTGGGGTTTCTCATTCGGTTCTGTGGATCTCTGTCCGTCGCGGCATCTGTGGGAACTCTGGGGCTTCTCATTGCGCTCTTGGATCTCCTTCCGTCTGTCCGTTTGCCTGTCCGTCTGTCCCAGCATCGTGTCACATCTTTTTGTTGGTTTCCAATGCTGTCATTTACTGGCAGTAAAATTCACCTATTTATTTTTGCAGTAAATGCAGCTATTTTAAGTGTGTGGTTTGCTTTTTGACACATACCTACGACTGTATACCCACCCCCGTCGCCCCTGAACCCCCGAGCTCCTGTGCACCCCCTGCACCCCTCCGGCTGACACATACCTACGACTGTACACTCACCCCCGTCGCCCCTGAACCCCCGAGCTTGTGTGCACCCCCTGCACCCCTCCGGCTGACACATACCTACGACTGTACACTCACTCCCGTCGCCCCTGAACCCCCGAGCACCTGTGCACCCCCTGCACCCCTCCAGCTGACACATACCTACGTCTGTACACCCACCCCCGTCGCCCCGAACCCCTGAGCTCCTGTGCACCCCCTGCACCCCTCGGCTGCTGTGGCTGGGGCCGCGCTCACGGTCACACGGCTGCGTGCTCTTTGTGGTCTGGCTTTGGCTCCTGTGATGTTTCTGAGGCTCACAGAGCGCGTGCCGACAGCAATTCCATATGTGGCTGAGGCAGACGCGCTCACTGTTGATCCGTCTGCCAGTTGCTGGACACGGGTGTCCCTCTGGGCAGCTGGGCCTGGCTTCACCCCAGCCCCACACCAGGCCCCGGTGGACCCTGAGCCGCCTCCCTTCTGCCCTGAACAGCAGCCCAGCTCCCTTGGCTGGGCCACGTGGGATTCAGGGGAAGCAGCTCCCACAGTGAGGACCTAGTAATCCACGTGTTCCAGATCCCTGCTTGGGATTTTGGTTGGGGTGATAGGAAACGTGTGCTGTGGCATGGGGACAGCAGGTCTCTTCCCAGCACCAGTGCCCCTCTGGGCTGGCTACGCCTGGTGAGCCTCCTGGCTCTGGGAGGGCCCCTGCCCTCGCCCTCCAAGGTTTTTTTTTTTGAGACGGAGTCTCGCTCTGTCGCCCAGGCTGGAGTCCAGTGGTACGATCTCAGCTCACTGCAAGCTCCGCCTCCCGGGTTCACGCCATTCTCCTGCCTCAGCCTCCCGAGTAGCTGGGACTACAGGCGCCCGCCACCACGCCCGGCTAATTTTTTGTATTTTTAGTAGAGACGGGGTTTCACCGTGTTAGCCAGGATGGTCTCGATCTCCTGACCTCGTGATCCGCCCTCCTCGGCCTCCCGAGTAGCTGGGACTACAGGCGCCCGCCACCACGCCCGGCTAATTTTTTGTATTTTTAGTAGAGACGGGGTTTCACCGTGTTGGCCAGGATGGTCTCGATCTGCTGACCTCGTGATCCGCCGGCCTCGGCCTCCCGCAGTGCTGGGATTTCAGGCGTGAGCCGCGGCCGGCCGCCCTCCTAGGTTTTAGTAGGTTGGAGAGCTGTGGGTCTCGCACGCTTCACCAGCCAAATTCCTAAGTCCCTTTTTATCGTTTTAACCCTAAGAGTCACAGGTCGTGTTACAGATCAGGGGGACAGACAAGCACAGAACCCCCATCTCCCAGCACCCAGCCTCCGAGTCAGATGCCCCCCGCCCTGGTCTCTCACAGCTGTGCTCACTAGGCAAGCCTGGCCGGCCCCTCCCTGGTAGCAGTGAAGCTGTTGATTATGTTTGTCGTTGTTGCATTTCAGTTACACAAGTGTTACCAGAATGCAGTCTCCTTTATACAAACTTAAAAGTATGAGTTTAAGCCTAGTCTCTTGTGCCCTCCACCCCCGCCATTCCCAGAGGGGACTGCTCTCTCCTGGTGGACACATTCTACAATTTCACCAACATAGACGCCGACACGCGGGCACCTACGTAAACACACATGTGATGCTCATGTAAACAAACATCCATGCACACACTGCCACCCAGGTACACACACCCGAGAATGTGTGTGTCCCTGTACGTGAACCCGAGTGTGCCCACGTACACGTACCCAACTGTCCTCATGTACACGTACCCGAGTGTGCTCATGTACACGTACCCGAGTGTGCCCATGTTCATGTATCCGTGTGTGTACGTACCCGAGTGTGTGTATGTGCCTGTGTGTACGTACTTGAGTTTGTGCCCATGTACGTGTACCCGAGTGTGTGTACGTGCCTGAGTGTGTGTACGTGCCCAAGCACAGGCACATTGTCCAGATCCACATAACACTCCTTCTTTGCAGTTGCTTCCTCCACACACAGAGTGTCCCCCATCTCTCCAGGGTACACACTGCAGTGTGGGTGAACGTCAAAAGCCGTGCAGTGAGAGAAGCCAATCACAGTAGGTCCGTGCCGCCTGACAGTGTTCACATGGAAGTTCGGAAAAGACGGCTCTGTAGAGACAGACAGATTTGTGGTTTCCCAGGGTTGGGGGTGACGGTTAGGAGTCAGGGTTTCTTTTTGGGGTGATGATAATGTTCTGTAATGGATCGTGGTGACAGGTGCATCACTGTGAACATACTAAACGCTAGTGAATTGTAAGCGTTAGACGGTGAGTTGGATGGTATGTGATTTACATCTCAAGTCTTAGTCCGTGCGGGCTGCTCTGGCCCAGTTCTGCAGCAGACATTCACAGCTCACAGTGCTGGAGGCCGCAAGCAGGTCAAGGCATGGCAGAGTCCCTGTGAGGGCTTCCTGGTCCATAGAGGGTGCCTCTCCGCTGCGTCCTCACATGGTGGAAGGGGCTAGGTGGCTCTGGGGCCCTTTATAAGGCACTGATGCCGCTCGTGAGGCTCCACACTCAAGACCTCATGACCTCATCACCTTCCACCTCCTGATCCCATCACCTGGGGGTGAGGATTTAAACATGTGAATTCTTGATAGACAGAAACGTTGAATCCACAACTCAATGAAGCTGTTTAATCAAAAAAAAAAAAAAAAGAAGAAGAAGAAACTAGGAGGGAAATATCTATTTAAGGTCATTCTTATGAAGCTCATTCCTGGAAACTGCCGTGAAGTCCCCCAGAGCATGGGGCCCTCCGTCCACCCCTCCCCATCAGCGGCCACATTCTCGCCACCTGCTTGTGGCAGGTGGTTGAGCGAGTTTCTCTGGAAGAGATGGAGGAGTGGGGCTGAGCAATTTCTGCGATTGACCCTCTGAGAGCTCCCCCACATAGCCTGGGACACTCAGCTGCCTCTCAGCAACACTGGGCACCAGGCCTAGAGCTTGGCCGGCCTGGGAGCATAGCGCAGCATTCTGTGGCTGCTGGGAGCTTGGCCGGCCGCAGGCACATAGCGCGGTGTCCTGTGGGCTCTGGGCACCAGGCCTAGAGCTTGGCCAGTCCCCAGCACATAATGCAGTGTCCTGTGGGTGCTGGGAGCTCGGCCGACCCCAGGCACATAGCGCGGTGTCCTGTGGGCGCTGGGCACCAGGCCTGGAGCTCAGCCGGCCCGGGAGCATAGCGAGGTGCCCTGCAGCCTTGCGGACCCACATGTCCAGCCTGGTCGGTATCCTGGTTCTCTCACTTTCGCCAGGGCGCCTGTGCTGGGCAGTGGTTGGGAGCAGGAGGTGTGTCCCGGGGCTCTCCATCATCCGCCTCTGGCCTGATGGGTGGGGGCCCAGCAGGGCCCACAGCTACTGGTGCTGGTTCTCCTGGGAGGGGTGCAGATTTGCCAAATGCCGGCGCTCCCCCAGTCCACGCCAGCAGCAGCCTTGGTTCCCGATCCCCCCACAAACCCCGTCTTCACTCAGACCCCCTCTAGGAAGCCTGCTGCTCTGAGCAGAGAGGGGCCTGTGTGCCCCCAGCGTGAGCACATGTATACACATGCGTGGAGCTCAGGACTAAGCGTGTTCACCTCGTACACGGGGGCATCCACAAGGGCACATCCCGCCTGGCCCTGCTGGAAAACCACCCAGACTTGTGTGTGGGCATTGGGCGCAAGGTCCACGAGGATGAGGACCACCCTGACTGCCCCTGACCCCCCTTCTCTCTCTCCAGGCATCCGTGGGCTCTGAGAAGCTCTTTGCGCCGGGAACCGATAAAGGTAAGTGGGTCCCCTCGGCCCAGCTCCTGGGCCTCTGAAGAGACACAATGCGCCCTGCGTCTTGGCGGCAGGACATCCCCCTGAAGTCAGGGGAGAGATGGTCTTGGCACCTGGGGTGCAGAGCTGGGTGGGACCAGGGTGCTGGGATTGCTGGGAAGCCCCCAGGAGCAGGGGAGAGTAGACGAAGCCACTGAGCCCTAGGCAGGGCCTGGGCTCCGCTCGTAGCAGCGGCTCCCAGAGTGGAACCGTTAGGAATGTGTGCTCTCAGGCCCTCCCCAGGTTCGTGGGGTCAGATGCTCGGTACTGAAGGGCCACCTGCCACGAGCACCACAATCACCTGTGGCTGCTGAGTTAAAGAGAAACGGGACTGAGACTCACTTCCCTGGCTCTGCTGCCTGCGCGCCTCTGTGGTGCAGTGGAGGGGCCTGGATTGCTGTTCCAGGCCAGGCCTTCGAAACCTGTGGCTGTGAGCTATGGGACAGGGTGTCTACAGGCCAGCAACCCTCTCCAGAGGGGGTAGCCCCGGCGTCTTAGGGGCCTTCGTAACCTGTGGCTGTGAGCTGTGGGGCGGGGTGTCCACGGGCCAGCAACCCTCTCCAGAGGGGATAGCCCCAGCGTCTTCTTAGGGCCTCCCTGGCGCTGGGATCCTGGGATTCCCACACCAAGGCCTAGGCGGGCAGCATCTCCGGCAGGGCCACGGGGTCTCGGCTCCTGCCTCCCTGGGTTTCCAGCTGGAACCACCCTTTTGCTGGGACGGCTTCATCCGGATGTGATTGGACAGGACAGGCCCTGCCAATGCCGGCAAGGATGGGCCCTACTGCCCTTCAGCAGGCATGGCCTTCACCTGCCTTCAAGTTGGAAGCCTGTTCACATCAGAGCATCACAGCAAAGCAGGCGCAGATGGGGTGGTGTCAGAAGGGGCGTGCATGGGACGGGCCCCGGTAGGAGAGGCAGCTGGCTTCGCAGACGGTGTCACGCGGGGCTGCTGAATACTCAGCTCACTGCCGCGGCTGCTGCCGCATCTGGACGGACAATGTCCCAGTGAGGGCTGGAGGTGCTAGAAGGGCACAGGAGGCCCCGCACGTGGGGTCTAGTCCAGGTCTGTGCGGCCCAAGCCTCTTTCCATCCTGATCACAGCTCTTACTATATGCAAGGCTGGCTTGGAGATGTGGGAGAGAGGAGGAGAGGTCCCGTGGGGCTGACCCAGGGAGCTGGGAAAGCCGGTGGAGATAGTGCCCGTGGGCTCCCTCTCTCCTGTGTCCTCCGCGCAGCCTCTCTGTGGTCGCTGGGTGGTGGCTGCTGTGGAAGGCCTGGCCCCAGGTGAAGAGTGAAGATGGGGCTGCTTCCTGCTGCCTGTTTTCACCTGGGAGGAACTCCTTGAGGCCCCAGAAGACCAGGCCCCATGGTCACATGGGGCAGGGACGGCCGCAGCTGTCCCCATGGGCCATGGCTCACTGTCCCAAGGCCTCAGGAAGGAAGCAGGGTCTGCCGGGGACGTGAACAGGAGGCATGCGGCACGTGGAACGTTGTTTTGTTTCTCCTGCGAAACTGGCCCCCTGACCGTGGCAGCTCCTGACCCCAGGCAACAGGAGCTCCACCACATGGACGCTGCCCTCTCCTGACTCCTGGGGACTTGATCTGAGACCTGCCCGAAGGGGCCTGAAAAGGAGGGTTTGGGGTGTGCGGGGGTGGGGGGGGCAGGCCCCAGGGGCTCAGAGGGGCCCACAGGACCTGCGGGGGACGTGCCTAGGTGGGCAGAAGGGTGGCCAGGGAGCAGGGCTGAGGGTGGCGGGTGACGGGCAGTCACAGTAGGGGGAAGCCTCCCACCCAGTCCCTGCCCAAGTTTCCAGGAAGTGGTCAAGCCTTCCACCAGGGGGTTCCAGAAAGAAAAGGTGGTTACAGCTGTGGGCGCTGCTGTTGGGGTGGGGCAGACCCATGCCCTGGGCTGAGGGCACATCCAGGGGCCGTGAACATGAGGCCTAGGTACACAGGCCCTAGCTCCCGTGTTCAAATCCAGCTCCCCTCTTGGGCCAAGTCCTTGATGTATCTTGGTTTTGTCTGTTAAATGAGGTCATAGCAGCCCCTGTCCAGGGACTGACTCTTGCAGGGCCTGTCCTGTCCCTGCCAGTGATGCGTCTTCGGGCAGGTGGGCTACCCACCCCCACCCCTGGCCACGGCCCAGGCTCCCAAGCCAGCTCCCTCCGCCGGGCGGGGCCTGGAGCCTCGGGTGAGATCCAGCTAGCTGTGTGGCCTCCGTGCCTGCCTCCTCATCTGAAATGGGGGCATAGCCGGAGCCCAGACATAGCCTGGGCACCGGGCACGTACCAGGGCTCCCTGGGCCACAGGAGGGGCAGGGACGAGGCCCTGCTGGTCTGAACGCAGCCACCCTCTCTCTGCAGGCCCAGCGCTTGAGAAGTCGGAGGCCAAGGCCGGGCCGGTGCCCAAGGTGTCAGGCCTGGAGCGCAGCCGCGAGCTCAGCGCCGAGAGCTTCCTGCCCACTGCCAGCCCCGCGCCCCATGCCGCGCCCTGCCCGGGGCCCCCGCCCGGCTCCCGCGCCAATCCCTTGGTGAAGAAGGAACCCCCCGCCCCGCACCGCCACACCCCGCAGCCGCCACCCCCGCAGCCCCGCGGC
This sequence comes from Homo sapiens, assembly GCF_000001405.40. NCBI lineage: Eukaryota > Metazoa > Chordata > Mammalia > Primates > Hominidae > Homo > Homo sapiens. Next base: position 132,570,159 of record NC_000012.12, read on the forward strand.
CTGCTCCCGACACACGTGCCTGCATCCCTGGGCGCCTTCGCGGGCCACAGCCAGGCGGCAGCCAACGGCCTGCACGGCCTCAGGTGGGGTCCCCGCGGGGGACGGGGCCTGTGTGGTCTCAGGATGGGGGCTCTGCAGGGGTCGGGCTGGCAGGCACTGAGCCCCGTGTCCCGCAGCAGGAGCAGCAGCGCCCCCCTGGGCCTGGGGAAGCACGTGTCGCTGTCGCCACACGGGCCGGGCCCCCACCTGTCTACCTCACACCTGGCGCTCCGGTCCCAGGCGCAGCACCAGCTCCACGCGGCCATGTTTGCCGCACCCCCGACACTGCCCCCGCCCCCGGCGCTGCCGGCCAGCAGCCTGGTCCTCCCAGGACACCCGGCCGGTAGGTGTCTCGGCCACAATCTCGCCCAGGGCAGGGGTTGGGGGGTGCGGGGACACGGCCACCGGGGAGGGGCGCACAGCCTGGCCCTCCACCTGCTGTGGTCTCTGCGGACCCTGCGCGCCTCTCTGAGTGGTTCCCCCAGGTGTGCCTTTCCCCAGGAGTCTCTGCTGGGCCACAGGCCATCTGTGTGCGGGGACAGGCAGGACACGTGCCCATGCACGTACAGACGCGTGTTCACACTGAGACGGGCGCACGGGCCTCCCCTCCTGGGGCCAGGCCTCCCCCGCAGCCTGCTGGGTCCTGAGCCCTGGGAGGAGGGGGCCGCACATCAAGCAGGCGCCATCCCAGTGGAACCCCGACCGCGAAGGCTTCCTCCCTCGGCCCCCAGGCGCTTCCTGAGGCTCCGAGTCAGCCCGGCCCAGGCTGGGGACGGCCCCGTGTCCCGGGATGGGACCAGGATGCTGGCCTGCGGGTGGCTGGACCCTGGCTCCCGGGGAGGGGCTCACCGTGTTCTCTCTTGCCTCTAGATGCCAGCCTGGCGGTCTCATTCAGCCAGCCAATCATGTATTGCCAGCCTCATTCGGGAATTCTGATTGGTACTTGGTCACAGGCTCCTCTCTTACCTGCACCCCTGGGCCCGCACGTGGCGAGCGGCCACCCCGGCTTGGCCTGCCGACCCCGGGAGTGCCAGGTGACTATCCGCCTCGCCCCGCCGGGAGCCCGCGGCCAACGTGCCTCTCTGTCTCTCTCTCTTTTTCTCTTGTAGATCACGAGCTGCTCAGGCAAGAGCTGAACACGCGGTTT